>NC_000013.11:105002979-105627979 GCF_000001405.40 Homo sapiens | reverse complement strand
ACTTTCCAGTTCACTGAATAAATGAAAATATTAAGAATTTGGTTATATTAAGAATAAACTCTAAGATGTTTCTTTTACTTCAGTATGAAAAGCATGCAAAAATGATAACTACATTTTGTTATGATGGTTTGAAAAATCTGGCATAATTTAAAAGCAACTTTCCATCTGGCTGGTGCAGTAAGCAAGTGGAATTAGAAGAGTTGGTCTCTGTTTCTTGATGTGAATGATTGTGATTAGTCTGATTTCTTTGGTTTGCTTTTATTACTGTTTTCACTTCTTTTCTTGGTATATGTGTGTGGATATGCATACAGGATGACATTTCTATCACATTATGGCTTAACAAATAAAACAGAAAATATGTTTACTTTGGATGTGTGTGTATTTTTGGAGACGGTATTTGTTGCCTACTCAACAGTGTTCTTTTTACTTCTTGGCAGCCTCCTTGGTATAACCACGCATTTACGGAAGATGACGTTACCAGCAGCCCTGGGGTAAGTCTCAGTCATCCGAAGCCAGTCTTGGTAATCCCAGCAGACTAGCAAGGGAACACAACCTAGTTCTGTCAAGTGGAAAGTGAAGAGAGCTGTGCTGGGAGGCTTCTCAGAAAAGGTTTCTTTTGGCAAAAGAAAGAGAGGGGGGAACAGTTCTTTTTCTTCTGCCGGACAAGGTCATGTGTGTACGTAAGAACTGGAAGTTCTCATGCCCACTGAGCATGGGGAGAGTCCTGTCTAGGGTGACCTGGTGAGAACAGACAACCCTTGAGCCACCTTACCCTAGGAACTCCTGGTGATAAGACAGAATACATTTTTTCTCACTGTTAAACTCTTTTTTATTATTTGTAGCTGGGTGCCTCCAAACCAATATAATTAGCCGTATGTAAATATTCTGAAATCTCTGTCAATTCAAATAACATTTAGGGTTTTTTTCCCAGTGATCAAAAATACAGCATCTCAAGCAATATTGTGTGTGTGTGTGTGTGTGTGTGTGTGTGTGTGATATTATTACATAATAATTGGAAGACTTTTGATGTAGATCCTAGTGGTGATCTTAAATGTTGAGTATTTGACTTTTTTTAGCATTTAATAATTGTCACAATAAATTTATATGGAGAGATATTTTAATTATAGAAACTCATTAGTTTGTCCATAATGTAAAAGAGTTAAATAATATAGTTCTGTTGATAATGATATTTTGTAATAGATATTTTTAAGCTGTTAGGCATGAAGGAAAATAATGTTGTAAGTAATCAGTTTTATATAGGGTTTATAGATATTTTTATTATTTGGTATTGTCATGTTGTTTCATGCCTCATAATAGCTGATTACAAATAGATTTTAATCAATCACTCTCTTTATTCCAAAGGTTTAAGCAGATAAAGAATACAGAGAATGCTTGTAAAGCATTTTCTACCAATATATTAGGACCATTTCTGGATAAGGTCCTTGACTTCTTCTTTTAATCGTTTCTAAAATAACATTTCCAAAAACCTCAAGCAAAACCACTTTAAAAAATCTGAATTCATATAATTTTACCTAATGTGGAAGATTGGGAGAGCAGTGACTTTAATATAATATTTTAATGTCAATGTGTGTACATCTGTAATTAATAAAATTAGTACAATTCACAACACATGGTCGTTCTTAAGCGACAGAGACATAGAAATGTAACAGCACATTAAAATCCTCTTCTAGTGGCCCCGAGCTGCACCCCATAAACTCTTTGATAGCTCTTAACAAATGCAAATTAATGAGCATTAACCCAGGCATTCGAAGGTCCAGATAAATCACCATGCTCTTCAGGAATTCATATGAACAATTCACAGTGCTATAATTTTTCCTAAGTTAAGACTAGACTAATGTTGAGAGAGACAGAAAGAGAAACAAAATATAGGTGCACTCTCCTCTGCTCATTATAGGGTTCTCTTCGACCTTGAGGAGACTGCTACTTGGGGACATGTACTGATTCATTTTCTGACTCCTTTTGTCCTTGATTTTGACATAGCCTTGGTGTTGGGAAATTCTTCCCTCAAAGCCTCAATCGCTCATGCTCAAATTTAAACACATTTCCTTTTCTGTAATCAGTGAGGGAAGAGCAGCTGGTCACCATCTTCTACACACTAAACCTTTGAGCCTTTTCTTCAGAATAAATGATCCTACTTCTTAGAATCATAAAATTAGAAGGGGTTTTGATGTCAGACCATCCTTTTTCTGCCTTTAGACAAGACTACCCTTCCCTCTTACCATCCCATACAGATGAGCAAAACCATCCTATTTTTAAAAGAGATCAAGAGAAACTAATCAAAAGCCTCCAACAGTCACACATTCCTCTGATGAGCAACCCTTACTTTCAGGAAATCATCATCATTATCATCAAATAGCATTTTCCTAACACCCACATGTGCAAAATATGTTTGTGTATTCAGATCCTAAAGAGGGCCCTAGAGGCCCAGAAAAGGTTGGAAAAAGAAAAAAAAAAAACGTGCAAAGGTACACAAGCATCACTAGGCTCTTTGCAAGAGAGTCTAGTTCATTGCAATAATAAATTATTTTTAAAAGACATTCCAGAAACTCCAGGGGATTTTCATTTTCTATTTAGGAAAGCGATCTTATAATTAAAGAATATATCCATTCATTTTCTTTTGTTTAACTATTAGGACTTAGTAATGACTATCAAACTCAAGTCTAATGACCAAAGATTGAGAACATAAATATGCAGTGTATTAAATCTGAAACAAATCCATACTAAGGTTTTAAAATTTGCAACACGTATAATACTGAACCAGTTGTCTCTGTTACAAAGTGTGTATGTATTGAGGGGAATTGTCTGGAAAAATGTTTAAAGCTCTCTTCTCTCCCATTCTGGCTCCTCCTTTATGCTCCTGGAGAACAGAGCTCAAAGGCTGCTCTCAAATGTTCAAAACTCCCCACCCATGGCTGGAATGGCTCTATGTCCTTCAGTTTCACCTTCCAGTCAAGGAATTCCCAATTTCTGAGTATTACTGATTTTTGCTAGGTTTTAACTAAATAAAGCAATTTAATTGAAGGTAAGCCTTCCCTTAATTTATAAATATTTGATAAAGGGAAAATTTGCCAGTCGAACATGCTGCTTGATGCGGTGGGGGGGATTTTGACCTGGGTGGCACTCCAGTCTGGACTTCACCTTACCTTTAATTGCTCTGCCAGGGGATGCAACACAGAGTAAGGTCCCACGTCATCCATTCACTCCTTCCTCTTTTTGGGTTTCTCAGCTCCTCTCCATTGCTCACCTTCACGAGAAGTTCCCTGTAACCGTGAAGGTTATCACAAGGCTCAGAGGGTAGGAGCTGACCCAGCACCTGCAGATCCTGAAGGGCCCCTAATCTAAATACACCATTCACCCCAACAGGTGGGAAACAATTTGATACACAGGCTCAAAAGTTTGTTTTGATTACTGTTGCTGTGAAGTTTTGATTTGGCCTCCTAAAGTAGAGGAGCCAATTTGATATTTCATTGCATAATTCCTGTACTATAGTAGTAGGTACTATCTAGCAAGACTTTACTGCAAACATAAAATATATTAATAGAACATACAATGGTATTGGCATACAGCTCTTTTTATTTTTTATCTTTTCTAATAGATATGTTTATTCTATTTCCTAAACGTATTCAAGACTTAAAATTTTCACTACCAATGAATAACATGCTTAAATATTTTAGGGAAATGGTAAAATGGTAAACAGCTCTATTAGTATTATTGAATATCTCATATTTGAAAGGAAAGAAAGTGACACTTGCTGCTTTCTCATACGCTATCACATTTAAACCTAATTACATTTCAAGACAAGAATATTTATCATCTTTTTTTCTGTTAAAGAAGTTGAGCCTCCTTTACGATAAACTGAACTCAAATGTAAGCATCTCTAATTCTGGAGTGCATATGTGCACAATTACATAAATAATTTGGTTTAAGAATCAACAAAACTAAATAAATGTTAGGTTTCTAGAATTTATCCAAACATCATGATGATTGACTATTTATTGCCGATTTTCCTATTGTAATATGCAGAAGTTTCAATTTTAAGATATAATCGTTATGTTCTCCTTATTTGATCTCGTATTTCCACAGAGCTACTCTGTCATTAAGTGTACCTAAATTCTTCTCCATAGCCTTTTAAGATTTTCCGATGTTTATCTGTTCTCTGTATCAGTCTCGATCACTGTCTTCACTCTAAAAGCTGCACTTAATAGCTTACTTACCGAATTAGTAATTTGGGAATTACCGTATAGTTACATGGAAATATTACTTCCCTCTGTGCCACAGACTGGGCTTTGATTACTTCGATTTCAATGTCCCAGCAGCATCCAGATTTTATGAATACCATTTCCGATGCTTTGCTTAAAGTTAGGGGCCAGGCCTGAGCTCAAGTCTCAAGGCTGATGTTGTTAATATCAGGACAGGCGGGTTCAAAAGCACAGGCGCCAGCTGCCCCACCTCCATGGCACAGCCGTCATGGAGCCAGCCACAGGTCTGTTTCAGATTGCAAAGGAGGGTCTCTGACTTCTGTTTGCTTTTGTGCTCTAGGAAGACATTGTAGGCCTCCATAAACAAAAATAAAATGAAATCGAATTACAACTTCTTTTTAACCTATTTAGGATGTAAAGGTTAAATATATATGTATCTATGAAGAAATGCATGTTAAAAAGTGGTTTGAAATAAGACATGCGGAAGCAAAATTCATTTTTCTTTGTATGGGTAAGTAGTATGTTTTTCTTTGTATGGGTAAGTAGTATGGCTAAGTAGTATGTTTTCTTTGTATGGGTAAGTAGTATGACAATATGCCATAATCATTGTCCTTATCTATTAACTAAACCTCAATGAGAAAGATAAATTATTACATTGCAGAGATATGAGACTTAAGACTTACTCAAAAAATTTTAAAGGCTATTCCTTAATGTAATACACTTCTATCAGGAATAGTACAGAATTTTATCTGAGATATTTGTATTAATCAATATTTTTGATTCATATGAATCATTATTTGGATCAGATTTTGATCCAAATAAATGTGAAGTATATTGAATAATTCAGAATTAATTAGTTTCCATTTAATCAGTTCAATCCTTCTGAGTTCATGATTAGGCAATTTGGAAAAGACTATATAAAATAATATTCTATTTGAACTATGGAAGTATTCAAAAGAAACTGGTAAGTTCATGAGTATAATTGTCCAAGTGAGCTCTGTAATCTATGAATATATAGGAAGTTCTTGTCTTTGAGAATACATGGTTTAAGTGAATTCTATTATCTATATTGTCATTTTGATTGTATTTCAATTTCGTTATGTGTAAACGGAAGCAATGGATGTACTCTTTGAAAACAGTTTCACAAATTAAGAACTTTAAACAAGCTTTTATCTTCTATTTAGGTCAATTTGTCTAAGTATTTGAGGTAATTTTCATCCTCATCTTTTTATTTGTTATCTTGTCCAATCCTATTAATGAGCATAAATGGCTCCCCAAGTGTAAATATTTGAAGGGAAAGATTGGGTCATTGTAAATTCAGGTAGCATCCATAGTTGATGACAGAATGACGGGAAGAAACTTTCCTCACTAAATGTCAATCAAATTCATCAGCATGATACTTTTACATGTCTGCACAGCTGGAAAAAACAGTCAATTCTGTTTCATTGTTATGTAAATTTATGCTGATACTCAATGTAATCAACAACCGATGCTAGAACCATCCTTGAAACAGATTAGATGATTGGATTCTTTTTAATATAATTCTGAAACTGGAACCCTAGGTTTTTCTTAGGCACTTCTTAAATATTTATGGTTATCCAGCATAAGTAACACAGAAATTCTGTGGTCAGCTAGTATAATCTTTTTCAAGCAGTGTATGCTATTCTTATACCCACACCAACAAAATTGTATCTAAAACATTGGTATCTAACCTAGGAAAAATCTCAGGTAAGGTTTTACGATTCAGTGCCTTAGTCCCCTTAAGTCATTTCGGCCACAGCCTTAAAACCCTCCTTTAAAGGGATTTACCATCACCTCTTGTAAAAACTGGATTTGAGCAAGATGCATTTTATTAATCAAATCCATAAGGCAGTCAATACATTACTTCTTTTGGAATGAAAAAGGAAAAGAGTTATTTCACAAGCAGATGAAGACTACATATGTAACTCTACTTCCCTCGGTAGGCTCCAATACAGGTTTAATCCTGAATTTTCCCATTTTGAAAGGCTTGCCAAGTCAGTTCTCAGACCTTTCGTGAAACATGTTGCTCAGAAGTGACATCAAACGTGATCCTAATTTTTGACAGATTCTTCTATACAATGACACATACCTGGCCTTCAAAATAGAGTAAACTAAAACTCACTGAAGAAGAACAAAAAGGTCACTCTTACCATTCTTGAGGATTTCGAAAATCAATGATCCTACAGAAGGAGAAGAGGCCATTTATCATTATAGCCTTTTTGATGTCAAAGAAGAAAAAGAAAAAGAAACAGAAAAACATGCCTTTAACATAGCAGCTGATATTAGTAGCTTTAGAATTTACAAAGCACTTTACTGTTCCGTTATTTCAATTAACACTCATAATGTTGTTGTTCAGCCAGTCTTAACATTTGTGTTATAATTATTTCCTTTGAAAGCTGAGGACAGGAGGGTCAAATAACTTGTATCATTTCCCAAAGTCTTGCAGCTGATAAGTGATGGTTCTAGGAGTCTATCTCCGAAAGATTGAGCATGAAATCTGTTTTTTTTTTCCATTCCATTGAAGTGTGTATTTACTAACTGGGTATATAATTATGAATTGAAGACTAACCTTTATTTAAATTAGTGCAATCAGACTATATCCAGAATATTTCTAGAAATGATTTTTAAGTGATTGATGAGTAAAATGAAGGGTAAAATATTTTTTGTTTGTTCACTTAAATGCAAACCCTCTGAGTTAAAATTTTCTCAATAATTATGTAGTTCAAACAATATTTTCCAAGATTATTTGAACTTAGATACAATTACTGAATTTAGGCATATATACATTAGGGTTTCTTAATCTTGGCATCATTGGCTTTTAAGTGGAATAATTATTTGTTTTAGGAAGCTGTCCTGTGCATTGTGGGATTTGGGGCATCCTGCCCTCTACTTACCAGATGCTAACAGTACTCCAGGTTGTGACATCCTCAAATATCTTTAGAAATTGCCAAATCATACTTAGGTGAGAATCAATGGTCTGTATTAATTTAACTGCAAAGACAAGTGCTGTTTCTAAATATTACACTGGACAATTCTAAAGGTTTACCATAAATTAGCAGAGGCATTAATCTTTTAATGATAGTATTGTAGTGGATATACTGGTACAGGACATAGCTATCTAAGCTAATTCTATATATACAGTAGACCAAAACTGACACATTCCAGGCATCCCTTCTAATCTTCCTTTGACTCCTCTTATCTAGAGTGAAAATTTTCTTAGCTTATTTTGCATCCTCCCAGCATATCTTCACTGGGAGAAAATTCGTCTCTCACATTTTTGCACATCTTGCAAGTCAGGCACTGACCACCTTTTTGTTCTGGATTCTCTTTTGAGGATGTTTATATAGCAAACATCCTTGGAAATGAAGAATCATTTCTGCCTGTGAAACAGTGTGCAAACATACTTACTCCCCATTATAGAACATTCAGGTTCCCTAAGTTCAGGTTCCTCTTCCCCTATAAATTCCTTTGCCCCTTGTAAATTATTGTTTTACATGATCCTCTTTGTGTTGCCATGTGGGAACAAAATGTTGATACTCTGGATACTGCTGTTACTAAACTTTTCTTGATCTCTGTCCCAGGAGTCTTCTCATTGCTTCCTACTAGAATTCATGTATCCATATTAGGATACATTTTTTGTTTTGCCAGAAAGGCAAAATCCCCAGTCCTTCTCATTACTATGTTTTTGTTGTTTGTTTGTTTGTTTGTTTTTATGCAGCCTCGGCGCTCTGTCACTCAGGTTGGAGTGCAATCTCAGCTCACTGCAACTTCTGCCTCCTGGATTCAAGCCATTCCTCTGCCTCAGCCTCCCAAGTAGCTGGGATTACAGGCGTGCACCACCACGCCAGGCTAATTTTTGTATTTTTAGTAGAGATGGGGTTTCACCATGTTAGACAGGCTGGTCTCGAACTGCTGACCTTGAAAATCTGTCCTTTGAAATGAATGACAAATTACATGCTATTTATGCCCCAAAATGCTAACTTCCACATATATCATTTTAGTATATCCTTATAGATTATCTCACATGAAATTTCTTTTTGCACCCATTGAAAGATTATTCCTGAGGATGTCATCCACTCTATCACTTATTGTTTCCTCTTTATATAAGCATATTGTCTTTTTAAAGGAAAGCTGATTTTTACCTAAACAACAGTTTCATTTCTTTATAGACATCACAAAAGTTGCGAGTTACTGCATTTGCATCCTGCCTATCTCTTTTAGGAAATGAAGGCTTCCTTTTTTAAGCCAACCTCTAGCAGCTGCATAATATCATTGATAGTAATGTTGGGTGTTAACCTTACCACTGATTTATTACTTTTCTACTTTTAAATAATTGGGTATCTGAGGAAATGGAAATAAGATATATATTAAATATAGGTGTGTGTATATATATAAATATATATTCAAGTATGTATAGTTTCATGCCAACCTCCATATTCTATATATAAATATATATTACATATTATATTATATATATGTATGCGCCAACATCTTAAAAAGTTTACATAGAAAGACATCTTGGAATAAATTGCTATTATTAGTGGAGTGGGGGGAAGAATCACATGAGCAATCTAGGTAGCAATATATCTACCCTACATGAAGAAGATCACATGATCTTTGGTGTTTCTCATTGAGTATCCGGGTTAGTAGATAACTTATTGACACAGGGATCCCAGAGATCCTCAGGGAGGAAAGTGATTGTGACCCCAACACAAAGCTTGGGAAAGTGATGGAATGGACTAGAGTGGCACTTGACAAACTATTCTGAGAGTAGCACTCCAGGAGCATTTGGAGAATTCACAAGGATGGTAACATTAATAACAAGGGTGGCTTGATACTAGTTTTCAACACAAGCTCTGGCCGTCCTAAGAAAAGGCTTTTTCTGGCCAAAAGTGTTGCTTACTCTGGAAATCCCTAAGCACTGGCCATTCTTGCATGAAGTCTTTCTTCGGGAAAACATGCGTAAATGATTGAATATAAATTCAAAGAATTTTAATTGTTGAGCCCAAGCATAGAGTGACTTCACTCTTCTCTGGGGACTGAAGTGGAAAGACCAAGTGTCCTTCAGGATGCGTGGACTCCATATTCCACAACATTGTGTGGCAGCATCAGAAGCCACTGCCCCAGTCGGTGAAAACCACCCTCTCCACCTTCTCCACTCTATCTTTCTATAAACAGGATGACTGATTCCCATACACTGAATTGACCCTGGAATTCATGGACATTGTGGTTTTTGTTTGTTTTTGTTCGGTTGGTTGTTTAGTTGATTGAGAGAAGTGAGGGGAAATGATAATATCAGATGGGGAGAATAAATTGATTAAAATTTCTTAAAAGGGGCCGGGTATGGTGGCTCACACCTGTAATCCCAGCACTTTGGGAGGCCGAGGTGGGTGGATCACCTGAGATCAGAAGTTCAAGACCAGCCTGGCTAACATAGTGAAACCCAGTCTCTACTAAAAATACAAAAAACTAGCAGGGCATGGTGGCGGGTGCCTGTAATCCCAGCTGCTTGGGAGGCTGAGGCAAGAGAATTGCTTGAACCTGGGAAGCAGAGGTTGCAGTGAGCTGAGGTCACGCCATTGCACTCCAGCCTGGGCAACAAGAGTGAAACTCCATCACACACACACACACACACACACACACACACAAAATTAATTAAAAGGTAATAAAAGAAGCACGATCATGCAGAGCGTTATGCTGGCTACTTTTACATTTTTACTTTTACATTACTCATCTATGTTTCATTACTTTATGTGAGTTTTTAGATCTACTTAGGCATTTGTAGGTCAGGTTTGTTTAATAGTTAAATTCATCTACAATCAATCTTACTTTATGCATATATGTATTTATAGATACTTAGAATGACATTAAAGATTTTGGTAGCTAAATCTGGCCAGTACAAAAAATATATATTATCTCTAGCCTAAAATGGAATGTTGTCATTTATGAGTTCATTGTTACCTGACTGTGGTATCTGACTAAAAAAAATTATCATAGTATAGATTGCTATTTTTTAGAATGAATTATTTTAAGGAAGCACTTCCATGGACCATAATCTCAGAGTTGGACAAGAGTTCTAAAACACAATGTAGAAAAATTGTCAATATTGTCAGTTATTAATGATTTCCAGTGATATAACACAACTAAATAAAGTAAAATAAAAAAATGATCCCATTTAACTGGTACTTCTAGGAAATTCAGGTAGGTGTCTGAGGTCACTGAAGAAACTGGGTCGGTTACCATATGGTGTAATCTAATCTCTTTCAATTCTGTAAGTCTGAAATATATGGTATTTTCAATGCTTTTTTTTTTGAGTATTACATTAAGTCAGGAAACAGTCTCTTGGCTTGACGTTTGAGAGGCAGTGCAAAAAGCCTTCTACTTTCAGTGCTATGGCATTGCTGATCACAATATATCTATGACATTCTGATACAAGATCTGAGAAATAAACAGAAAAAGGGTCAGTCATTTCAGAGAGGTGATTCCATTATAAAGGTGGGTATGTGTAGCATTTTCTTGAGAAACTTTTAAGTTTTTCTTTGATTTTTCTCTAAGTTTTAAGAGCCCTAAGCTGATAAATACTTAATGAATTTTCAGTAATAGTAGACAACTTCCATTAGTATTAAATAACCTTTGTGAATCAACTTGTATAAATCACAACACAAATAGTGAAAACAAAACAAAGCAACAAAAAACGCTAAACTAAACTACAAAGAAGTCTTGAGTGTTTGGATCTGACCCAAAGTGACCATTAAAGTTGTAAATTTTCTCATTAAATTGATAACAATGTAAGCCATTCTCTACATCAATTGAAATGCCAACGTACTTCTGAGTAATAACATCCCTTCCATGTGGTCTCTGATATTTTGATTCTAGCTTTTTACGAGCATGAGTATATTCTTTATTTTGAAGGCTGTGTTGATAGATGGCTCTGAATTGGAGGGCTACCAAAATCTAAAGGGATTCTTTGCTGCTTGTCATGGTTACAGTCCTTTTTCTCTTCAGTAGCTTTTGCTTATCTAAAATGATGAACTTTCTCAGTAGATGTGCAATTCAATCGAGTCATCTTTTCCCAGATACAGGAATGGTTATTAATATTCTGCCCTCTCAGTTCTCTATGATACCCTTTATGACCATTCAGACACAGGCATTCATACCTCACTGAGGACAGCAGGGACAGGATATGCTGCTGTGATAACAACTGAACCAATGACTTGGCTTCATGCTCTCTAAGAGCTGCCAACTCCAGTGCGCCCAATAACTTCCACCCCTTCACTACTTGGTCCAGTGGTCAGATGGTGGGTGGATGGGGCACTGCAAGGCACTGCTTTCTGCTGTTCTGCTCTAACTCCTGACCAGATTTCACAAACAGCGTGTGCTAGCTTTACCATCCACAAATGCAGAGAACTTTTGGGGGAATACTTTGCACAGCCCTCAACCAGTTCTTTCCTAAAATGTATGTGAAGTCACCAAACACATCGAAGGTTCTCAGTAGATTTTCTTCCTTCTGTCTTTCAGTTTGGTTACCTCGCCTCTTTGTTTTCATTGCTTTCAGATTCTTTATTTATAGAAGGGAAAGGGGAAAAGCTGTATACCACAGCCAAAATTTCAATTTTGAAAAAATTCCAATCTACAGAAAAGTTTCAAATTTATAGAAACAAAAGTATAATAAATACTAGTAAATACCTTTCAATTAAATTCACCAGTTACAAATTTTGCCACATTTGCTTTTTTCTCCCTCATTATCTCTATATCTATCCATCTATCTACCTGGCTACATCTCTGTGTCTGTCTTTGTGTCTGTATATTACACATACACACACAGATGTGTTACCTTTTCTATCCTTTTCTATGTTTACTCTAGAAATCATGACAATATAGATCATGTATAAGAAAATCAGTAATAAGTTAATATTATCCAATACATAGATTTACTTATACTGTAATTTGTGGTTTCACCGTAGTTTGCTTTGCTTTGTTTTGTTTCTGATCTCTATATTCTCTTTCATGGAAAGAGAATGTTTATCTGTGTGGTGACTTGGTTTATTTTGGTTTCCGTAACTGAATTTCTGAAGAATCCAGAGGAGTTATCATTAGAATGTTCTGCATTCTGAATTTGTCTCATTGTTTCCTTCTGTTTAGCAGCAAGTAAAACATTTCTTCTGTTAAGCAGCAAGTAAAACATAGCAAGAATACTATGTAGGTGATATTGTGCACTTAAAGCATTTGAACAGGAGGCACATAATTTTATGTTGCTCCATTACTGATGATGCTGGTTTAATGACTTGGTTATGATGGTGACTGCCAGGTGACTCCATTATGAAGGTGGGTATGTGTGTGTATATATATATGATGTAAGAGTGTGTATACATATATATATGTGTGTGTGTATATATGTGTGTATATATATGTGTGTGACACACGTATATTTATACAGTAAATATATACATATGTATATGTATCACACAACATTATATTTATACGGTAAATATATATATGTATATGATACATGATAAGTGAAGAATTGTGGCCTTGTGGCAATGTGAGCATCCTTCTTCCTAAAAATTTTCATCCAGTAGTTTTTATCATCTAATAATTGGTCCTTGGTAAAAACAGTTATTATTATGTATTGAAAAAAAGATGATATTTCTAATTTTGTCATATTCTTCTTATTTTTTAACTGGCATTCTTTGAAAATTACCTTTCTCTTTATATATATATATATTTTTTTTTCATGATTCTAAGTTATGTATTTAAGGTATTTTAAATATTTTAAGCATCTTGAAAAATTTAAAGTAGGACATGTTTTATAATTACTGTGATTTCTTATATAAACATCACATTTTGATAAAAATAAAGAGTATATTACATAAACTCATTAAAGTCTTAAATTTATACACTTATCTGTTTCCTTTCAAAGCAATTTTTGTTAAAGGTAGGAAGGAGTAAAATCCACTGTGCCTTGGGTTTTCATTTTCTATTCCAACTAAGAAGTGCTGTCCACAGAAATGTATCATTCAGCCACTCAGTCAAACTTTCCTGAGAACCTGCCTCCATCAAGGGACTTCGTTAGCTGTAAAGTGCTGACTAAACTTGTGTTTATACCTCCACTCATGAAATAGGAAATATACACACACATACACACATATGCATTCGTGTTTATACCTCCACTCATGAAATAGGAAATATCCACACACATACACACATAGGCATTCGTGTTTATACCTCCACTCATGAAATAGGAAATACAAACACACACACATACACACATACGCATTCGTATTTATACCTCCACTCATGAAATAGGAAATATCCACACACATACACACATATGCATTCGTGTTTATACCTCCACTCATGAAATAGGAAATACACACACACACACACATACACACATATGCATTTGTGTTATACCTCCACTGATGAAATAGGAAATATAGACACACACATACACACATACGCATTCGTGTTTATACATCCACTTATGAAGTAGGAAATACATACACACACACACATACACACATACGCATTCGTGTTTATATCTCCACTCATGAAATAGGAAATATACACACACACATACACACATACATTTGTGTTTTTACCTCCACTCATGAAATAGGAAATACACACACACACCCATTTGTGTTTATACCTCCACTAATGATATAGGAAATACACACACACACATACATATGCAACCATGTTTATACCTCCACTCATGAAATAGGAAATACACACACACACACATACATTTGTGTTTTTACCTCCACTCATGAAATAGAATATGTGCATATAATATATATTATGTAAATAAAATTATATATATTTATATAATATACAATTTTCTAATATGGGCTGCAGGCCAATATACATAGATTTCTCCTGGCTGCAGGTGACCATGTCACTTGCATTGATTATAATATATTTTAATTCATGGAATTTAAATAAAGTTTTAACATCAGAGACTTTCACAGAGATTCAGATAATTTGAGATAGTACATAATATGTTTAAAAAGCTAATTTTTTTCTGTGAATATTGCTTGTTTCCATAGACGTTTCATTCTACAAAGGTTCAAAATATAATTTTAACTAACAAACTATGAAGGTAATTGTACCCATTCTGCAGTCTGTTAGCAGCTTTTGATTAGATTCTCATAGCAGAATTTTCCCATATACAGTTGCTAATATAGAAGAAAAATATCATCTCCTTATTGGATTATATTGTTAACTTGCTTTTGCTTAATATTTTGGCATCTTTTGGTAAATTTCTGGAATGAATAACAATAATTTACGCAGAATAATCTAATAAAGGATATTTATAGCCTATGTGAAAATAAAGATACGCATTTTAGGGACTTTTGCAGAGATACAAACACTTGTTCTGTAAAATATTTGTTAAACGTAGCACATAGGGAAAGCACAGATCCTGGAGTGAAAAACCTACAGCTTGAATTCCACTCCAGCATTTATTAGACCAGTGACTTCCAGTGACTTGGTCAAGTTGCTTAGTTTCTCTGAACATCAATTTACTTGTCCATAAAGAGAGAGTGGTGGTACATAATAGATATTTTGACAGGCTGTTAAAAGCTAGAGATGAAGCGTGTCGGGAGTCTGATGCATAGTACTTCTATTAGGCAAGGTTTTTCAGAGGAAAAAGAACCAATAGGATGTGTATGTATACATATGTACACACACACACACACACACACACATATGAATGAGAGACATTTAATTTAAGGAACTGGGTCATGTGATCATGGGGCTGGCAAATCTGAAATATTCAGGACAGGCAGGCAGGTCTGAAGACAAGGGAGGTTTTAACACTGCGCTTCCAGTCCAAAGGCAGTCTGGAGGCAGAATTCCTTCTTCCTCAGGGAACCTCAGTCTTTTTCTCTTAAGGCTTTCAACTGATTAGATAAGTCACGCACATTATAAAGGACAACCTGCTTTAATGAGTCTACTGATTTCGATGTGGATCTCATCTGAAAAATACCTTCGCAGAAACACTTAGTCTGAGGTTTAACCACATTTCTGGGTGCTACAGATAAAATTAGCTATCACAGAACGTCTACACAGAAAGGTACTGACATTTGTTAAAACCATAGAATTCTATTTACATGACCAACCAGAATGTGTCTAGAGGGCTCCAGTGCCCCTGCAGATTTTCTATTTGTGCTGGCAGTTTCTTGGATAGTGTCTCCTATTGGCTGCTCTTACTTTCTGTCTTTCCATTGTTTCTTTGAGGTTTCATAGGAACAGTCCTGTTTTAGTTAAAAGTGCCGCTGGCTCCCAGGGTCCCAAAGCCAATGAGTAGATAATGAATGGCAAGCAATACCTGATCCCATACAGAAAATGGGAAAACCCTTCTCTCCCACACCTGTGCCTTAAGGTAGCACTGTTTATTTAACAGACTTGCAAAAATCTACCATGAAAACAGTGACTTCAACTTCTAATTTAGCTTTTCTCCCAATTCATGCTCAAACCAATTCCTCAAATTGAGAAGCAAGGACGAGAAATGCTTCATCAGTTACCTTCATTACAGTCGTATCTCTCGAGGTGCACTAAATTCCTTTGTCTTCAACTGATTCTCTCCTCTCCCAACAGGAGATCAATGTACAGAGGAATAGTTCCTTTAAATCCAGGAGTGCATGCAACTAAGCAACTTTAGAGATGAATGGTTGCATATTCCCCGGAGCCAATTCTAGTTGAGCTCAAATGATATATTCTTAAAAATAGTAATTCTATTTATTTTACAAGTGCTATGTAAACAGAGAGGTAAGTACCAGCATTATAATTCACTAAAAAGACCTGATTTTGCTGCACAAACATAACTAAATGGCTACACCCTTTAATTGCAGAATCCAGATTTCCTCCAAACTTTATCTCATTCCAGTCAGGAAAACAGCTATCGTCTTTTTTTTTTTCATCAAATGCTTTTATTATCATGTTTGAAGCTTTTGATTAAGTTGGCATCGTAAGAAACCCTTTCCTATTTTCTTTCATGTTTTTCTTGACAAGCCTGAGTCCGTCATTCTGGCTGGTATTACAGGTTCATGTTTTTGGGTACATTCATTTATCATGGAGTGAGTCACTTTGCTGTTTTTGTTTCCACTGTATTCTGAAAAGCACCCACAGAAACATGACAAGAATGCAGGCTTGCATGGAAGAAATTCTCATGCCGGGTCTGCTCTGTCTCCCCAGTCAGTCTATCCTGCATAACGTCGTCTTTAAACAATAGAAAGCAATGGCTAAGGATAAAAGAATGGGTTCAGATAAAACTGAATTTTCTACCACCCTGAATATTCACTCCATATTTAATCTGAAGCCAAATATTTTAACATAAATGTATCTTTATTGTCTTTGTCCTGGTCTTCCAATAGGGAAGTTTTTGTACGTGGTACCTCTTTGTTTTTTTGTTTGTTGGCTTCTACTATTTTCTTAATTTTAAATTCTAAGCCTCCAGGTGTCTTGCTTATAAAAACGATTCTGGATTTTCTACTTTTAAAATATGGTTTCTTAACCATTTGCAGTTTTGCTAAGAGGAAAGGAGAATCTATAAAGTATGTTTACATGAAAGGAAAATCTCTGTATAACATTCTATCAAAACTGTAATAAAGTGAAAATTAATTATTAATATTGATATGATTTGGCTGTTCCCTCCAAATCTCATGTTGAGATGTGATCCCCAGTGTTGGAGATGGAGTCTGCTGAGAGGTGTTCGGGTCATTGGGATGGATCCCTCATGGCTTGGTGCTGTCCTTCCCCACTCTCTCTTGCTCCTGCTCTGGCTGTATGACGTGCCTGCTCCCCTTTCGCCTTCTGCCATGAGCAAAAGCTCCCTGAAGCTTCCCGAGAAGCTGAGCAGATGCTGGTGCCATGCTTGTACAGTCTGCAGAACTGTGAGCCAATTAAACCTCTTTCCTTTATAAACTACTCAGTCTTAGGTACTGCTTGGTAGCAATGCAACAACAGCCTAATACAAGTATACATAATGGAAAGTGAGCCATGCCATTTGTTCCTTTGAATATATTTGGACAATTAAACCAACAATAAAAAAAAGAAATTATATGCAGTTTCTGACTCGGGTTCCTTGAACTTAAGTGGTAGCAGAAGATTCCCCTATCTGGAAGAGAGAAAGTCTTCCTAGGAAAATGCAGGAGCTGTTTCAAGTGTGTAATGGAGCAGCATTCTTCTGAAACACATTTTTGCTTGGAAGCCTAACATATAAATAAAAATATGAAGAGGGAGCTTTTCTATTTAAGGTGTGAGAAGAGGGTGTCGGGTGCCCGGTTCTACCTCGTTAAGCTCCTTTCAAATGCTGAGATGCCATCGACCCCTGATTCTGTCTCCCAGGAACTCAGACTCAAAACTCTTGCACCAGAAACAACTAGATGGAGAAAACTACCTGACAAAAGTCCTGGACGATGGCCTTGAAATCAATTCCTTCATGTCTTTAGAGGGTCTCTGTAGTTTTTCCATAGGTGCTTACCAGCCACATTCTTGGAGGCGAGCTGGCTAAAGTAAAATTCTGAACTGAACTGAGCTTGATAGAGTTCTGTGCTCATATTCCCAGCACAGTCTCCATGTTGGGAGGGAAAATTGCTTTTTCTCCCATTGCAGTAAAAAAAAAAAAAAAAAGTCAATGATCAAGTCTAGATTCCTTACAACTTCTGTTAGTTTCCTGCACTCCATGGATAATCAAATTCCTCGCAACAAAACAGATGAGCTGTCCCTCAAAATTGTTGACTTGTGCCTTATTAGGTTGGTAGAAGTGAGAATGTGGTATTTTAAATTCTCAAGACTGACTTCGTGTATCCATAGAGAATAATGTATTTTATCCTATTTTCTTAACTCTGTATGTATTTGAATAAGGGCGATTTAAAAGTTCTCTCACATCAGTAGAAATAACTGAGCTAGAGTTTGCTTGTTGACAATGTATAGGCACAATATATCATTAGAAGAGTGATAATGACTTTTATTTTGGTGAAATAATAAAAAAGGAATCATAAAAATAGAGCTGTCTAATAATGAACCATGTGTTTAAAAAAGAAAAGTTAACTTTCTCATCACTGGAAATAAGGAATGAGCCAGTGGCCATGGATCACAGATATAATTGTAAAGATTCCTATATTGAGTGGGAACGCAGACAAAATAACCCCCAAAGTCTTTGCTAAATCTATGGTCATATAAAAGAAATACAGCTGGATTGCCTATCAAAAAGATCCAGGGCAGTGGATACTAACTTTCTTTACTTGCAGCCAAAGTTTTGAAATCTTAGTAGAGCGTTTTGCTTTAAATTTAATTTATTAACCCTGATTACTGCAGTCATCAAATTAAACTCAAGCCTGTATTATGAAATATTATGAAATAAACACTTTAGAACTGTCATCTGTATTAAGCAGCTGTAAAAAAGCAGTGTCAAGCCTTGATGATTTCATATAAAATTGAAATAATTTTGAATATTCCTCATGGTGATTTGTATGTTTTGTTATGCAGACACAGAATAAAAACAAGTGAACCAAAAAAAAATGTTATTTAAAAATACTTAAGAAAAAAAACAATTTGGAAAAAAATCTCGATATCGGCACTAATTTAACTTTGTAAATTTTCCAATGTAGTTCATGTTCAGTATATTAGCATAATATTGATTGTATTAGAGGGGCTCAGTATTTCTTACGGACTTAAGTATGTTTAAGTAAGAGCATATCCATTTTGATTAATGAGGTCTATATACCTTCTCTCTTGATTACTCTCCAGTTTTGGGGAAATCACTTTGGTAGCTGCATTAGCTCTTTTAGGTCACCTGAAAACTTCTTAATAAACTAAGTGGTACACTAGTAAACAAAAAGAACTCACGCGGCTTCCCTTGAAACGAATACATCACTGGGAATTCTGAGAAACCAATTAAAACAGAATTATTGTTTTGAATGAATCATCAGAGAATTCTAGTCTAAACTCTTCTAAAAACCTACATTTCTTTCTAATTTTATTACATTAAATTTAAAGATTTTTTTCAAACTTTTTGAATGAGAATAGTCATCAGATTATTTTAAAAGATTAGGCTAAAATATGCAAAATTCCCTTCAGTAATACATTTTTTTAACTGGAATTATAATTAGTCATAAGGGGAAAGTCATTTTAGTGGGAAATAAAATTCAAAAAAGCTAAACATTAACTGCTGAAGTTGCTTTTTGCCCTTTGCAAATTCTTTCTTCATTATATCATTCTCTCTATATTTTTGAATGCATATATTTCCAAAGAAATTACTTTTTGCTTAATATAAAATTTTAGGCAATTAGATGCAAAAGTGTAGTAAAGCAACACTAAAGTTGCCAATTTAAACATAGGGAAGCAAAACAGCCCAGGAGTTAAAGTTCTGACAGCTATCTTAACTAGCACACATGGCCAGTGCCACTCAGTACACAGACACACACCCATTTTCACAGTCACTGAGGAGCTCTAAGAGTTGATTTTGAAACGTAGTGGAAATTACCTTTTTTGGGAAAATAACATAAATCTGAGATAAATTCTTGACTGTCCGTACTCAAAATATTTTTTTCCAAAATGAAAAAAATGCAAATGTCCTCAGCATAATAATCTAGGATAAGTAGTTAATGATGCTACATTAAGGCATTACTTGGGGCTTGCAAATTCATGACTGACATTTGATGATATCCCAGGTTAGAAGAGTTATTTCCTTTCTTTCTTTCCTTTCTTCCCTCCTTCCTTCCTTCCTTTCTTTCTCTTTCTTTCTTTTTCTTTCTTTCTTTCCTTCTTTTTTTATTTCTAAAGGAATGTGTAAATTAATAACAAAAACCTTTAACATATAAACAGATTGATAAATTACTGAGCAAACCAAACTGTCCACCCATGTTTTTCCTTGTGGTAGTCTGCTCCAACCATACCAGCAAGGCCTAGAAAGAGCAAAAAAAAAAAAAAATGTATATATTTGGCGGTGTGATATTTTCTTAAACAAAGATTTTTATTGTAATGCCTAACTATTTCTCTCATTTGAATCTGAGTTGCAATTTAGACACAAATCCTGAGGTCAGATCCTGGCTTATAGCTGGATACTATAGAGCATGTGCTGTGTTCCTGACTCCTCATCTATGATGTAGAAATGATAAATCCCACAGCAGAATGTTCAAGTGAAAAAGAAATAGGAAAATATAACGTATCATGCATAAGGCCTCTTATAAAAAACACAGATTCCAAAATGACATGGTGATTATCATCATTTTATTATAGCCAATAAATTGCCAGGGATTTTAAAAACTATCATTCTCTAAGAATTCTATTTAAGAACATACATATAGATAAAATATGCATTCAAGATTTTGTAACAGGATCTGGAAATAAAGTCAACACAAAACTTTTCTATCCTGCTGCTGGTATTCAATTTTCTATTCTTGAACAGATATTAATTGTCCACATTCCCTACTTTCTCTCTCAAGTTTACTTAAAAAAATATCTACTGGGATTATCTACATGGTGCCAGACACCCGTGAAGGATAGGGTAGTGGAGAAAATAAACATGCTCCCGTTTCTATGGTGTTTATCATATAATGGAGGACATTCTTGGCTTGTGCATTTATTTGGTTCAGCTATGTAAGGGATGGTAAAGGGAATATGTTCATTACAGAAACATATTCTTACTTTCTCTCCTAATTACAGTAAATGTTCAGAGGTATGGGAATGGTCAAACAGAAAATGGAAAATTATAATAAAAAATAAGAAAGTTATCCAAGTCCACAGTAAAACTATACAATTTTATAACACAGACCAAGAAAATATTCGCATAGAATTTGGTATGCTTTCCTTGCCCCATCAAATCCACCATTTTAGTGCTCTATATTCTCTTTCTGTTTTTAACATATGTAACGGCGGGGCTTTCTGAGCTGGCTTCCTTGGAGTGCAGACATTAGTAATACAGACAACTTCTATTCCTCTTCCCCCTACACATTGCTTGTAAATCAGTTATTATTTATTTATATGTTTTTAATTTTTTGAATTATGACAGAGAAGGAGTAGATGAATTTAGGTAGAAAGATAGGAAGGAATTGCTGAGCCAAAACTGAACAAAGAAACTGGTCTTGCCATGGGGTTAGTCTCCAACTCAGAATAAATTGAATTTTTATATAGAGTGACTTGTCAGATCAGGAGGATAGAAATTAAAGCTAGAAGCCCTCAAAAGTTGGAGAATATAATAGAAGATTATACCCAAATTAAGCAGAAATTCAGGATCTCCTTTCAGGTATGTTTGAATCAAAAGCAAACCAGGGATTTGCAACACAAGATACACATTGCCTTGGGACGTTCAGCTACCCTCAAACCATGAATTTTGCTTAAGGGTCTCAGGTTGGTAATATCACTAACCTGAGTGTGACAGAGACAAGTCAATCAATCTCTGGAATAAGGCAATTTCATCATAGGCTTCAGCTTATTCAAATCAGTTTTCAAACATGATGGGCAGCATATACTACAGGTTCACCAAGCATAGGCAGTGATTTATCTGTGAATGGGAATAAACAGAAATAACCCATTAAGTTTACAGATATTGAAATTTGTAGACACAGTCTACAAAAATACTATGTTTTTAGGGAAAATGGTAAGTATATAAACTCAAACAAGGGACTATGTATTAGGTTATCTAAAATATTTAAAACAGATCAAAGGAAACTTCTATAAATAAAATCTAAAAACCTGAAACCATAAAGCCTATGGGTGAAATTAACAGTACATTAGAAGGAGATGAAGATAGAATGAGCGAGTTAGAAGAAACTCAAAGAAATTATACAGAATAAAACAGAGGAATTAAGAGACAAGGAGGACAGAATGAATGGTTAGGCTTTATATTGAATCAGAGTCCTTGAAAAAAAAGAAAAAAGGATGGGTTGAAATAATGTTTGAAGAAATAGTGCCTGAGAATATTCCAGAGCTGAGGAAAGACACCTGCACTCAGATTCAATGATTGGAACAATTTTTCAGTAGTATAAATACAAAGAAATGTTGGTGATTGTAAAACTGCAAAACACCAAAATCAACTGAAAATTTTTAATGTAACCTTGAAAAGAAAGAGAACATAAGAAATTAGCATGATAGGAGAAATATTTAAATCAGTAATTGATTTCTCATCAACAGCAACGTAAGATGAAAGAGAATGAAATAACTTCACAAGCTGAAACATAATAACTGAATCTAATGCTTGAATTTCTTTCACAATTATATTGTCTAATAATCCAACAATCACATTAGAAATTAAATAGGAGCAAGAATACTTACTGCAGCCTTATTTGTATTGCTAAAAGCATAGAAATAGCATCCAGGTCAATAAGTAGGCATTTCGATAATAATTATGAGATAGCAGTTCATTGAAATGTTGGGCATCCATTAGAAAGGAAAAGGCAATTCTTAAAAATCCACGTGGAGTTGTATTCCAGATGTAATTTTTGCAAGTGCATAGCCATTTGCATACAGAAAATGTATGTGTATGTGCCGACACATGTATAGATTTTGTGGTAATCTCTGGAGAGATACTCAAGAAAATAATTGTCGTTGTGGAGAGAAATGAGGTGCTGAAGAAAAGCAGCCAAGGTTGGGGGGATTCATACTTTTTCTACCCCTTGTACCTTTTAAATCTTGTTTCGCATGTACTATTATTCATGAATTACATATATTTTTTAAGGTTGGTTTGATTTTAGTTTTTAATTAAAAACAACTAAAATACAAATATCTCCACAGTTATCAACAGCACAGATTAAGGAATAGTGTTGTGAAGTGTCTTCATTTTAGGGGTGATTGTGTTAAAGTTCTGGGGACTTAAATGACCTTTTTCATACCATCCAAATACCGATTGAGAATGTAAATCCAAATCTCTCTACAAAATCCATCCTTTTATTTTTACTGTTTAATACCTCCACATATTTTTTAAACAGTTCTATACATTTGGTACTATATAAGTTGTATTGCCATCAAATGAATATTCATGTTCACTCCAACATTCATACGTGTTTTTCAACCTATGGGGTCCTGGGTAGATGATTAGGTCATGAGGGCAGAGTCCTCATGAATGAGGTGAGTGCCCTCATATAGGAGACCCCAGAACACTCCCTTGCTGCGTCCTTCCACCATGTGAAGGCCCAGCAAGAGGAAGGCCATCTATGAACCAGGAAGTGATCCCTCTCCTCTCCAGACACCAAGTGACCCTGCACCTTGATCTTGGGCCTCGTAACTTCCAGAATCTTGAATGTATATCTGTTTATAAGCCAACCAGTCTCTGGTATTCCATTATAGCGGCCCATACATACCAAAAGCTGTGGCACTAACAAAATCCAGCAAAGAAGAGTTGGATCTAATTGTTTCATTAAAATTTGATTATGAATCTTTGCTACGGCCTAAACAGCAGAGACCAGAGTTCTCTCCTTCCACTGTGCGAGCTTACAAATTGGCCGCTAAGAGACAACAAATCTACCAGCACCTTGATCTTGGAATTCCCAGCCTCCAGAGCTGTAAGCAATAAATTTCTGTTGTTTATCAGCCACCCAATTTATGCTTTTTCATTAGAATGGCCCAAAACAAGTAAGAAAATCCCCCAAAACAAATCAAGTGACTGGTACATGCCTATAGGCTCAGTAATATTTTTGTGAATGAATAAGTGAATAAAGGTAGAGTGAATGTGTATTGCCTTTGAATGTAAACCTTTAATACCAATTGCAGTATGATACTGAATTCACTTAAGAATTATTTTTACATAGTTGTGTAGAAGCAATTTATAATATGGAAATATTTCTCAAATTTACAGAAATTTGATAAATATTATATTTATTTTATGTAAATTCCCAAACTAAAAAGACATGTCTTTTCTCTCACTGTCCATGTAAGTTAGTGGAAGACATCGATCTCAAATTACAATATTTAACTGTATTAAATTGTATATATAGATGCAGACTCTAGGATAAAAGATTAAATGTTTGATATTTTTAAGCCAGATCCTATTATTAAAATCATCAATGATTTTTACTGTGAAGGTGTAGCCACATGACATTACCTTCAGAAAACTTCAAAGCAGCAAAAGCATGTCGCAGAGCCAAATGCAGTTCCCAGTGCCAAGAAAATAGCTAATATACATGGGCATGGTTCCAAAAAAACCCATATGGCAATGTGAGTTGAACATCTTTTACAGCAGCAATTCCATTCTAACCCAAGTTCTTTCCCTTAAATAGCACCTCTTTTATTTCCTGTAGTCAAACTGGCTGTACAGTCCTCACTCTTGCCAAAGTCCTTGTCTGGGATGTGCATCTCCAGGAACCGAAGTGCTAAACCTTTCTTTTTACTAGCCTGCTCTGCCAAAATCCATCTTGACACACCTTAAATTATATTAGATCAAAGGCTGAAAATTATATGCCATCAAAAGCAGAAAGATAAAATGTTTATCTACCGCATTAGGGATGTGCAATGTTTTTAAAGCACTTGATGTTTGAGTGAGACATTATTCGACGTCTCTGCAGTGCAGCATGGCTTACTTCCTTGGAGTAGTTGATAGATATATTGTAACAGGCTGGTGGCAAATATGAAGTGGCATATTCAGTATGTGTTTAGGATGTTTATGTGTTCTCTGATTCTTGTGGTGCTCTGTCTAATTGGAAATAAGGTTTACGTGGTGAGAGCAGTGAAGCAACGACAGGGCAATACTATAAAAGCGACTCCTGCCACCAGCACTCCATTTCTTTTAATGGATTTCTACATATTTGGAAACTTTTCTAATTTCTCCTTAAAAAATAAACCCATAAATGTCAAGAAGAATGTTTTTCTTCCTAATGGAGTTTGCTTGCCAAGCTGGCTTTGTTGCAATGTCTGTAGGTGGGCTACGGTAAAGACCAGTGGAATTGAAGTAATTTTTAAAGGAATATTGTCTCAAATGAAATATAAACAAGGAACTGTGTACCCAGGCTTCAAAGTGATAAACAGATGATGCTATAATCAAGTAATTTTTAATAAATATTTGATGGAATTTACTGAAGTCCATATTTCAGTAATCCATCATCCACTCCCAGATATACATTGAGATTACAAAATTAACAATTTGTGCTGTTGCCAGAATTAAAATTTCCTAGTAAAGTTGAACTATTATATAACCTTAGTATTTTTGCATCCTTAATTTTTTCCAGATTATTTTGCAGGCTATAAACATGTTAACCTTTAGGACTATTTTATGTCCAGGTACTACTTAAAAATGTATTTTAGATACAACAATCATACAATATTTTCTACCGTTATGGTTTCACAGTAGATAACTAAAATTATATATATATATATATTTTTTGAGACAAATTCTCATGCTGTCACCCAGGCTGGAGTGCAGTGGTATGATCTCGGCTCACTGCAACCTCCACCTCCCTGGTTCAAGCGATTCTCCTTGATTCTCCTGCCTCAGCCTCCAGAATAGTTAGGATTACAGGCACCTGCCACCATGCCTGGCTAACTTTCGTATTTTTAATAAAGACAGGGTTTCGCCATGTTGGCCAGGCTTTAACATAATTGATTATGTTTCAAAAAATAAGAAGCAATTTCTGCATACAAATTTCAGAAAAATTCACTTGGAAATAAGTTTTATTAGCTTACACTGTGGGTAGAGAAAAGTAAAACATTGAAAAGGTAACTGTTTGCTTTAACATTTACCTGTAAAAACATTCATGAATTTACCTACAATTTCTTGGAAGTAGAAATATATTCTCAATGTTGTTTTAGAAGCACATATTTAATGGAGAAATTTGTTTTTTATAGTGTTATTTTTAAACATAATTTTTAATTTAGAAAATTATGACAAAAACTCGTTCATTCCCTTTTTTGGAAAAACGATACTTAACCACTAGTAAATGTTAAGTCCTGCATTATGCACAGGGGTTAATAAAATTTAGGATGACATGGCTCAGGCTTGTTTAAGACAAATAGCACTGATAGGCTGTTCCATAAAACTTGTTATATTGCTTGGAAGAAATGAGGCCCATATATAATTGAATATATCAAAGTTAGTAAAAAGACAACCACCACGTGTTTATCCAGCCCCTGCAATATAGTGCATTCTGTGCTACACTGTGAAGATCGCTAACCATTATGAAGATTCTTACAGTCATGGGATGACAAGACTTCTGTAATGCAATGATTACAGCACTGTGTGATGAATGCTCTGGCCTGTGTGGATAAAATGCTTTAGAAACATGAGAGATACCTGCAAAAGGTAGCTAGTAAAAGCTTCAGAGAAGATAGGACTTCTGAATTTGGGTCTTAACATTCTAAAAAAAGAAATAGTTTGACCAAAGACATGGAAATTTATTTGAATTTGACATATTTTGTTTGCTTGTTTGTTTGTTTGACAGAGATAGGGTTTCTCCATGTTGCTCAGGTTAGTCTTGAACTCCTGAGCAATCTGCCTGTCTTGGCCTCCCAAAGTGCTGGGATTATAGGTGTGAGCCACCATGCATGGTCTTGAATTTGACATATTTTGATATTTGGGTAAGGGGAGAAGATTAGTGCAATGGTTTGCACATTGGACCGCTCCAAACCTCATGCTAAAATTTGATCCCCAGTGTTGGAGGTGGGGCCTAGTGGGAGGTGTTTGGGTCATGAGGGTGGATTCTTCATGAATGACTTGGTCCCACCCTGGCCTTAATGAGTGAATTCTCACAATGTCAGTTCTTGGAAGTGATGGTTGTTAAAAAGAGCCTGGCACCTCACCCCTCTCTCTTGCATTCTCTCTGCACACATCAGCTTCCCTTCGCCTTCCACCATCATTGTAGGTTTCCTGAGATCCTCACCAGAGGCAGATGCTGGTATGCTTCTTGTACAGCCTGCAGAACTGTGAGCCAAATAAACCTCTTTCCTTTGTAAATTACCCAGGCTCATGTATTTCTTTATTGAAACATAAATGGACTAAAACATTTGATGTGGTTGAAGTGTAAGTTTTATGGAAGAGATTGCCAAGGATGTGTCCAAATGGGGTGGTGGGTAAAAGACTTTGAACGTTTTCCAAATGTATGCCAATACATCTAGACTTTACTTTTGAGCTAGAGGAAGAACAGGTGCAGCCAAAATTAATTGGAAAAGTGATAGATTGCATTTTGTTTGAGAAGGATAATTCTGCTATTAAAAGAGTAGATTGCAATAGAGAGAGTCAAGAAGACACCAGTTTCAGTGGTCATTGTGAAAGAGGACTTGGTTTCATGGAGCTGGGGGAAAGAGGTCAGAGACCATGGGCAGGAATTTGTGGTCAACTTGACATCGGGATGATGTACAAAGAAAAGGCAAAGAGGAACAATCTGGGCAGTGATGTCAGTCGAAATTTGGGCAGATCGTTTTGATAGAATGGATCAAATGGAATCCAAATAAAGTAAAATTCTCAATTATGAGAATTCAATTAAATAATTTTGCTTTAAAGGAAACTAAGATTTTTAAATGCCAAAGATAAAAGCTGAAAGTCATTATAACTTTAGTCTTCCCTAAAAGTGACTTAAGCAAGAAAAAAAAACAGTATATTTTTGAAACTAGTTAACAGGGTATTTGGCTTAATTTAAATGATCTCTCCAGCAGATATTCCTTTTGTGGTCCATAAATTTTCAGTTGTTTATTTATTTTTGGACCATACAGTAAAGGGTTGGACAGAGATAAAAATCAGGGAAAAGGAAAGTCCAGACACAGAAACCGCTGAGTGGGCAGAAGCACTGTCCGAGATCAGGGGGGCACAATGATGGAAGTGCAGCTAAGGTTGTTTCCACGCTGTCCTAGATGTACAGAGCCAAGAGGGTGAGTCTCTCAAAGCCACAGTTGAGAAGGAGGTCACTTGAGTAGCAGGAGAGAAATGCTGGCAAGAGAACTGGGCCACAAACACAGTCCAAAGGGAGATCACGGAAGCCCATGAGGAAAGTCAGGAAGGAGTTACTGCAACTCAATAGCTGCTATCATAAAAACAACCCTGCTGCTACGTGGGAGCTGGTGTCTTCCTGTAAAATATACTCCACCTAATTATCCTACAGCAAGATACTGCATCAGTGCATTCCCATTGCCTTGTAAGTCCGCCTTGCCTTGTCTTGCCTTGCCAAGGGTGTGATCCAAAACTGAGTGGGCTGATATGAATTGGGTGGTGCTTTCAATTCCCTACATAGTTTGCCTCCTGAAAACCTCCTTTGGTATTTGGGCCACGGTAATGCAAAGGAGCCATTCATCCAGGTAAATTGGAGCTGGAGGTAGGGGCTGAGCCTCTTCTGGGGCCTCGGGGGGCTTCATCATGGGTCCTGGCCTGAGTGCAAAGATAGCATCTAGTATCACAGATAACTTCTTTTTGATGCCTAGCCATATTTCTGATTTTCTTGTTTATTAAGAGTGAGAACTACATTTCCTACTAGGCTAGGTCTTACTTCGCAGTTCTTAAAATGTGTTAAACCTATTTGTGGTTCTCCTTTGAATTCTTCCCAAGTTCTCTCCACGCCTGGGAAGTTGTGGAGCTGGTCCTCTAGAGATGCTATGTCTATGATGCCAACCCAATTACAAAACACAAGCAAAAACAAACAGCTACGCTAGACTTTCCAAACTCTAAAACATCGAATCTCCTCTTTGACCCTATCATGAAAGTGAGTTACTTAAATTAAAGAGTAATTGATTTGCTGTTAAATACATTATTTGCCAAATAATTTGACTGTATAATCCCAGTGTAGTTATAATTCTGTGTGGCTAACCCTGTGTTGCTCTGGAATTCTGTCCTCTGATTTTATGAATTCTAAGATGCTGATTTAATTTAATTTTTTAAAATATCTTCCAGTTTACTTGAGTCCAAGTAGGCTGATCCACAGAATCATATTCAAAGAATTCCAATGAGCTGTTGAGGAGGATTTTAAGCCCTCCACTAGCTTCCTGGCATCAGTTGGCTTTGAGAACCAACCTAAGTATTTCAGAGCTGCTAGTGAAATGAATCTTTCTTACAGATATTACAGAGGGTTACAGAAAGTTCAGTTTCTGACTCACCCTGATTTTGAGAAACTGTTTCTTAGGGTCATTCCCTAAGGTTGGAATCGCTCTCTCTCTCTCTGTTGGTTAGTGCCCTGTAAACACTGACAATTTTCTTTCTCTTCAGTTCTTCATTCTTGGTCTAGTGCTTCAGTTTCCAAGTCTACATGACTATGCTACAGTGTAAGGTTATTTAGACGTACAATTTCATGATTTCTTTCTTCTGGGATTATTTGCTTGACTTGTGATTAGCTTGCCTGATCACAGACAATAGTAACTTTTTAACCATTCTTACATGATTTCCCTTTTCCTTAAATTTGTTGTTTCTGTATTAGAAGCAGGAAAAAAGGGCCAACGTTTAGAATTTGAAAAGCAGTGTTTGAATGCACTTGTTACCTGGTAAACCAGTCATTTACTGCTATCTTACAAATGACCACAGCACATGGTAGACTTAAAGAACAATTATTTGCACATTTCTCAATTTTGTGGGTCAGAAACTGGCAGCACTCAGCTGAGAGACTCTTCTGTTTTACGGGGATTCACAGCGTTCACTCAGAGACAGATAGCTGGTGGGCAGGCCGGTGTCAGGGACCAAGGATGGCATCACTCGTGTGTCTGGCCCTTGACAGGGATGCTGGAGGTCTGGGCTCACCTGGGAATGGAGATGGCAACACCTACATGTGACCTTTCCAGCATGGCAGTCTCAGAGTGGATATGGCAACAGCTGCACATGAACTCTCCGGCATGGCAGTCTCAGAGTGGATATGGCAACAGCTGCACATGACCTCTCCGGCATGGCAGTCTCAGAGTGGATATGGCAACACCTGCACACGACCTCTCCGGCATGGCAGTCTCAGAGTGGATATGGCAACACCTACACACGACCTCTCCAGCATGGCAGTCTCAGAGTGGATATGGCAACAGCTACACATGACCTCACCGGCATGGCAGTCTCAGAGTGGATATGGCAACAGCTACACATGACCTCACCAGCATGGCAGTCTCAGGTTACTGGTACTTCTTAGGTCTCAGCTGAGGACTCCAGTGCAGGTGTTGCAAGACAGCAGACGTAGCACTGCTTATGTGTATCCTGAAGTCCCATGTGTATCCTGAAGTCCCAGAAAGCTGCTTCAAGTAGATTCCAGTGGAGAAGGGAGTCACCAAGGCTGGACAGTCATTTATCCATGGCAGGACTAGCAAAAAAATCTGCACCATCTCTCATCGCACACACGTGGGTAAGGTTTGGACTGGTATGATCTTTTTCCATAATGTCATTTTCGTGATTTCTTAACTGAGAATATAATAGTAAATACCAATCTCACAGAATTGTTATGAGGAATGCAGAAACTTAATCAAATTACTTAATTGTTATTTTCATTTCTTATTAATTTGTTCCCATTGAAATTAATGTTATGTCTGGTCTCATTTTAAATTATTTATCGTTCTGAATTTGGATCCCATCCTCAAGTTTTCAATGCTTGACTTTTTATGAATTCTTGTATTATACCTCAAATTTAATAAAATCCTTTTAATCTTGTCTTCACCCTAGCACTGTCTATACTGTCCCCTGGGTGGAAGTTTCCCATCATTCTAATTACTTTTGTACACAAATTTGACTTCTCTCTCCAGCCCCTGTGAGAAACATGTCCTTTCTGTTACACAGGGAGTAGGTGAAGGCCTTTGGACTTCCTATTTTTCCTATATGAAACTCTCTTCTTTCAGATATCAGAATTTTCCTCTCTCTCTTTCATTCAGAACTCTGCTAGACAATCATCTTACCAGAAAGATTTTTATTCATCACCCTGTGCTAAATAACATTGGTACTATGCTGGACTGAGCTACTATTTTTCCTTGAATCCTGCTGTAGGCTTTTCTTCAGACACTTACCATCACCAGGCGTAATGTGAATGTGTTTGTTCATTGCATGTCTTCTCCACGTGAATGGAAACTTCATGACAAGAATGTGTTCCAGGGCTGGGCGCCGCGGCTCACGTCTGGAATCCCAGCACATTGGGAGGCCGAGGCGGGCGGATCACAAGGTCAGGAGCTCAAGACCAGCCTGACCAATGTAGTGAAACCCCGTCTCTACTAAAAATACAAAAATTAGCCTGGCTTCTGTAATCCCAGCTACTCGGAGGCTGAGGCAGGAGAATTGCTTGAACCCTAGAGGTGGAGGTTGCAGTGAGCCGAGATCACTCAAGAAAAAAAAAATAAAAGAATGTTTTCCTTCACCTCTGAATCCCTAGTGTATAGGGGAGAGCCTGGAACAGAGTAGGGGTTCCATAAGCCAATCAAATAAATGACTGAAAAAGAGTTAAGGGACAAGGTCAAACAAAAAGAGCTAATTTAACTGCTAAACGATTATTCTATTTAGGCCAATTGGTAACCCATGACTGCTTGTAAAATTCAATTTCATTGAATGGGACATATTTCAAACATAAACATAGGTTTTTTTAATGAATATAACTGAACTGCAGATTGCAATCAAGATGTTCCCTCCCTTTCTCATTTAGATTTCTCATCTTATTAGCCATCACTGACCCTCCTCTAGTGGTTAAATGCTTAGTTTGGGACATTATCTCAGCCATACCCTCAGAATGGTTGATTCAGTGGTTCGTTGCCCATGTGTGCTGTGATGTCAACAGGCTGTTGAATGCTGAGGGCAATCTCATATTTGGCTAATGATGGTTCTTCAGAAAGCAACACCCTTCAGATTAGTTCAGCAGGGTTCAACTTTGTGGTGACCACAGTTGGGCTGAGCAGGCTGCATGTCAGGCAGAGCTGTCAGTCTGCTCCAGCCAAGAGTGGAGTGGGCACTTCTTGGGATTTGGATAAGGAAACATTTGTCTGAGCAGTTTTACCACCTTAATATGGGTTTGATTCTTCTATTTGTATACAGAGTAAGCCAAATTAAAAAATGAAAAGAAAAAAGAACCAGTTCATTTAATCAAGACATGCTAGTGGTTAGTCATCTTTTATAACAACCACATCGATAATTCACCTTTTTCATTTTCAAATTAGTTTTTGGTTGTTTTGTAGACAGAGAGCCTTAGCCATAAATTAAAAGTAATGATAATTAGCCACATGTTCTTCATTATGTTGAGGGCTTTGAACATTTCTTCACATAGCTATTAGACATGTCAGCCACATGTAGGAAAAGGAACTATAGAATTTCGTAATTTTTTTTTTTTTTGGAAAAATGAGCAACAGAATTTTAAGGCAGAAACGTGAAATGCGAGTGATGGCAAGTCCCAGTGAAGTGGAGAATAGCATGCTTTATGTGAATGTCTGATATTTGTTTTCTCAGTGCTTTTGATCTCAGAACACCTAACAGGACTGGGGCAGAAGCTTTTTGCTGACTTGTTGCATCAGTGCTAAAGATGAAAGGAAACAGTCTTCATATTCGCCGTGGTGTTGATTGCCCTATAAATAGGAAACTACCCAGTTAACCTTGCCTGTTGTCATACGGAGAGTTTTATTAAAAAATAAACAGTGCGTGGCGGGTAGCAGAATGTGGGATTTCTGCTTAGATGCCCGCAATTCTTTCATATACTTCATTAAAATGTGCAGGAGAACTTCAGAGCCATGAATAAAAATATTGTTATGGAAACTGAGGCCTGTTATCATAGCTTCAGTGATTTGCAATGATTATTTAATGAATGAGTTTATGTTTGAAAATATCCCCTGTGATAATATGAATTTATCGCTCCCCCCTACCCCTCCGATTTCTTTTATTTTGACACATATGGAAGATGCTGTTTTGTTTTGACACTCAGAGGAGATGCTCTTTTTATCAAAAATCACTGAACAGTAATGAGATTTTAGTGAACAATCTTACCAGACTTCCCGAACATAAAGAAATCTGATACTGAGGAGTGCACAGTGTTCTATAATAAGTAATCTTAGGTGTGTGCATGCTTTTCAGTGGCAGTATTCATTTTTCACGAGTTTTGTATTTGATCTTACCGGGATTTGATGTAAGAAGACTTGGGTAGCTCTTGTGTAGACACAAAGAACAGAGAGGACATCCATAAAGCCATAGAGACAGGATCCCAACCACAGTGTGAGGAGAAACTGATGACTATGCCAGGCATACAGCACCATCTCTTCAGCCTAAGAGCAGGGGGTTTACCAAGCTCACCAAAACAACTTACCATTCCTCTTTCCGCGTGATTGGAACTCATCTTCCTCCTCAGAGGGTGCAGAGATGAATTTAGAAGGAAGTTTGAAGAGCCCATGGTGTCCAGAACTCAGGCCTGCTTGCAAATGAGTGGCTCTGGGACTGTCTTTCCACATCTCCAGGAGCCTATTTTCCGGGAGGAAAATGAGAGCACTGTTCAGAAGTACTGGAAGGAACCTGCCAACATTGAGTTTCTTGAGAGTCTCTGAAGTTAGTTCTTCTAATTTTTAGTACCCTGACAATTTCATGCAAGTTAGTAACTTTTGCATACTTCAGTTTTCTCATCTGTAAAATTGGGGTAATGATAATATCTACCACCCTCACAGACACACCCAGGATTAATACTTTGCATCCTTCAATCCAATCAAGTTGATACTCAGTATTAACTATCACATGGTCCCTGAAAATTTTATTTTATTCTGATTTGGGAATAAAAAAGCTTTCTCTTTGACCCCGAAAGTTTTTCTCTTTTTGTTAAAATATATTAAAATATTTATATGGATTTCTAAAATATTGTGAGCCCCAGGAACTGTGGTTAATGTGCCTGATGATCTCTGTTGCCGTCAGGGTTGGTTTCTCATTAGGGCACTTCTGGGCTTGTAGAGGGCCACTTTCTCACCGTGTCCCAGAATGGACCTTCCAAGATCTCTGGTCTCCTTTCCTCTTAAAAGGACACCAGTCCTATCAGATTAGAGTCCCTCTCTTATGACTTCATTTAGCCTTAATTATCGCCTTAAAGGCCCTATCTCCAATTGCCTTTGGGGCTAGGAAATCAACATATGAATCTTAGAGGGACACAATTAACTCAATAACAGTGACATTTTAAAAACTACAAAATAAGGGAAATATCATAGTTTTTTTCTTTACTTTCACATAGATATTACATCATATTAAAAGATAGATCATTTCTTCATTTTAATTGAAACCAGAATTATATTGGAATAAGGGGTGACCAATATGGGTTTTTCAACATTTACTCTTATATTAATGTATTAGCAGAAGACAAGAGTTCGATATTTCTTAATAATTTTCCTAGAAATTGACTAATATTTTTATTTTTACTTTCTCAGATATATTCGTTTTAATAAACTATTTTTGTTGTTATCTAATAGTATTCAATTTAGACAATTTGGAGAACATGGATGCCTATAAACATACATAAGAATACAAATGTATCCTGCTTTCAGCATCAGAGATAATTTAGGGTTATTGCAATTGTTTCTGTTTTGGCAAATTGGAAGGATTATGGTTGATGAACTGAGGTAAGTATTCTAGGAAGAATATTTGCTGTTGGGTCAGGCATGCTTTCAGTTTTTATGTATGTAGAGTTTGATAGACCACTGAGACATTTAAAAGATGTTCAGAAGGTATTGAACTTTTGGAAAGGCAGATCAAAATCCCACAAGGGAAGCCTGACCTGTGTACAGACATTTGTGAATTGTCTGCATATAGGTGGTATTGAAGCCATGGATGAAATTGCTAACTAAAGCATACTCTTGTGAGAAAAGAAGAGGACAACTTACCCATCGGGCACATTAACCACAGTTCCTGGGGCTCACAATATTTTAGAAATCCATATAAATATTTTAATATATTTTAACAAAAAGAAAAAGAAAACTTTCAGCGTCAAAGAGAAAGCTTTTTTATTCTCAAATCAAAATAAAATTAAATTTTCAGAAACCATGTGATAGTTAATACTGAGTGTCAACTTGATTGGATTGAAGGATGCAAAGTATTGATCCTGACTGTGTCTGTGAGGGTGTAGCCAAAGGAGATTGACATTGAGTCAGTGGACTCAGAAAGGCAGACCCACCCTTAATCTGGCTGGGCACCATCTAATCAGCTGTCAGCATGGCCAGGATATTAAGCAGGCAGAACAACGTGAAAAGCCTAGACTGGCCTAGCCTCCCAGCCTACATCTCTCTCATGCTGAAGGCTTCCTGCCCTCAAACATCGGACTCCAAGTTCATCATCTTTGGGACTTGGACTGGCTCTCCTTTCTCCTCATCTTGCAGATGGCCTATTGTGGGACCTTGGGATCGTGTGAGTTCATACTTAAATACTTAATAAACTCCTATATACATATATATATATATATATATATATATACATATATATATATATATATATATCTACCATATTCGTTCTGTCACTCTAGAGAACTCTAATACATACAATAAAAATCTATTAAATTTTTGTCTGAAACAGAAAAAATAAAATATTTAACCTTTAAAAATGTTCAATGTTGATATCAATATGATGCCAGAGCCCAATGAAAACAAAAGTACTTAGTTCCCACAAAAGTTATAATGAGACCCTGATTTGACCTAGTTTGGAAATAGCAACCTTTAAAAGGTTTGAGAAAAATAAATACCTACACAAGTGTTTGAAAATATCCCAGGTGTCTAACAACTCACTTTCTCTATGTCTTTCCCATACCCCAAATATCAACCATGACATTTTTCCGCTGATCTTTCAGATCTCAGAAGGCGACATGAAGGAGATCCCTCTGCTGTGAGATTGCTATTTTCCTATTGTACCTCAATTACATTTATAAACTTCTTTCTTTCATGCCAGCCTAAGTGGTTTTTGAATTTATTAACTTTAATGTTTAATAAACCAGTTTCTATAGCAACAATCCTATGACAGATGTTTTGTTAAAGTCTCTTTAAAGCACACACCTCTGTCAATATGTTATTTTGAACATTTCAAAGGATAAACTCTTGAAAAAGGCTGCACATATCTCAACTTTCAACCTCACAATTTGCATTAATAATTATACCCTCTCTTAATAAAAGAATTATTTAATAGAAGGCTGATGAGCTAATTTTAAGAATAATACAGTAAAAGGTCAAAATAAAACTTACCACTCTCGAGAAGAAAGTGTAAGGTCAAGAAATAAAAAAAAATTACAACATGGACTATACTACTTTCCTCAATGTTAATTACTTTAATAAATGTGTGACGAATGATTACCAACATTTTAAAATCTATGTGCATTTTTCTCCAATGAGTGGCACTGGTTTTCTTTGCACTTTTAGAGTGCTCAGTCCTGGCATATGTAGGTCACTGACCGGGAAATTACCATCTCAATTCACTTTCTTTCTTCTTTGCTATTTCTTATCTGATCTCGAAGTTAAGGCATTGAAACTATTGCAAAACCCTCATTATTTTTTCCCAAATTAAAATGGTAATATTTAATAGCTGCATATTTTGATGCATGCTTTTGGCTCTGGTTTCCTTTTTTTATGTGTTTTTTTTTATTGTTGTTGTTATGAAGGGTTTTTTTTTATTGCTTTTTTGTTAAAGAACGTAGCAAAAAAAATGAAGTATACTAAAAGCTATTTCACCCAGAGAAACATAATTTGTTGGGTTTTTAAAAATATCATTTTCATCTGCTTCTTTGGGAAACATCAGAAATAGGCACTGAGGGATGGCAAGGTTTATGCTGAACTCTAAGTAATGCATGTTGTCACTTGCAGCCAGTCACTGAACTTTCTCTGCCGTAGCTTCCTCATTTTTAATGTGGACTAAGACTCCACTTTTATATCACCACGTCCAAGTTTAGACACGTGACCCTAAGTTGCTCTATCAGGGATCTCTAGGCCTTCCCTATGTGAGACACAAGGTGGGTATGGACTGCAGTCAAAGGCAAGTGAGGTTTTTTTTTGTTTTTTTGTTTGTTTGTTCATTTTTTGAGATGGAGTCTCGCTCTTTCACCAAGGCTGGAGTACAGTGGCGTGATCTCAGCTCACTGCAAACTTCGCCTCTGGGTTCAAGTGATTCCCCTGCCTCGGCTTCCTGAGTAGCTGGGATTATAGGTGCATGACATCATGCACTGCTAATTTTTGTATTTTTAGTAGAGACGGGGTTTCACCATGTTGGTCAGGCTGGTCTTGAACTCCTGACCTTGCGATCCACCCGCCTTGGCCTCCCAAAGTGCTGGGATTACAGGTGTGAGTCACCGCGCCCGGCTGCAAGTGAGTTTTTAATGAATGCATGGACTTGAGGACAGAAGAGGAGCCCGAGGTTTCTAGTGGGGGCTATGCACAGTTCTGTGGGTTAAAGGTTGTTCTTCCTCTTTCCCTGAGCTGGGGAGCTAGGGCAAGCTATGTCTTATGTCTCCCAAGAGTCAAAACCTTTGGCTCCTTCTAAATACCAGCCTAGCTCATACTAACACTGGATGAATACATTTCCACAACAGAAACTCAAAATCCATCTGTTTAAGGATGCATGACAAATTTCATTTAGAACAACAGTATGAGAGTCATATTCAAATGTGAAGCAAGAGTGAGCACAAGGCTCTTATTTGTTCCTTAAGAAAAAAAAATTTATTTCTTAGTGAGTTTAAATCATCAACCATGCTTCAGGAAGAAAAATGTAGCCTGGCCTCCTTTCCATCTCTTTGTGATTGTGGAAAAGTGGACCTTTAAGATTTCACTGAAAGATTACAGACCTGCTCATTAATTTTACATTCCAAACCTTTGACTGTTGATAAAATGAACAAAAGAATTTAAAATAAAAGTGGAAAAAAATGGATCCCTTTTCATCCGTGAGGGCCCTCAGGCTATATACAAACACAATACACAAAACCTGCATCATTTACCTGGGACAATGTTATGGGCTACTAAGTCGATCCTTTTAGAAGAGCAGTGAGTTAATGGATTGTTTTCCTGACAATATTTGTAGTACAGTAAAAAATAAAATGGGGAAAATATTTTTATCTGGCTTTTAAATGTTATGTTTTATGGTTGGGTTAATGTTGTGGCTGATCAGCTGTTACATGGTGCATGAATATTGACTGGATTCTCCATTAGGGCTGATGGGGCATCACCGACCAGCTATGTGATCTATGTTCTCCCACTGGCTCTTGCTTGGCATGAGAGATACATTTGCAGGATGAGGAGCAGGAATGAGAGCTATCGATTGTAGAAACAGAATATAGTAGAGCTGATTGACCTGTTTCAAAATTAAGAAATCTGTTGCCATATCTTGCATTACACTCTTTTATTTTATATTCTTACTCTGAATTCCTTCATGAAATGCACAAACTCCACCCTGTATATACATATATATATATGTTTGCATTTCCTAGCTTTTAAAAATAGTTTAAAGTATACCTTCTCCAAAGGGGAAATACTTTGAAATATTTTTGGAAGAGAAATTGTATTAGTTTAGATCCATAATAAATAATTATATTGTTTTAAAAGCTGGTGCAAAGTAACATTTTCTTATATTGTAGAACTCTAAGCCTTTTGGCTTAGAAAATGAGAGCAATATTCTTCTGCTTTTCATCACTTACAGGGATATTCTTGGTATTATTATATAAATTTTATTTTCATTAAATATACCATAAAATTCCAAATGTGTGTTTCGAATTACTGGCAGAAAAATGTTGGTAATTTTTTCCAGTGTGACTTAACTGTCATTATAATTAAGTAATTGTCTCCCCCAAAATGTTTGTTTAGGCAATACATTTCTGCATATTTGAAAACCTAATAAAAAGTTTTATTAAAGCTGTTCACTCAAAAATAGACAACTGTGCCCCGCTGAGCAGTAGTTTAAAACCAAATCAATGAATTTGCTATTATGTAGACAAGAAAGTGTCCTATCATTGACATTAGTAATGTTTCCACCAAGTTGAACGTGATGAGGGAGCTGTTAGTTGTTACCCTGGAAACTATTCAAAAGGTCTAGAGCTGCTGAAAAACAGAAGACTCTGGGCTCACCCCTGGGATTCCGCTGCCTTTCAGACCATCTAGGATCCAAATTTTGGGAATGTATTCTGTATGTCTGAACATGCTTTACTGCCATTTTAGACTGATTGTATCTAATTTTAAGTTTATGATGCCACCTCTCTTTTTCCCTATATTTCTAAACTTTCTGGAAGACGTTCTGAAATCATTCAAGTTTATTCTCATTTTTTATATCTCAGGACTAGTCACTCAATCTTTAAATAACCACTTTTGATCAAGAGATTACTGTACCCTTCTGATACAACTTAAGATCATAAAAACAAGTTGATCCAATTCAATAGCTTTTTCTTATATTATAATTCATGCCCTGGCCGAATAATTCCAACTTTTTCTTTTTTTGAAATATATGTTAGGTTTTCCTGGTTCTCAATCAATCTACGTGAGCACTCATTCTTTCTGTATTCTGGTTCCTACTACATCTTTTATCAGTGTCTCTTTTTGCATTCATTGATCAGTATCTCTTTTTTTAAATGCAGAAAAAATAGAGTGTGCTTATAAATGTTTAACTATTAGCCAGCTATTTAATTTCCTAACACTATCTGATATGCTTGTTATTAAATCCAACTCATTTTCTATGCCTTTGATTCGCCTTATACACTACTAAGGACAGAAGAGCAATGGAGTCGATCTAAAACCAGAGAACCAGAATCCCTTACTCCCACAGAGAGATTGCCTGTGGGCTTTAGGCATCGGTTTACTTGTCTCTAGAGCTCAAGTTCACAAGCACCAGTAGCCCCATGGGTAGAATGTGAACCTCTGTTCTATACAGCATGTTGATGAATGCATTACTTCTGCCTTAGTCATGTCGGAGCACAGTAAATGTCAACTAGCAGTGCAGCACCGGAACACGACATGCAATCTGCTCACCTGAGTCATGCTGCTTTCAGAAGAGAAGGCACTGGTTTAAATCTGCATGGCAAGCCTGCCCGAGCTAGAATTCGATGAGAACCCTCAGGTTAATAGCTTTGCTCTTTGAGAGAGCTCTAAGCTCTTTTCATTCCAGACCAATTTCACATTTACATACTACCTGCCACTAAAGCCCCAAGGTCCTTCGCCAACAAGAAGCAGATATTTACTCACTAAAGTTAATGTCCCAGCGCTTTCTAGCCTTTGGACACAGTTTTTAGGCAACAAGGAAAATAATACATATGTATAAATGGCCATTTGTGTTCCTAAAATAGCAAGGGGCTATAACCCAAAGCCTAGAATTCTTTTTCGTTTTTTTTTTTTTGTTGTTGTTGTTTGTTTGTTTTGTTTTGTTTTGAAACAGTCTTACTTTGTGGTCCAGACTGGAGTGCAATGGTGCAACCTAGGCTCACTGCAAACTCAGCCTCCCTGGTTCAAGTGATTCTCCTGCCTCACCCTCCTGGGAATCTGCGATTACAGGCGCCAGTCACCATGCCCGGCCAGTTTTTGTATTTTTAGTAGGGATGGGGTTTCACCCTGTCGTTCAAGTTGGTCTCGAACTCCTGACCTCAGGTGATCCATCGTCTTGGCCTCCCAAAGTGCTAGGATTACAGGTGTGAGCCACCACGCCCGGCCCTAGAATTCTTTTTCTTAAAGACAATTATAATGGTAATTCCGTTTAAAATGTCACTATAAATCTATTTCATTTATTACTGCATGATTTTAATCTATTATTCCACTTAAAAGAAAAACAAATCAGAGAAATCAGCAAGGGGGCAATAACAAATGTGGGTTAGGGTACACAGCCCACTTTGGGACCATATTCAATGAAGAATAAGATGAGAGAAAGATAATGTGATTTCTTTTATTATTATTATTATTATTATACTTTAATTTCTGGGATACGTGTGCAGAATATGCAGGTTTGTTACATAGGTATACACGTGCCGTGGTGGTTTGCTGCACCCAACATCCTGTCATCTACATTAAGTATTTCTCCTAATGCTATCCTTGCCCTAGTCCCCCACCCCCCGACAGGCCCCAGTGTGTGATGTTCCCCTCCCTGTGTCCTTGTGTTCTCATTGTTCAACTCCCACCTGTGAGTGAGAACATGTGGTGTTTGGTTTTCTGTTCCTGTGTTAGTTTGCTGAGAATGATGGTTTCCAACCCGGATGAAGCTTGATTTATTAAGACCAATAGTAATTACAGAGTGTGCCGTCCATGAGTGAGTTAGGATGTTTTCTGTGACATGTGAGAGAAAGCCCAACTCAATCTTCCTTAAGCATAAAAAGATACTTTATTGGCATGTATGAGTAACAGTTCAGGAGTAGATCCTCAAGAGTGGCTTATCTAAGGCCTCAAAGATCATAATCAGAGTCTAATTTAACTCATATTATATGTATTGATTAAGCTTCATCTATGTAAGCTCTATACTTAAGCTCCAGTTCCTACTCAGAAAGAGGGTGACACTTCCTGATGGACATAACTGAAACCCCAGAATGGGGTCACAAAAGCCCCGAGTTAGACTAACTTGTGAAAGAGCCCACCTTAGAACCAATCATGATGCCCAAAGACTTGGAAAGTGCTGATTTTGAAGCTCCATCATTGAAGCAGTGAAAAGGAGGCCCGGCATGACTGGCCCCATTTTGCTCCTAAGCCCACCTTTAGGTTAACGGCTTTTGCTTATCTCTGCATGTAGGCCAAGCTGGCTACGGGTGGAATTTAGTTTATAGTTTCACTTTAAAGCAAGGTTTGTAATAATTCCTTCCCAAAACTAACCACGGAGGAAACAAGAAGGGCGTACACATAATTAAGAACATTAGGTTAAAGATTATAAGAGCATTGTGACCTGACCAAGGATGAAGAACTTCACAGTCCACTCCATTGGACCCTCATTGCTGCCCAGATATATGTGGTCATTGGTTGCCTCGTGATTTCAACTCCTTCCCTCTTTCCTCTTCCCCAAACTTAAATGTTCCTAAAATTCTATTAGGATGGTTCTTTAGGACACTAATCTTCCATCTTCTCAGTTTGCTTGTCCTCCAAAATAAAGTCAGCTTCCTTGCTGCAACATCTTGTCTCTTGACTTATTTGCTGTTGTGTGGCAAGCAGTATGGGCTTTGAACTCAGCTACATGTCTCCAAGTCTGTGAAAATGATGTCCTCTTAGAGTCCTTCTGTTCACACCTGTCTCCATCTCCCGGGGCTGGAGATGTAGTCAGCTTGACCTATGCAGAGGAGATGGTGCGTTCCCTCAAGCCATATGTGAATTTCCTGTTGCCATAAGAAGATTGATCCTGGGGCTAACAAAACATCAAAGCCTATTATAGATAATATTTAATTAAATCTATGGATACTTCTAGTTCCGTTAGCTTCCAGCCAATTGTCAATGCCACTTCATAAAAATTAAGACAGGAGCACATTTTTGGAGCACTTAGTATAGACTAGATCTTATGTTAAATTATTTAGACTAGGCAGACATTTATCATAGCAGTTGTGTAAGTAATTATAATTGTGTCTTCTTAGAGCTGAGGAAACATATACCAAAAAATTTTAAGTAATATTGACAAACCCACATAGCCAGTGAGAGGAGAAGCAGGAGCTTAGAAACAAGCTTGTCTGACTCCAGAGACTGCAGCTTTGCTTATAAAGACAGAATAGAGAATGTTGCTTGAAAACCTAGGTTCAAATATATGTTTCACCACTTAGTAGCCATTCTTCTTTGAATTCTCCACCTAGATTTGGGATATTTTCTTCTATAGCTAATGCCTAAACACTTAAAAGTATTGTTCTTTTAAGGACAGGCACCTTCAGAGCCTGTCAGAAGTTGCGATCAAATTTCTTCCTTAGTCCTACAATTTCTATTAGCCTCTTTTTCTATGTCAGTTACTCTGGAGTTTACTTAAGTCAATCAACCTTCACTTCAAAACTTCTTCCCTGGAATCTTTTTCCTTTTCCTTTCATTTAGCTTAGCTCAAAGTCTATGCAGTCTTTTTTTTCTTTTTTTTGAGACGGAGTCTCGCTCTGTCACCCAGGCTGGAGTGCAGTGGCGCGATCTCGGCTCACTGCAAGCTCCGCCTCCGGGGTTCACGCCATTCTCCTGCCTCAACCTCCCGAGAAGCTGGGACTACAGGCGACCACCACCACGCCTGGCTAATTTTTTGTATTTTTAGTAGAGACGGGGTTTCACCTTGTTAGCCAGGATGGCCTCGATCTTCTGACCTTCTGATCCGCCCGCCTCAGCCTCCCTAAGCAGGGGTGTCTTTATTTATTTATTTATTTGTTCATTTTATTTTATTGTTTTTTGAGAAAGAGTCTTGCTCTGTCGCCCAGGCTGGAGTGCAGTGGCGTGATCTCAGCTCACTGCAACCTCCACCTCCCAGGTTCAAGCGATTCTCCCACTTCAGCCTCCCGAGTAGCTGGGATTACAGGTGCCCGCCACCATGTCTGGCTAATTTTTGTATTTTTAGTAGAGATGACCTTTCACCATGCTGGACATGCTGGCCTCACGACCTCCTGACCTCAGGTGATCTGCCCACCTCGGCCTCCCAAAGTGCTGGGATTACAGGCGTGAGCCGCTGCATCCGGCCAAAGCAGGGATGTCTTTAATGCCGCATCTTCAGTGCCTACCATAGAGCCCGGCATGCAATAGAAGTGTGCGCTAACTCTTCCACTTATCCCTGGGTTAGGCCCAACTCCTCCAGCTATAGTAGTAGAGTCAAGGAGATCCCAGAAAAATCTGTTTTCTCTGCACCCAGGCTTTTAAGTCATCATGAGCAAGACTCTGCCTTTTCTTAGTTTTTCCAGGTGGTGAAGATGTGGAACAGGAAAAACCACATAAAAATGCAATCACATGAATAAATATTGCCTACAAAGGCTGGATTCAACTGAAGACCTTACACTCTAAATCAGGAGCACAGACTCATGTTTATGCCTTTGTCCCAGGCACCAACTTCTCTTGAACTTCTTTGCTGACCCTGCCTGAAAGTGGAGTTAACTAAATCTTGTGTAGATCTGTCTCATATCACTATTTAGCCCATTTGCAGATAGGTATGATATTGTTAAAATGATGAAAATGCCCCACGTTGGACTCAGTTGGATATTCTGCTCCGGCAGATCAGGTTCTAACTGGAATCTTGGTTCACTTCACTTCTGTAGGCTAAGATATTCTATTCGTACTTGACTGAGCATTGTATTGATGATCCCTGATAATGCAGCTCTTCAAATGTAATAAATTTCTTTTGTAATTGACTGGCCATGCCCACTCAAGAGATATATGTTTGTTGCCTGATTGAGTGTCTAAGTAAAGAATTAAATGAATAAATGAAAGAGTAACATAAGAAATAAACAACACTGGGACAATGAACTGAGACTTCATTTATTAAGAAGCAATTATTGATAATTTTGTATATGATTTTAGACTATAACTAATATACTCCAAATGCAATAGTAGACAAGATAGAAATGGCCCCTTCCTTCATACTCGTGGTTGAAATACATTGTATTGCTGATGTTCCATAGCTTTTTTACACATGTTGTTTTCATTTGTTTCAACTAACGGTAAGGAGTGTGGATATTTGAATCGGCCAGTGCAAAATGCAGTGACTTGGAAAGAGGGAATCACTGTTAGTGAATCATAAACAATATTTGAAGGTCCTTCAGTGGTTTATTAACTTCAAATAATATAACTAGATGAGTCTCGGTTTTACAAGTAACCAGGAAGTAATGCAAGAATCCTAGCGAGGGTGGTATCAAAAACATAAAGTTTATGTATAAAAAGCATTTGAACTCAAGAATTTGACATAGACCTTAGTGAAAATGCAGCTATTTCTTGTCAGTTTAAAAGAAATAAATAATTCGTTAAATTCAAAGCAAGGGATCCCTAATCAACTTAGCTCACAGGTAATTTCAAATAAACATAATGCTTATTAACAGTTCCAATATTTGACTTTTTGCTCAACCTAAATTCAGCAATGCAATGTGCTGAGATATATCCCAATAAAGAGCAGCTGCTTTTGTTTTGTTTTATTTTGTTTTAATTTATTTCACAAACAAGTTTCTGCATGAGCCTGAATCTTTACAATGTGAAAGCTGTTTGGATTCAGGTAGGAAATACGTTTGAACTGATGCATACCAAATTTCCAAAAGTTCACCTTTTTATCTTACTGCTTAGCTGTTGAATAACACAACTTTTGCTTGGTCAAGCCTTCTTTCATTTTCTTGAAGATGAAAATGTAATTCTTGAGTTACTTCTGAAGAACAGGTTGGGGAAATGCAAATAAGAGCATTACTCTTCTAGAGTATGAAAAGATTACCAAATTTAGGTTTTCTGGTCAGTAAAATTATATTTTCCTAACTTGTTTACTAATTACAGAGTCATTTAATTAGATTATCATTTCTTCTTTTTCCATTGCCATCTTTTTAAATGATGATATTTCCAGAACTGCTCTATTTAACTGTTCAGTGAAATTACATTCATGAAGCTGACAATTATTCAGAAGTAAGTTTCCTATGTAACTCTCCCATTCTTCATATTCTTTGTTTCTAATTTATATTTGGGTCTGAAAATTGATAAAGTTACTAGTTTAGAAATAATTAACTGTGACTTCTTATTTTCAGAAACATAAATGAGGGTGCACTTCTCCACAGAACCTTTTTCACATTCTTTTAACAACCAAATCATTCCCAATTTTCTGGTGTGTAAATTCCATGTGATCAGTACAAATAAACAAACTGACAAGATTTGGGCAGTTGGAACCCATTGTTTTACAACGTCTTTGTTTAAAATCTTTCATAATTCATCTTCAGCAATGGCCTTCCTAGCAATTAGTTACCTTTAGTGTCTTCATTTTCGTTTAAATGTTCAATGATCAGGATAATTAGAATTAATTTCTCATTGTCATTTTATGGTAATGAAGCTTCTGCCACTTATCACAAGCATCCTGCAGGCACAGTGTTACCACACAAATATGTGACTCCTCACTCTTCACACACTGGTTTATGGTCCCTGGTTAAAGTGGTAACAGTAGGACCTGGCCTGATTCCAGTTTAAATGTATGCCATATTAGATGAAAGATTGTGGGTAGTCATGCTGGTATTCTTGCCCCTTGTGGATGGCATTCTATGTGCAACTCAGTTCTCCTTAAGCAACACAAGAGAATTTTCGTCTCCATTAGTCTGGGTGTTTTACAGACTGGGATTAGTTCTACAGTTAGAACAAAAGGAAATATCTTTGTGAATGAAGATGGAAAGCAATGTCAATTCAAAACTTTATAAAAACTTCAGATAGAATTCAGGAAAGCAAAGGTTGAAAAACTTAGTACCAGAAAATCTATGAAGAAGAAAGTGAGTCAGTGAATTCTCAAGCTGGAAGAGCCTTCTTGCATTATCTGGTCTAGGATTCTCCAGCCACAAAAAAAAAAAAAAAGTAATTGTGTATTATCATCCCCATTCATTCCCTGTCATATCTCTGCCTAAGCAATTGCAGTAGAATTCATCCTATCATTTGTATCCTCTTCCTTACTCCTGGGAAACATTTAGATAGGGTAAAGGATTTGGTTGAGCAGAAACCTGGGGTGGGAAATAGGGAGCATATCTAGGTTTGTCAAAGAAGGTATTTAAGGCTGCCCTGTGAAATCATACCAGTTTCAAAATTAGAAACTTGATCTTTTTTACAGCTGACTTTTCTTCACCACATTTTAAACTTGTTCTTTATTCTGCATTTTCTCAAGAAGGGATATGATATTACCAAGAGAAATACTTGCTCTCAATAACCCCAACCTCATTTTCTTATGAGTTTGGGTAAGTTAGAAAGAAGGTCAAACTTAGTAGCTTAAAGAAAAAAACACATTTTCTTTTGCTTATAATTGTTGAGGAAGGAAATTGGAAAGGGCTAGGCAGGGCAGAATTGGAAGTTTTCCTGTGTGTCTGGCAGATGTTGGCTAGTGCTGCAATTATGTGGAGTCTATTTAAACTGGCCATCCTATGGCTTCTTCATGTGGCTGGTGGTGAATGGTGGCTGTTGGCTGGGAACTCAGCCGGGGATGACAAGTGGATCACCTCCATGTGTCTTTGTAGCACAGCAGTTTCAGGATTTTAGAATTTCTTCCAGTGGCTGGCATATACCTGAAAGAATGTCCCAAGAGAGTCTAAGGCAGAAATGTGTGGCTTATTTATAACTAGTTTTGGAAGTTACAATGAGACATTTCTGCTGCAGTTTACTGATCACAAGAGAGTTACTAAGATTGATTGAGTCTCTACCCATGTGAGGGAGGTGAATCAAAGAACTTGTTGGACAGGTTTTAGACCTGTCATAGAGTGTAAAAAAGCTAAGAGGCTTCATATTCAAGGGAAGAAATACTTTAAAGTTCTCCAGGGATGAGGCTAGTAGTGATGATTCAGGGCAAGACCAGTGAAGTAAGAGAGGCTGGGACATGCATTGAAGAAGCTCACTGAGAAAGTTCTCTGGTAATGGGCTGCAATGTGCTGGAGTTAGTCCACAATGGCTTGCAAGATCCAGTTACTCACTTGTTTTCTCAATTCCAGCTCTGAGTTCAGTGATGTCATTGATAGTTTGAAAATGACTACAGTGGAATATTTACACCACATTAATTGGCAGACTCTACAAATAAGGGTGTTTTTTCCCCAGGAGACCCAGTTGCTGAATAGTTACCAATTGGTAATGGGGCAACTTAGAAACTACTTTTAGGAGAACTGGACTGTCTCATAGCAATTCTATGTTGTGAACTTTGGGGTTAAAACCACTCTGCTTTTGTAACCTTTTCAGTAAAATTTGCGAGGTTCCCTATTGCTTTTGGGTGAATGACATTTTGGGGGATAATCTAATGTGATTCTGAATTTGAGTCAACACTGGCTGTTTCAGAACAGCACATGTTGAAGCAGGAGCCTGATGCAGAATACGTCATTAGAGGGAAAGTGCTGGTAATTAGCAGAAATTACAGGAAGCTCTGTACTTCAAAGACTTTAAAATTGAGTGTGTGAACCAAGCACATTTGAGTTTCCAGAGAAGGAATGAAGCTCCAGTTGACACTTTGGTTATACAACTGCATGATAATTTATCATTTACAGTATACTTTTATGTACCTCATAATGTTTAAATGGGTTATAGATCAAATGCAAATATTTAAATATTTTGCATGACATTGGACAAGTCACTTAAATTTTCTGATACTCAGATTCTTCATCTCTAGGAATTAGCTGAAAGTATCTTTATAGAGAGTTGTTTCAGTGAGTGCTGTAAGATTAAAAAGAAAAATAAGAGACCATCATTAGCCATGAGTTTAGTAAATATTTCCCAGTGGTGGAACACCAATTCCAAGTTTATGTAAGTTGGTGTTGATGGGAAATAAGCAATGATTAAACAAAGGAAAATCAGGAGAAAGATTGTTAACAAAGGGCAATGCTGTATAAGTGCAAAAAAAAAGGGGAAAACCACAGTTTTTTGATTTCACAAGGAAGCAGAGGGCTGGCTTTCATTCATGCCCCACTCCAGCCTCAGTTCCATTGCTTCTTGCCGGCAAAGCTTTCTCGCTCTGACAGAAGGCAAGCAAACCCCAAGAGGCCCCAAGGTGGCCTGTCAGAGGGGGTAAAATATATAGTTTTGCAATTGTATAATATTAATGTTCTTATCAGAGTGAGAATGTGAGTAGAAAGCAGAGATTTTAATAATATGACCCAAGGAAGTCAATTTTGAACATTTTACAGTATTAACAAAAATGTTTAGAACTTTAGAATATATTTAACTCAATAAAAAATAAATATATTTTATGTTATGTATGAATAACATAAACAAATGTTTGGATTAGTTCAGAGTTGATATTTTAAAATAATAAATGTTTTGTTCTAGTCCATTTAATTATGGGTCTTGATTGGCAATTCTGGAAAGGACTCAGAAAGTAAAAAAGGAGAGTAGGGAAAGCCTCAAGCTTAGATACCACCTAAGTCATCATTAATAGCTATTGGTAGAAATATGGGTGGTGAAGACCATTCTGATGTGTTCCCAGATCCTACTGGGGAGAATGGGATTGGAAAATGGAGAAAAGTCTATCTTTGTTATGAAGTGTCACATAACTTGGCTGAGTTGTGTTCCTGTCCTGATATTTTGGGGAAGGTAGAACTTGTGAGTGATGAAATTGTATATTTGGCTGCAGCACTTTCTAAACAACACTTTGAAAGAGTAGCCTCCTTCCTCTTTGCTGCTCCTAGTAAAATGGGAGAAGAGAAAAATTATTAGAGGATGGAATTGTTAATCAAAAGGAAAGCAAAACTTAAATATCTGGAAAATTCTTAGTCTATCCATATTGTAAAAAATGAGGAAGTATCTTTGCAAGAGAAGACCAAGGGTGTGACCAAAGGACAATCTAACAGAATTACTCAGTCATTTAACAGAATCTAGAACCTGTTGTCCCAGACCATGGAAGGATAATCCTAAAAGCAATTCAAAAACTATCAGAACTGCCACCCCTATCGCAGACCCAAAATGCAAAAGTCGGGGCAGCAGGGTGGTTTCCAATTTAAAGAAGGGACCACCACGACCCCGTGCTGCTTCACATTGTGGATCTACCTCCCTTACTCTGTTACCATGCACCTTGGTAGCCCCAGATTCAGTTCTGGTGAACTCTGGCAGGGAATTGTTAGGGGGGCAGAGCCACCACAGTGAACTTCTAATAGGCCAATGCCCAGCAGAGCCACAAGAGTAGGGCTGCCCCTGAGACCTCAGACCTGGAGAGCCACGGGCATAAAATTCTTGGCTGGAAGATCCACAGGCACACATCTCCAATCCATGAGAGCTGCATTGTAAGTTGCATCTGGCAAAGTCATGTAGCCAGGGGTTCCCAGAGCCTTGGAGGTCCAAACTCTGGGGGGCAAAGCTAAGGGAGTACCACCCAGGGTGCTCAGAAGGGACTTTTCCCCAAAGTGGGTTGGAAGGGCAGAGCATCAAACCGAAGAAGATTGTTATTGAGACTTATGCTATAATGTTTTCTCTGTTGGGCTGTGGACTTAGGGCCTCTTTCCCCTTTCCTCTTTCCTGTTTCTATGTTTTAGAATGGGGATGCATGTTCTGTGCCTGTCCCATCATTGTATTTTGGAAGCACATAACTTGTTTGATTTCATAGGTTCACAGCTAGGGAACAATTTGCCTCAAAATGAATCTTACCTTGAGTCTCATTCATACCTAACTTAGATGATATTTAGATGAGATTTTGGACTTTGAACTATTGAGTTGATGTTGGACCAAGTTAAGACTTTTGGGGCTACTGGGATGGAACGAATGTCCTTGCTTGTGAGAAAGACATGAATTTTGAGGGCTAGGGACAGAATGCTGTGGTCTGAATGTTCATGTCCCCTCAAAATATGTATAAAAATTTGATTTTCCAAAGTGATAGTATTAAGTGGTGGGGCTTTTAGAAGGTGATTATGGTGGAGCCCTCATGAATGGGATTACTGCACTTACAAAAGAAGCCCAAGGAAAACCCCTTTCTCCTTCCAACATGGGAAGATGTAGGTGAAATATGACATGCTTTTCTGTGAACCTAGGTAAGGATCCACACCAGACTCCAAATTTCCTGGTGCCTTGATCGCAAACCTTTTAGCCTCCAGAACTATAAGAAATAAATTTCTGTTTTTAATGAAGCTGTGCAATTTATGATACTTGGTTATAGCAGCCAGAAGAGTCCAAGACGTGGTCCTACAATGAAGTTAGAGAATTTTTTTAAGTGTCTGTTTATTGTTACAAATGGCAAACAAAAGGTCATTATGCTTACACACACAATAAATGTGTACAATGTGTATGAGTAAGTTTAAAACAACAATTTTTTTAATATGAAAGTCCCAGTTAGTTTTAAAAGAAAATGAACAACTGAGAGTAATAAAACCTTTGTTCTTGTTTTGACAGTGATGGGGAAGGGTTTTGAAAAATAATGAGTTGGCTTCAGTTTGGAATTAGGGAATTACCTACCATAAAACTGTCTTTTAGATATCCTAAAATATCATCTGTTTTGAGATACACAACATCTAAAGGCCAATGACTTTATTTTCCTGCACAGAGAAAGGAGACCTAAGAAGGATTATTTTAGGTTTGGATTCAGAAATGGCCATTGTGTAAAGTATGTGAGAGCAGATTTGAATATTTGCCATAGTGCAGAAATAATTGCTTATAGTACCTGATTTTTTTAAGTTATTATTTCATCCATAATATATCTTTTTCTTATATCTTTAAAATTTTTACAAGATAAAATGAAAATTGAACTAACTTAGACAAAGGTTATTTTCAAATTATAAAAGTATATAGATTTCAAAATGTTTATTGAATACTTATGCACAATGGTCAAAACACTTATATTTTTATATAATACACTATGATTTTTAGCATTCTGAGCAAATATGTGAAACCTTTTAGATATTTGCATTATTGTTAACAAAGAAGTTAGTGAAACATGTCACATATATACAGTTTTTTTATATTAGCTTGAATTTCTTAAAATCAGCCTTTACCAGGTATATTAGTCCATTCTCACTCTGCTAATAAAGACTTACCTGAGACTGGGTAATTTATAAAGAAAAGAGGTTTAATTGACTCACAGTTCAGCGTGGCTTGGGAGGCCTCAGGAAACTTACATCATGGTGGAAGGGGAAACAAACACGTCGTTCTTCACATGGCAACAGGAAGGAGAAGTGCTGAGCAAAGAGGGGAAAGCCCCTTGTAATACCATCAGATCTTATGAGAACTCATTTGCTATCATGAAAACAGCAGCATGAGGGTAACCAGCCCCATGATTCAATTACTTCCCACCGGGTCCCTCCCACAACACATGGGGATAATAGGAATTACACTCAAGATGAGATGTGGGTGTGGACACGCCAAACTATATCATTTCATCCCTGCCCTCTTTCAAGTCTCGTGTCCTCACATTTCAAAACGCAATCATGCCCTCCCATCAGTCCCTCAAAGTCTTAACTCATTCCAGCATTAACTACAAAGTCCAAGTCCAAAGTCTCATCTGAGACAAGGCAATACCCTTTCAGCTATGGGCCTGTAAAATCAAAAGCGAGTTAGTTACTTACTAGATACAATGAGGGTACAGGCAATGGGTAAATACATCCATATCAATTGGGAGAAATTGGCAAAAACAGAGAGGCCACAGGCCCCATGCCAGTCCAAAATCCAATAGGGCAGTCATTAAACCTTAAAGTTCCAAAATGATCTTTGACTCCACGTTTCACGTCCAGGTCATATTGGTGCAAGAGGTGGGCTCCCACAGCCTTGGGCAGCTCCACCCCTGTGGCTTTGCAGGGTACAGTCCCCCTCCCCGCTGCTTTCATAGGCTGGCATTGAGTTCCTGCAGCCTTTCCAGATGCACGGTGCAAGCTGTTTGGTGGATCTACCATTCTGGGATCTGAAGGAGGGTGGCCCTCTTCTCAAAGCTTCAATAGGCAGTGCCCCAGTGGGGACTCTGTGTGGGGGCTCTGACCCCACATTTCCTTTCCACACTGCCCTAGCAGAGTTCTTCATGAGGGCTCCATGCCTGTAGCAAACTTCTCCCTGGATATCCCAGCATTTCCATACATCCTCTGAAACCTAGGCAGAGGTTCCGAAACCTCCAATCTTGTCTTCTGTGCATCCACTGGCCCAACACCACGTGGAAGCTGCCAAGGCTTGGGGCTTGCACTGTCTGAAGCAACAGACTGAGCTGTACCTTGGCCCCGTTTAGTCACAGCTGGCATTGAGCCAGTTGGGACTCAGGGCACCATGTCTTGAAGCTGCACAGAGCAAGGGGGCCCTGGTTTTGGTTCAATAAGGCATTTTTTCATTTTAGGCCTTCAGGCTTGTGATGGGAGCGGCTGCCATGAAGGTCTCTGACATGTCCTGGAGACATTTTCCCCATTTTCTTGGTGATTCACATTTGGCTTCTTGTTACTTATGCAAATTCCTGCAGTGTGCTTGAATTTCTCTCCAGAAAATGGGTTTTTCTTTTTTATTGCGTCTTCAGGCTGCAATTTTTTAAACTTTTATGCTCTGATTACTCTTGAATGCCTTGTTGCTTAGAAATTTATTCTGCCAGATACCCTAAATCATCTCTCTCAGGTTCAAAGTTCCACAGATCTCTAGGTCAGGGGCAAAAAGCTGCCAGTCTCCTTGCTGAAGCATAGCAAGAGTCACCTTTGCTCCAGTTCCCAACAAGTTCCTCATCTTCATCTGAGATGACCACTTCACTGTCCATATCACTATCAGCATTTTGGTCAAAGCCATTCAACAAGTTTCTAGGAAGTTCCAAATTTTCCCACATCTTCCTATCTTCTGAGCCCTCCAAGTCTCTAGAAAGTTCCAAACTTTTCCAAGTTTTCTTGTCTTCTTCTGAGCCCTCCGAATTGTTCCAACCTGTTCTTGTTACCCAGTTCCAAAGTGGTTTCCATATTTTTGGGTATCCTTATAGCCCCACTCCCTTGGTACTAATTTACTGCATCAGTTTGTTCTCACACTGCTAATAAAGACGCACCCCAAACTGGGTAATTTATAAAGGAAAGAGGTTTAATTGAATCACAGTCCTGAGGCTGGGAATGTCTCAGGAAGCTTACATTCATGGCAGATGGGGAAGCAAACACGTCCTTGTTCACATGGCAGCAAGAAGGAGAAATACTGAATAAAGAGAGAAAAGCCCCTTACAAAACCATCAGATCTCGCGAGGACTCACTCACTATCATAAGAACAGCCTGAGGAACCACCCCCATGATTTAATTACCTGCTACCGGGTTTCTCCCTTGACACGTGGGGATTATTGGAACTACAATTCAAGATGAGATTTGGGTGGGGACATGGCCAAACCATATCACCAAGATATAAAATTAAGTTGCCTCACTTTAATAACAAGGTTGAGTTACATTTTAAAATTATTATTAAAGTATATATGTGTGTGTGTGTGTGTGTGTGTGTATATATATATACATATATGTCTTTAAAGTTATGTTAAGTGTTCCATGTACTACTGTATTGAGCACATAGAGGTGCTCAGTAAATGTCAATGTTAGGTGAATAAATGAGCGGATAAAATATGGACCAACTTAGCTGGTCAGTGAGTTTATGGTTACTTATCTTTGAGAAGCATCTTTTGCCTTTCTCCATATTGAGATTGTTTAATTGAGCTGTGTAACTTTTGTATATGTTATTATATGTGTTTAAATTTTGTATATATTTTGTCTACCTTAGTAGCAAATTTTATTGAGAATATTTTTTTCTCAAAATAGCATCCCTTTAAACTAGAAAAAAAAACAGTTTTTATAGCTCTCTTTTGAACTAAATACTAAAGAATAAATTGGTCAAGTTCTTTCTCTGATCATGAAGTACCTGCAAACTGCTTCCCATAAATGACAGAAAAGGTTAAGAGACATTACCAGGATGGCTGCCCCAAATTGTTGCTGGTATCATTAAAATAGTCAACAAAAATGTGGAGCCTACAGCCTTGTAAAAATAGGAACATTTAAATCCATACTTTAGTCATTTCCTCTCCCTGATTTATGTTTTCTTGGTTGTTTGCAGGCGCAGTCAACAGCAGTGGAAGAGCTGGCTCATGTGTGGCTCAGGCTGACTCCACAATCAGAGTGATTATGTGGAAATCAATCAGAATTTTCTTCTTAGAAGATGTTTGTTCTGACATAATGACTGACTTTCCAGCTAATTTTTATTCATAGGCTTCTCCTTGCACAATGATCTCTATTTCTCTCAATGTTATTCTGTGTCTTTCTTGCTTGCCTGCACATTCTGAAAAAAAAAGGAAAGCAATTCCCTACATTTTATTTTGATACTTAATGTTGTTTGCTAACATATTCAGAACACAATGCAACTTTATATATTAGAGCACTTATAATATATATTAGGAAAACATCAATTAGGTACCACCAGTTATTTTAGACAGGTATCTCTTAGGTAAAATGTGGTGAAAATAGAGGGGCAATGATAGAATTCATATGTGAAAGAGTCAATTGGCCATCATTATGCCAAAATTATTTTGTGGTTCAGGGGACATTTTAAACTTTAATTTTTAAGAATTAAACTTTAATTAAATTTATTGTAGTTTAAATGCAATCACAAGGAAAGACTCTGAACTGGAAACACCAAGCCAAGCTCTTTCCTAGTTCTGGTCCCCTATAAACCCTGAAAGTTAATGCAATTATTGTAATTTTTAAACCACCGAGTTCTCAGGGTGATTAGTTATGCAGCAATAGATAGCCTGAAAAGGACCATTCTTTCTGGCACTGAAAATTAAGAAGAGTGATTAACAACATAAGAATGTAGTTTGTGCTGTCTGCCACAGATTTATGTTGTAGCTTCAGTGATTGCTTCAAAGCACCCTTACTAATTGCCAGCCTATTGCTGATACCTAGCTAAATTAGCATGTGTTAGTTTTGATACCACTATAGGCATTTAAAGGATAGCTGATACATTCTATATAAAATATAATTATTTTCCTATCTTTAGTTTATCCTAAAGTAGCAGCTATTATATTCGCTTCTTGATTAGCTTTATACATAACCAGAGAAAGTAAAATATCACAGAGTATATTTGAAGACATAAAAGTCTTTGGACAAAGCTCAAGTAATGAATCAGGATGCTATTACATCCTCCACATGACAGTAAATATATTTTATATTCCTAAATTTTAAGCTTTTAACAAAAGCAAATTTTATACTGGACTATTTCAATTTCTAGGGAAAGGAAATTATCATTTACTGTCTTTGAGGCTATAATCTATTTAGCCATTATTTTTATATTGATCAATTTATAATAAAGGTAAGAGAAAATACTACCACATATATGTTGTTTATATAATTTTAACTTTCATAATTAAAATACTGGGTATACTGCAAGATGTCAATATTTATAATAGCTTATATTTGGAAACAATTATACTTTATATACTCCTAATCCATTGCCTTGTGTGTCATTGAAGAAATTGAAGTTCACAATAATGACTGAACAAATGCTCAAAGCTGGTCTGTGGCAGAACCAAAAATTTCCATGGCACCTTTCTCTTTCCATATTGGGGTGATCTGCCTAATTTGACTTTCTGCTTATATGTCTAGACTCTACCCCTCATTCCTTCTGCTAGTGTGTTGTTGAACCCTTTCTATTAACCCACTCTCGATTTTTCTGTTGCACAATCAATCTGTAGCCTGAATGTTGAGTCCCAAATGCATGAGCTACCTGGCCGAGTAATCTAACTAGATTAGCCTGAGTATATCACTTTAAGGCCAATGTAAAGTTATGTTGTAACTACCTCATAGTTTTGCAGAGGCAAGAAATAGAAGTTAAGGAAGAGAAGAAGCCAATCTTGAATCAGTTAGAATTTCCTTGGACATAGAAAATCTCTACAAGCAAAAACCCATTTGATTGAACAAGCAAGCTTATGCAGTTAAATATATCAAAGATCTTGTCACAAAAAGTGTAAAGGGAAAGTAAAATAAGGAGGGAGCATGAAGAAGCCAGCTTATATTAAAGATTCAAAGCAGGGATATAAGGAAATTCAAGCCAAAAATAAGGAAGAATTCTTATAAATGCCCCAAGAATGAATTCGATGTTTGGTCGATATTCCAACAGATTTAGTAATGCTATTTTTAAAGTCAACAGGCTGCCCATTTTTGCCTCACACTCTGACTGCATGTAATCTGTCAAGTACTCTGATGAGTTCTGGAGATGCTAATGCAAAAAAGATATAAAATCCTTACCTTGAAAATGTAGTTCACAATTTAGCCATGGAGTTATGGCAAGCATCTTGTCTTCAATTTTAGCCCCTCCTCCATCCCTCTCCCAGACACCCATTGTCCTCTTTCTCACCACATCCACCCCCTTTTTTGTCCTGTCTTTGGTGCACTATTTATAATTCTTCTCATGTCTACCACAACTATTTTGGGTAGTAAGAACATCAGTATGGAGACCCCTTAATCCTAACTAATATCAACTCTATCTGTTTGGTATTAATTCTTGTTTATTGAACTTGAGGCATTGAGTACTACAAAAATTATAATACACTACTGGTGAACATTACTTTATTAATGATTAGGTTCCACTTGGATGTTTGTCATTCGTATGTAGCTGTTCTCTCCTTGTAGCCTGTAAACTTTCTATGGATGTCACAAAAAGAGTTTTAAGGATTTTGCTTAAATTAAAATTAATACATCAAGAAAATACTATGCCTCAAACAAAAAATAATCAGTTAATTTAGTTTTTAGAAATCTTTTACAAAAAACGTGATATTTAATAATCTTTATGCAAGGATTTTTGGGATATTAAAATTGTCACAGATTTAATAATACGTTTTATTGTATAAAATTTTTCTTTTCTCTTCAAAGTGTTGGGAGAGTGAATTCTCTAAGTAAAAACTGAAGAGTAAGATGTTATCATTAAACATTTCAGAAAATGCACACTATCGTAGACTGCGCACTGTGAAAATGATCAGCTAGTAGAGGTTTTGGTGAACATATAGTAACTTTTATCAACAAGTAATGTGAATATGTGAAATCTATTGCTTTTCCAAAAGAAAGAAACTTTTACACTTCTTGGTAAAGATAAACTTTCATGTAAGAAAAAATAAAAACATAATTTTAGCAATCCAAACCATACTAAAATCATAAACACTTGACCACATGTTTGAGTACCCCAAAAATTGTTCCTGTGTGGATTCTTCTTCTAGGATGATCAGTCCTCATGGCCTTACTACTCTCCATTTCTGTCCCACTGAGGTTAGCCAAAGTTCACTTGCCTTGTCAGTTAAGTTTCTAAATCAGATGAGTTATGTTTTCTATAATTGAGTTAACCACAGTTAATTGCTTAATAGACTCTGTCTACACTAACTGAAAAAAAAGAATTAATTGCTTGGAGAAAATGCATTATATATTTTATTCACATCTACAGTCATCCAGGCCAAAGTGACAAAGGCACTTTCAACAGTGGCCAGGGCCAATGGCGACAGCGGGGCCAGTGCTTAGCTCAGCCATGTGTTCAATCTAGTACTTTGGCATGTGGATATAAAGAAAATGAGTTATAAATGAACTTCTCCTTAGAGCTTAATTCATTATTATTATTATTATTATTATTTCTTTACATAAGAAAATAATTTTAGGAGTGCTTTGGCAAAAGTTTAGGTACAATTTAAGAAAATGCCATTTGTAAAAAAAAAAAAAAAGACTAGTTTTTTTTTTTAATTAAGTTTTTACTTTTAATGATTTAGATTTAGGTTTTAAAAATGTATTTCCTAGCCAAGGTCTAACACCAGGTATCTGAGATTTTTCTAAATTTTCTCTGAAAACATGAGACGCACGTACAGTTATTTAAAATTTGCTGCAGCCATTTTTAATAGATTTTTTATGTTTGAAGAGATGCCAATCGCTTATTATAGTAAGCTATGATAGCAATGCCAATGAATCCTCAATTCCATTGCTTAAATATAAGTGAAATAATAAAGGAAAAGACCAGTATTGAATATATTGCCTCTTCCTGCTACACTCTAACATATTCACTACAATAAATGGAAAGTTGCACATACAATAAAAACTTAGGCAATTTATTTATTTACTTATTTTTTATTTATTTTTTTGATATGGAGTCTCGCTCTGTCGCCCAGGCTGGAGTGCAGTGGTGCGATCTCGGCTCACTGCAAGCTCCGCCTCCCGGGTTCACGCCATTCTCCTGCCTCAGCCTCCCTAGAAGCTGGGACTACAGGCGCCCGCCACCACGCCCGGCTAATTTTTTGTATTTCTAGTAGAGACGGGGTTTCACCGTGTTAACCAGGATGGTCTCGATCTCCTGACCTCCTGATCCACCCACCTCGGCCTCCCAAAGTGCTGGGATTACAGGCGTGAGCCACTGCACCCGGCCGGTAATTTATTTAAGTATAATTGATAATCAGGGCAATATCAGAAAATCTTGAATAATTTGTACTCTAAAATGAATTTATGCTTTTCAGTGCTGGAAGCATTATAGAGGTTGTTTCAACTATGAAATCATTTTGTCAAACGTTCTTTGAAGTCTATGACCTTAAGTAAAGCATTTAAAACCCAATGGTTTAGAAACGTCCAGAGAAACAAGTATATTGGCAATTGTAAATAATTTTTGAAGTATTTAGCAAAACAGCGAAGTACAATAAGCATCCTATTCACAATTCCAATGTAAAAAGAGATCTGGTCATAGGCAGAATTATACTAAGAAAAACCCTATGAAGAAAATAAAGCTTGTTTGTTACCTCCAAGATTTCACCATCTTTTTCCCGTGTCCCTGCATCTATGCCCTACTGTTTCTGCTTCCTCATTAATCTTAAATCGACTTAAGTGGATACTGGTTGTTTAAATATTTCTTATCTGTATCACAAGTTCAACAAGGAAAATATCTTGATAATAAAAAAAGCCAAAGGAAGCTTTTAAAAATTTACCCATGGATTGTAATTACCCATGATCCCCATCCTATTCCTTTAGAACTGTTAGATAAGAGTTTTCTACACTTGAAACTTTGAGTGTTTCTAAAAATATTTCCTGCTTTGAGCTTACCAAGTTGATAGATACCGTCCAGACAGGGTGAACTGAAGCAAGAGTCCCTGGCTCGAAAGTGTGCCTGGCATGTTCTAATAAAACAAAAAGGCCGCACGGGTGCTCCTAAAAGGGAATAAAGTCAGCAAGTGGGGAGAGGGGCATGTATGACTTCTTGTTGATTATTAGAAGAACATTGAGAAATGCAAAACCACTTTGTGGTTTTGTGAATCCACTGCTGTTTTCAGGATACACTGCGGGGGGTAATGGCACAAAAGGGAAATCTCCTGGTTGATAGTTTGGTAATCTAGACAGAAGGTGGTGTTGGCTAGAATCAAGGTAATAGCAAGTCGAGTTATCAGAAATGTGGAAATTGGTTTTATATTGAGAAACAAGCCGATGGTGCTGCTGAGAATTGCACGTGTAGTGAGGGAGAACAAAGGGACTCAAGAGTATATTTTTTTAACCAAAGCAGCTAGAAAGATGACATTGCCTTTGTACCCTTCATTCTCTAATTGTATTCCCCATCTCTGCCTTCATTCTCTGATTACCTTTCCCAACAGGTAGCTTTAGCTTGTCCACACCTAACTATGCTTCTGTCTAGGGCCTTGACACTTCGCGATTCCTTCCACCTGGAATGCAGTTGCCCAAGATATCCTCATCAATTATCTCTCATATTTTTCAAGTTTTTATTTGAATGTCACCTTTTCAATACAACTTGCCTTGCCCCCCATCTTAGATTGTATCCCCCTAAATACACTTCCTGTCTACCTTCTCCGATTCGTTTTTCTCCATAGCGCTTATCCCAATCTAACAAACATATTTTACTTATTTTATTTATTGCCTATTTCCCCAGTAAAAAGGCAGCTCAATAACAAGGATGTCTGCTTGTTTTGTTCACTACTCTCTCTCCAAAGCCTGGAATAGTATTTGGCATATAATAGCACAATAAATATGGGTTAGATGCATGAATTAATGCAGGGAATTAGCCAAGCTATTTACTGTACTCTGGTCTCTGAGAAAATTTGCAAGCAGGAGAAAGATTGCTCTATGGAAAAACGTATGAATCAAAGCAAAAAACTCCATCATGGTGTATCCAGATGAAAGTTGTTTATTGTAATTTAGTTTGTGATAAAGTCTTCATCATAAGGAGGATGAAAACAAAAGCCCTAGTAGTATCAGATCCTCAGAGAAGAGCTAATAAGCTGAGCTCCTTAACATGACTCATGCTTTCTCTAACTTGGGGGAATGGTTGGCCCCAACTCTCACTGAGTCTGCACACTGAGGAAAACTCCTCAAAATCTAGCAGCCTGGAAGGATGAATGCAAAAGAACAGTAACACCAATATTCCCTCTACCCAGCTGACATTTCTCTCCCATCCTTCATTTCCTTACCATAACCCTCTGTGCTAGCCCATTGTTCATGGATAATGTCCAAGAATGTACAATGATATACAAGATCATGATAATTGAATTCCAACTTCTGTCATTTTTCTTCGTGCCCCCCCATATCCAGTGATTCTGAACTGCTACAGTTCTGTAAACCAAACATCCCTTTTCCCCAATTTTATAACTAAACGCTTTTACTTTTTTATTCTTCCTAGAATAGCCTTTCTTATCTCATATCTTTGTAAATTTTAATTCATCCTTTAATAATCATTTATAGCAGTTCTTCATTAGTGAAATTCCTGATACATTTCCCACCCTCTCTGAAAAATTAATTGCTCCCTTATTGATTTCCCATTGATTCTAATAGTTATGAAATATTTTATTACAATTACTGGTTCACACATCTGAATTCTGCTTGGAGCTGTGAAGAATCTGAAGGCAAGAAACATATTCTACTTTCTTTGTATAAAATGGACTTATCACATAATAATGGCTCATTAGGGTGAATGAATGATTAATATTAACAAAGAAAATTGTCAAAATTAGGTAAGCTTCTTTTAAAAAGTTGAAGTTAAACATTAGCCATATGTTTTCTGGAAAACTGAGCACTTTCTGATGTGTTTGAAATCACATTGAGAAAGTCGTCTCTTTTGCTACTTTTGTTTACTGGAATGAAGGGTAACTGGAAAGATTTCCCAGAGAAAACAAGACCACAAATGTTTTGAAGTAGGGAAAAATATTTTAATTGAAATAGAGGTGGTACAAAGACAAGAAATATGACATGTGATACAGTAGATATAAGCGTATATGAAATATATGGGATGAACATCCATACAGGTTTCACAGGACTGAAAGGTGCAACTGGTACAGAGAGTCTGGTTGTTGAAGTATTTAAAACTCACAATCAAAGCTCTGATAGTAGGATGCAATGTCAATGATTACTAATCGAGACAAATTTGCTCAAGATCATTGTATAATTACACCCAAATTCCAATTTGTGAATAGATTTACTCATCGTGACCTAGCTGATAACATGGAAAGATAAACAAGGCAGATACACAGAACATTTTGCAGACTATGGTGGCTGCAAGAATAGCTTTTCGCTTGATTCAGGCTTTAAGTGTTAGCCTGAACACTCAGAACGCGATTTATTGTTGGAAAGGGATTAACGAAGACATTTATTTCAGAGGCTACTTTGTTGTTGTTGACATTTTTGTTGTTGTTGACTTTTTTGTTGTTGTTCTTCCCTCTCATCTGGGATATTTCCCTTGCCCTTCTGACGGCTTGTCAATGGGGAGGTGTTCGTTCCTGCTTTATCTATTGCATATCTGTCTGCTTAATATGAATCTATTACACAGAATAAGGAAATACATTTAGGGCTGACTAATGTAAAAATACTCTTTGATGAGCAGTACACTGCAACATAGCTCAGAGTTTTCAAATTTATTATATTGGCTCTTCCAAATATGTTATTCATATTTGCTGAGAGTTGCTTTTATAAATTTCTGCTTTGGAGCATACAGCTCAGTGGAAAGATATGTGTTTATCTGAATTAGCTGGCTCTAATCCCAAATGAATATTTGTACAAATCTGTTTTTAGCATTGATATTAATTTATTAGACAATTAGAATATGGCAAATGATGCAAAGTTTGGAACTTGTTTCACATTTTTTTAATGGTTTGTACTCACTCCCCTCCCCCATATACGAGATTTTAAAAGTCTATAGGGATATCTTAGTACATATTTATGCAGATTACTTTTTTATTTATGGAAGGGGATTGCTTGATCCTCCAGGTGGTTATAAAACTGCTATTTCATTTTGACATGATATAAATTGGTTTAGAAAAAACAAATTATTCTAAAGTCTTTAGAAACCAAAATGATGCTGTTGGAGCATAGTAATAACGTAAATAAATCTAGAAGATGGAGATTTTTATATTTCTAGAACTAGATGGGTTTGTCCTGGATCATGCCTCTGAATTTAGTCTCTGATTTTTATCCAGGGGTGATTTTTGACTTGTATAAAACCATGGAAACCAAGAGCCATCATAAAGCAAGAATCGGTTTACAATCTTTGGAAATGTGTATTTACGTAGACCATGAAATAAAAAATATTTTGTTCAAGAAAAGTTGTTTTTAATGCTGCTCTGAACAGCAGACCAAAAATAACATTTTTAAGAGCAAGCAAGTCGTTTTTGTGTTTTACTTGCCTGCCTTATAAATATGGAATGTTGGACCCAGAAGAATACCTGAGTTTAGGACCATACATTCTTTTAGGTAAAATTTTATTGAAAATTAAAGTATATATAGAAAAGTGCACAAATCAGAAGCCTACGGCTCAATGGATTTCAAGTGAATATAGCCATGTAACTAGCATGCCAATAAAATAACACATTGATAGAGCATTACCCGACCCGGGCCTTCTCATGCCTCATCCCAAAGGTAATTGCTATTCTGCCTTTTAATTATTACATATTAGTTTGGCCTATTCTCTTGAACACAACTCTTCAATGCTTGTAAGTTCCATTTTAGAAGATCTTGCAAGTGGAATTTGCCTTCTCCCACTAGTCAGTCTTTAACCAGGAGATATCAAGATGGAATCAGAGGAAATCTAAGCACTTTAAGTGGTTTTGCCGTGACAGCATCCTTTGTGATTACTGAAAGAAAGCTGGAAGTTGATAAAGTGATCCATGTTGAAAGTACAGATTGTGCTTTGATAGTGGCCATGTTGTTCCTGCCACAATGTTTCCCTGCACTATTTTTGCCCAATATTGGATTTAACAGTAAAAGTTTAAGTAATGCCATATTCCACTAACATATAACAAAAAAATGGAATTAGAAATAGGTAGCAAATTTTAAAGATCAGAGAAAAAGGAATTGTGACATTTAAGAATTACATGTGGTTAGAGATCTTTATATATCAACATATTGAAAGAAATTAATTCAGTCAGTTCAGGCATGACGTTTATTTTTAACAATTAGTATTCTATTCTCTATAATCATGTTCCACAGTTTAAAGTGCTTAATGAGTTCTTACTGGAAGGGGACTATTTCGGGAGAGTATAATGGCCTTTAATCACTTCACTCAAGCTATTAGCAGGAAAGATTGTCAGGAAATATTGTTACTTTTGTTATAAAATCAATTGAACTTTCACTTGGATGAAACAAGAAGTTTGTCAATATGGTATATAACCTCCAAGGTCTTTCTCCCTTTTCCTTATGCTATTTCCCCCTCGTCTTCGCCATGTGTTATTGATTCATTTGAATAATCTATGATTATTTTCCTTCTTAATAGCCTGAGAAGAAAAATAGCTTCTAACTAAGCAGCTACCAAGTCCTTAAGCTAGATGCTATGTTTATATTATCTCAATTAATCCCACTCAGTGTAGTCGATGGTATGATCCTGTTACAATTGTGCAAAATGGAGTTTCAGGAAGATACACAATTTGCTCATTATCAAACTCTCATAACATCCACAGAAAATAATTGAAACACAAAGCCATATGACTCTTAACCTCTACTGAAAGATGCTTTTATATAGAATCTAAAATGTTATGTTAGATATAATATATTGGCTGGTGAAGTTTTATCTTTTCCAAAACAGAACAATATTTTAGTGTTTTCTCAGTGAAAATAGTGAACACTATTCAGATTCAGGTGATGATATCTTTGATTATCCTCATGAGAGAGTCAGTGTAGGTAGTTCAGTGGGTCTCAAAGCATAGTACCTGGACAAGCAGCAACAGTGACATCTGTGAGTTTGTTACACACACACATTCATGAGCCCTACCTTAAATCTCTGAATATCCAAGCATGCGATCCAGGAAATTCTATTTTAATAGGTTCTCGAGATGATTCTTATATGCATTAAGGTTTGGGAACCACTGACATATTTCTTAAAAGCACGAATTGCGGAAACAGACTGTGTAAGTTTATATTCATGTTCTGTGAAATACTAGCTATGTGACATTGAACAATTAATTTATCTTTCTGGATCTCAGTCTTCTTCATTTATGAAACTTATACAATAATCATATCTGCATCACGTTGTTTTCAGATTTGTTGAACACACATAGAAAAGTGTCATGCTAGGGCCAGGCACGGTGGCTCACGCCTGTAATTCCAGCACTTTGGGAGGCCAAGGCGGGTGCATCACCTGAGGTCAGGAGCTCTAGAGCAGCCTGGCCAACACGGTGAAACTCCATCTCTAGTAAAAATACAAAAAATTAGCCTGGCATTGTGGCAGCAGCCTGTAATCCCAGCTACTCGGGAGGCTGAGGCGGGAGAATCGCTTGAACCTAGGAAGCAGAGGTTGCAGTGAGCTGAGATCGTGCCACTGCACTCCAGCCAGGAAACAAGAGTGAAACTCCATCTCAAAAAAAAAAAAAAAAAAAAGAAAGAAAAGAAAAAGAAAAGTGGCATGCTCATAGCAAGTACTATGTTAGTGATAGTAAATGCATGGATCTTGTTTTCATAATACAAATTAATTAATGATATAAAGCATTCATTAAATATCTCAATATTTGGAACCTTTTCTTTTAATAATAAAGTCTAGTAAATGTTGTTATTGAATAGAAATACACTTTTAAAAACGTTGTGCATTATTTTAAAAATATATGAATCAGAAAAGGAAAGGTGATGGAAAACTCATACAAATATAGTAAATTGCACTGTTTTTGTGAAGATGATTTTATGCAGAATTCAAAGTAGATGCAATTAGTGCTTCAAATTAGAAACTGCAAATGATGAATTCACAAGCACATGATTTAACAAACAAATCAGAGAAGAGAAAAAGTTTCTGATGAATTTGAGTTTCTACATGTGGATTTCATCTTGTGATAAGCCATTCTCAGGAGAAAGCATGAGATGTTATTCGTCATTCCAGAAAGTGGGAGAACATAAAAGTTGAGAACAGTTATTGCATAAGCAAGAATTATCAATGAACACAATTAATTTAATACATACACAGGCATTTGACTGTATGAGAAAAAGCATTTCATGTTATTTGCTTTGTAGATACAATATCAGTTTCGATGAGATTCATGCTGCACGGATGGTTACACCTGTCACCTGTGGGTGGGTAATCTTAATACCTGTGATGACAAGTAGACCACGGGGGAGGACTCGCAAAGGATTTGAGTGAGGAGCCACTGATGCTGTGTAAATGCCAGAGCCGTGACCGTGCACTTTTGGGGGGATGTGCTTAAATATCTTCAGATTTCACAGAAGTTAGGGCATCAACGGAAAATACTTTTGTTTTTTCTAGCTCATCTGCACAAGTTGAACACACATTGTTAGATAGTGTGTATGTCAGAGCATATGTGAACAAATGAAGGCGAAAAGTCAATAGCCATACATTTGTATTTGTATTGCTCTTTATCAATCTAAAAAGGTACATTAAACAATAAAATGACAATTCAATTTTTAACAGCATTCTAGACTCTAGAAGGTGTTTTCTAATCCACTCTCTTAAGCCATTCTCACAACAGTACAAGGGAGAATTTCAATGAGACCAGGTCACCCAGCAATATGGTGACACAGATGAGACACCTCCTCAGATTTTTGTTTCAAAATTTTTGTTCTGCCTACTATGCCATACATGCTGTAATCATTTAATTAGAATTTATATTTTAATAAATGAAAACTAAAGAGTTTTTGCAATTGTGTTAACACTCACGTGTTAAATTTGTAATTATGTCGGTAAATAAAAAGAGTTTAAATCCACACCCCATTAGCCAGGCGTGGTGGTGCACATCTGTCTGTAATCGAAGTTTTAGAAAACTGAAGTGGGAGGATCACTGAGCCCAGAAGAGGTGGAAACTGAAGTGAGCTATGATTGCATCACTGCACTCTAGCCTGGGAGACAGAGCACGACCCTTTGTCCAAAAAAAGAGGAAAAAAAAAAAAAAAAGAAAACAAAAAGGCGCAACACAGAGAGAAGTGATCTTATCCTTATCCTTATGCTAGATATATATTTTTTTTCTGGTCAGAGAATTACAAGTCTGTCTAGGTAGGCTCACATTTGAGAAGAGAAAATCCTGTTCTATTGACTTAGAGAGTTAAAGACCCTGCCATAAGCAGAGAGGGCACACGTGGGACTCTGCGCCAGGACAGGCACAACTGTGGGGGACGCTTCATAGCAGCTTTTGCAGATCTCCTCTGCACCTGAAGCGCCGCCTGTAGAAGCTAGATGAAACCTCACAATGCCAAAGGGTTGCTGGGCTTAGGAAGCACGGGCTGCATAGGGATAACTAGATCTTTATGGATCCTGAAGCCACTGCCCTTTGTCTGGATATCTGTCTCTTTGTGTGGCCTTATAGGCTGCATTTTTCTTGCCTGTATGCCTGAGGTCTTGATTTAGTCACACTGGCAGGGTACAAACTGGCCTGACTCTGCCAGTGACTTCACAGTGCAGTTGCAATGTCATTTAGTTACCTTCCCTTGGAGGAACTGCTACTGTTGATGAAGAGTGCTTTGGACCAAATATTTTATGGGCCCAAAGTTCATGTATTAAAGCCCTAATTCCTAATGTGATGATGTGAGGAAGTGGGACCTCTGGGAGGTAAATAAGGTCATGAGGGTAGAGCCCTTATGAATGAGACTAGTGTCCATGTAAGAAGAGATGGAAGATATGATCTTTCTCTCCACCATTTGAGGACACAGCAAGAAGGCAGCCTTCTGCAAGTCAGGAAGAGAGCCTTCACCAAGAACCCTCTCTGTCAGCACTTTGAACTCAGACTCCCCAGTCTCCAGAGTTATGAAAAATAAATTCCTGCATTTTAGGCCACCCAGTCTAAGACAGAGAGGTAAAATATATAGTGCTTGGGCCACTCGTTTGTTATTAAATTCACTATGTATTCAGCTTCACTTATATCCTTAGAAAAGTTTGCGAATGCAGTTGAATGGGTGGAGAACGGTAGTTGCAGATAATCAGAGAAGAAGAGTAGAGACAGGGTGCAGGGGAAAGTAGGTCCTTTAAATTGAAAAATGATAACATGATCCATTCATATAAATGCACTTTTGTTCAATTCTGCTCCAGCTGTATTATCCAGCTTCTCTAAAGAATGGTGCCTGTACAGGACAGGGTGATCTTTACCCTGATGAAAGATGGCTCTCCAGGCAGATAGCAGGAGAGACATTCCTAATTGATTCCAGGAGGGAATGCCACCACCATCACCACTATCATTTATGTTGATATCAAAACTGAAATGTCAATGATCATTTCTGTTCTCTAACATTTCCAATCAGATAATTTAAACATTTTACTCTAAGAGTTTTTCAACTCAAATGTTATGCTTCCTGTTTTGTGCATTTGTATTATTAACTCTAGTTTCATGGGAGTCCCAGTTTTTATACATCACTGTATAGCTTTGATGTTAACATGATTTTGAGTTAACATAATTTTTGCCAAAGTGAGTATTAACCTAGTTTGATCACACAATTTGGTTATTCTTTATTCTGATGCTAAGGGAATCCAATGATTTTTGTTGATAGTAACCCATTAATTCTATTGACTGTAAAGAGTAATCTAGAAGAAATTTAAAGAAAATTTAATCAGATTTTACGTTTTCTGTCGCTAATTTGGCATCTTAATAGCTGTTTATTTTATTCGAGGTGCATCCTGAGTCTTGTAATGTTCACATTGCAATATTAAAGCATAACAGATGAGCCTAAAATGTTCAGTGGTTAATTTGTACAGATCAAGATGTTGTAATTGCAATAACCTGAATGTGGCTAACCCTTGAATAACATAGGTGGAAACTATGTGGATAAATCCACTTATCTGCAGATTTGCTGCCACCTCGGTTACCCCAGACACAGAAAAACCAAACCCTCCTCTTCTTCCCCCTTCTCAGCCTACTCAGTATGAAGACGATGAGGATGAAAACCTTTATGATGATCCACTTCCACTTCATGAATAGTAAATATATTTTCTCTTCCCTATGGATTTCTTAATAGCATTTTCTTTTCTGCAGCTTTATTGTAAGAATACAGAATATAAATCATACAACATACAAAATATGTGTTAACTTACTGCTTGTTATCTGTGAGGTTTTCATTCAACAGTAGGTTGTCAGTAGTCAAGCTTTTGAGGAGTCTAAGTTACATAAAAATTGCTGACTGCGTGGCTGGGGCTGGGGGAGTTGGCAGCCATAACCTCCACATTGTTCAATGGTCAACTGTATAATTTTTTAGCGGAAGTGTAGGAATGTTTAGTATGATACAACCATGGAGAAATATTTTGTATAAATATGTGTAAAATTAAGACTGTAGAACTAAAAATAATACACTTAGTTCATTAGTTATTAATAGCTAATATTGATTTAGCTCTGTGATAATAAATTGACATGCATTACCTCATTTGTCACATTGTCATGAGATCAGGATTTTTATTTGTCTTTCATTACAAATGAGGAAACTAAGTCTAAGAGGAGTTAAGTGATTTACCCAGTATTACATGGCAAAAAAAAAGTCAGAGTTTAAACTTAAAGCCGAGTCTTTGCAATTCTAAAGTCCATGTTCTTAGCTACTGCCTTTCTGAACTTATTAGTCAACCTGAATTCTGAGGATCTCACAAAAAGTTACGTGCTACTTATTTTGGAAGCATTTATATTATGAGTTTCTAAAATTACAAATTCTTTTATGTATGATAGGGAGGTAAAATCATGGCATTTAGAGGCAAACATATTCTATTTAGTTCCCATTTGTGCTACTTAACAGTTGTGAACCTGACGAGTACCATTTAGTAACCTCAACTGTTAAGGTGTGTAAACAAGTTCATTTCATAGAGGTACTGGGGAAAGTTAAGCGAGAGAATATATGACTAACAAAAAATATGATTTTCATTTTTTCCTTGTGTGTATACTTAAGGGGAAATTTAGGACTGCCTACTTGTTATCTTCCACTGAAAACAAAACAAAACAGAAGATTAAAAATACAAACATGTTGCCCTTGTTTATTTTGTCTAACTCAAGTTGTTCTGATATCATCCATTTCTGTGTAACCACAAGCACAGTTGGTAAAGATTGAGTTAGCAATGTTCCCTCAATTCCAGATTGCCTTCTTTACCATCTAATTTCTTTCAGTGGTACCACAATTCTTCCATGCTGTAATAGAAACTTTGAAATTATATTTTGCTATTTTTCTCTTTTGCATCATTATTTTACATTTTGTTGTCAAATATTTATTTTCTGCAGAATATCTTATAATCCCATGCTTCTAATTTCTAGTCAGTGACTTTCTTGATTCTTATTCCTCTAATGTACAATCCAAATAACACTTTCTTCTCTTCTTTCATTTAACAAGTAATAATTTAACGTCAACACTGTGTCACATCTGTGGTGTCACCTATCAGTATGCAGAACACCAAGGGATTCCCACTGTAGTGTGATTCTTCTTCTTGTGTATTAACACCAATGCTTTCTTGGCCTCTTAACGCTTCCTCCTTGATATTTTTCAGTTCCAGGCACTCTGCCACACACTCTCATGGCCACACACAGGACCTTGTTAACACCTGGAAATTCTCCATCTTTGAACTATGAAAGATTAGTATCTGCAATCAGTAAATGGCATCATCTCTCATAGCTTTTATTCCCCAATGCCTTCTATTCAGCCTCGAACTTTGTTTTTTTTCTGCCTGCTGCTTCTTCCCTCATTAAGCCAGCCACATCATTCGATCCCTTCACTCACAGCATTTTCAAGAACATCCCCTCTTCCTCTTTTTATCTTCAGTCACTCTGGTGTGAATATCTTAACAATTATACAATACACTTTCAGTGTTCCTAGACTCCTGTTGTTAGAGACAGCTGTGTAACAGAATGCCCTGGTGCAGACTGGGGGTCCCTGGATACCGAGGGTCTCCAGTTTCAGCTGGCCTCCTCCCTTAGGTAAGAGATAGAAACAAGAATCTTAGTATTATTCTAATGTTCAAGTATCTGGTCTTTTCTGCTATAGTTTTCCCCCATAAATCTTGATTTTTAGCCATATTAAGTGTTTTTTTCATTTACCAGATAAACAATTTTGTCTCCAGACTTTCTGCCATTTTCACTTTTTTTACCTGCCAAACTTTTTGTGTCTTTATGTACTCAATTTAAAATCCTCCTTTATGAGATTTCAGCTTTTTCTCTTGGACTGAGATTGAGAACCTCTCTCTGGGCTCCAATAATTTCAAATGTCTGCTTAAATTTTGAAGCATAATTTCATTTTATGAGAATACATAGATTTCAGACTACTAAGCAATAGAAATATGGATACAAGACATACACGGGACCACTTGGGGCATAGTAAGTATTCAAGAATACTGAATACTTGGTGGATATTTGGTGAGTGTATTAGGCCGTTTTCACACCGCTATAAAGAACTTCCCGAGACTGCGTAACTTATAAAGAAAAGAGGTTTAGTTGACTCACAGTTCTGCATGGCTGGGGAGGCCTCAGGAAACTTAGAATAATGGTGAAAGGGGAAGCAGGCATGTCTTACATGGCAGCAGGTGAGACAGAGAGAGAGAGAAAGAAAAAAAACAGCCACTTATAAAGCTATCAGATCTCGTGATAACTCACTCACTGTCACAAGAGAAGCAAGGTGGAAACCACTCCCATGATCCAAACACCTCCCACTGTGCCCCTTCACCAACAGGTGAAGATTACAATTTGGATTACAATTTGAGATGAGATTTGGGTGGGGACACAACCAAACCACATCAGGGAGTATTATAATTGGTAAAGAATGACTGTCCCTAGTGCATTGAAATGTAAGTCTCATGGAACTAACCTATATTTGTTTAATGCAAATTTGAATTCAAGATGGCAGACTAAACATATGCATTTTTTACTTATCTTTCCAAGTCTTTGTTAAGTTTTAAACGGATTATATAAAAGAGCAAGAAGACAAGAATTAAAAAAGAAGTAGTAAGCCACATGGGAAGTATGCATGAGAGTTAGAAGCTGAGGAAGTGAGTAGTAATCTAAAATCTCAGAGAGGTTTTGGGTTCATAGGTGTGCAAAAAGAGAATGAGCATTGGGTCCAAAAAACAAGGCGAATAATGGAAGGTGAATAGTTGAACAGTTGCGCTGATCAGTCTAGCTTTGCAGCTCATTGTCAAAGAAGAGATCAAGTTGGAATTTTTGGCCAAATACTATAGGGTTGTCTGTGATATTTAATAGTAACTGAGTGAGCAGCCTGAGAGTCAAGACTGTTAGCTATGTTTTGAGACCCCAAAGTAAACCCCTTGCATTTTATCAGTTGACAGAAGAGAAGTGCTCTACATGTGCCCTGACTTAAGCTTATTTTTCATTCGTAAGTGTTAGGTAATTTTTAGTAATATCATTAGCCTTCTATATGTAGAGTTATGTGAGAATTAAAGGTCTCTTTCCCTGCAATCTCAGACAGAATTCTACTGTACATGCAAACATGTATTATCAAGTATGGACAAAATCAATTGTACTGAGTATAATGAAGTCCAGGTTCTCTGCCTTTTATGTCCTCTAATTGTACACAGCATAAAATGTTGACTCAAGCCAGAGCACAAAATACTCAAAGGACAGAATTCAGCTTATCTTATGGTCAGATATTTGCACTAAAATAATTGAATCAGTGATTGGATACAAAGACTTGGATGACATCACAAAGTGTTCAGGCTCTTGAACTTCCTAGGTCCTTATAACCTTCTTTTGAAACAATAGAGGCCGGGCATGGTGGCTCATGCCTGTAATCCCAGCACTTTGGGAGGCCAAGGCGGGTGGATCACGAGGTCTAGAGATAGAGACTATCCTGGCCAACATGGTGAAATCTTGTCTCTTCTAAAAATACAAAAATTAGCTGGGCATGGTGGTGTGTGCCTGTAGTCCCAGCTACTCGGGGGGGTGAGGTAGGAGAGTCGCTTGAACCTGGGAGGCGGGGGTTGCAGTGAGTGGAGATTGTGCCACTGCACTCCAACCTGGTGACAGAGCGAGACTCCAAAAAAAAAAAAAAAAAGGAAAAATAGGAGTGCATATGGAATTCTAGGCATCTCACAAATCTTTAACGTTAGTATTTCTTCAATTAAAATACTTTTTAAAAATTCTAACTGCTAGACCACTAGAGAAAAATACTTTTGGTTTTATTAAATACGTTATTTAACCAACCTCTGGTCTCATCAGAGAGAAAAATAGATGGCATGTTTTTACCTTTCCTTGTTTCAGGCTTCTGATTAGAATTCCTACTAGTCAACCATTTCCAGGGTGCACATTCTTAATATTTCTCAAAATTTATATTAGGCTGAAACCTACAAAATTTATTTTTTTAAGATCAAAGAATGTCAAATATTAGCAAGTCACATGGTTTATACTGTTAAAGCAAACTAAATATGGCCTGAGAAAGACTTTGTACTTCTGTATTTGAGACCTTGTGGATGAACCGCAACCTAAATTAATAGGCAGAGAAAATTTTAAACTTAACTTAGGAGTTAGCACTTATAACAATAGCTGGGTCTTGGTAAATCCCAGCAGCCATACTTCAGCCACTCATACACCGCTGAGTGTTCAAACTGTGTTCAAATAAGGCAAATGCCAATCTGTAACCAGTCCAGCTGTTTCTGTACCTCACTTCTGATTCCTGTATGTCACGTCACTTTATTTGTCTATAAATTTGTTCTGACCACAAGGCATCCCTGGAGTCTCTCTGAATCTGCTGTGATTCTGGGGGCTGCCCAATTCATGAATCGTTCATTGCTCCATTAAACTCCTTTAAATTAGTTTGGCTGAAATTTTCCTTTTAACAATACCATCTCTCCTGGGAGAGTCAAACTCATATGGCAGGTGAGGATTCAGAGAGATTGTTTTCCAAAAGATAGAAAGTAAAGTTGCCATTTTCTTAAGGTCTAGGCAGAGAAACTGGTATAGCTGTACTTCTACCATATTCTATCAGTTACACCCTGTCATGGAGCAGGCTCTTATGCAATGGAAGAGGACAAAGGTGGCCTCATCTTCCCTCCATGCTCTGTTACAAGTATCAATCTGTCTCCCTTTGCATGCCCTGTCTTTCCTTGGATTTTAGGCTATTTCATTTCCTTGCAATATCAGCTCTCTGTTGGATTCAAGAATAGAGATGATTTTGTAGTATGTTCCACTATTTTTCCCCCAAATTATTAAGGTATTAGTAATGCTCTTTCATGTTCCATATCTTAAGTGGAAGTGGAACTTTCTTGCTATAACTTTTGAATTAGCAATTCTAGACTCTAGACTCCAAAGGAGTCTGTATCTGCAAAATTCTGAGGGAAAATAATTGCGAAGTTAAAATTCTAAAAAAGAAAAAATCCTTGTTTAACTAAATTATCATTCTAAAATAACAAAAAATGATATTTTGTAATTATAAGAACTAAGGAAATTGTCTTTATATAAATGTCTGGAGAAATAGATTTCTGAGAATATATTTCAGCAAAACAAGGAAAAAATAACACGGGGATATACTGGGACTGAAATAACAGTGCCTCTTACCCCAGAGATAAGTGACATGAGGTCCCAGAATCATTTTAAGCAGGCTTAGAAGCCGAATGTATAAAATATATCATGTAAAATATAACGTGACACAGAGGGCACTTAGGGTCATTCTGATTCTTGACCTTGATCTGAGTTTCAATGACGAAAATAGATTGGCCAAAGAATGACATACTAGCCACGCCTTTATTTTCATTACATACACTTTTTACTCCATACTGCACAGATATATACAATTATTTTATCTTCCTAACCAGGCAATAAGTTACTTGCCCATCTTCTTATTAACAATAATGTAGATAAAGTATCTTATGAAAGTAGAGAAATGTAGTCAGTTATTTGATAAGTGTGTGAGTTTGTTCATATGGTCTTATAGGAAATAACAAACATAATTTAAATTGGTACAGGTTGTACACAGAACATTTAAAAAAGTTCTACCTAATCTTAAAACCATGGATTTTTACTTAATGTTTCTGCATTTTATAATCATTAAAAACAATGGAAATTTTGTTGAGCTTAATATGAATTAAAATTTTTATATTAGGATATCGTAGGTTTTGCCAATAGAATTCTAAAACTTAAATATATCTAATTTGATTACTATGTAGGTTATGCACTGTGACTCATTAGAATATATGATGTGTTGTTTAAAGTCATAATGATCATCAGACGAAATATGGCCATCTTTAAAGTTATCTCATAGATCTAAGTAGTGAATAAACTAGACAAGAGTAATGTAAAAATGGTTGACATTATCAATGAAGGGTCAATGGATAACTGCGTGGCTCCGGTTCTGATACTCAGAAGGAAACCACATCACTTAAGTAGTAATATGAGGAAAATGAACCACATTTTTAGGAAACATCACACAAACTGTAAACCAAGAACACTTTACTATTAAACTTTTTTTCAAATATGCCAATGCCATGAAAAAAAACAAAGAGCTGAGGACCCATTCCAGTTTAAAGGAGACTCAAGAGACATTACGACCGAATCCTCTATGTGATGTAACATAAGCTATCAAAGACATTAACTTGGTCAATTCATAAAACTGAAATCTGGAAGGTAGATCAAATAAAGGTTTTCTATCAACATTCTGTTTCCTGAAACGGTAGCTTGTGGTTAACAAAGAGGATGCCCTTGTAGTTAGTACTAAGGGTTGTAGGGTCCGTGTGTCAGTGACTTGCACTTGGCAGTGAGTGCGTGGGCGTACGAGCATGCACACCACACAGTGCACACAGGGGTGACGCAACAGTCAGTACATCCAGGAAAAGGATTTATGGCAGCTCCGAGTGAGTGCGTGGGTGTACAAGCATGCACACCACACAGTGCACACGAGGGTGACGTAACAGTCAGTACACCCAGGAAAAGGATTTAGGGGAGCTCTGAGTGTGTGGATGTACAGGCTTGCACACACACAGCGCACACGGAGATGATGCAACAGTCAGTACATCCGGGAAAAGCACTTATGGTAGCTCTGTGTACTATTGTTGCAATTTTTCTGTAAGCTTGAAATTGTCCTCAAATAAAAGTGAAAAAATGTTACCCCAGGAAGGATTGGCACAACATTATTTTAGATGAATACTTCGAAAACTTCCTTTATTTTTTGAAAGTTACTGGAACACGCTGATTACACATTTGGGATTTAACCCCTCTGCCTTAATTATAAACTTAGACGTAAGTGTAAGAACCCAGTTTAAGTTATCTTGAGAAGCACAAAATTTGAGTTACTACACAGTTTCCTTTTAAATGGAAATGAAATACATTTCAAGTCATACTAATATATGTTGGTTTTGAACTACTTGTAGCCCTTCCTTAGAAAACTAAAACAAAAACTCTCTTTTAATTTCATGACTCCTTCAAATACGGAAACTATGAAGATTTATGTCTTATGAAGTTTATTTTACACATAAGTTATTAGATTCTTTTAAAATTATTATTATTATTATTTATTTTTAGAGACAAAGTCTCACTCTGTAACCAAGACTGGAGTGCTGTGGCAAAATCATATCTCACTGCAGCTTCAAATTCCTGGGCTCAAGCCACCTTCTTGCCTCAGCCTCCTGAGTTGCTGGGATTACAGGCATGAGCTACCATGCTGAGCATACAAATTATTTGGTCTGATGAAATAATTATTGATAAAATCAACAGAAGTGATCATTATAAGTTAAATATTTACAGTGTGATTTAGAGAACATACCTGTAGAAAGGATTGAAACAATAAAATATTATTGGCTTGGAATTTGTATAGAATTTTGCCCTTCAATATAGACTGTCATCTAAACACTCAAATAGAAGACATTCAAATTTACAAAATGGTGCTTTATTGGCCAGCCTAGATAATTTTTCTTGCTTCCTCAGCCCCCTTTTTACTTACTCCTGAGGGCTTAATATCACAGACAACTGAAATTCATCTGCACTCTACTTACTATGTGTAACCAGCTGTGATTTTATTTTCTGATGCTACCACATGAAAAAAAATTTTTTTTCCTGAGCTATAGATGTTAATTGGTGTCTTTGTATCTTGCTAATTAAGTTCTAGCAACATCTTCTCCCTCTTCCTCGTTTGCACTTAATGAGCTCACTTGTTGTATTAATTTATAAGATAATTAGATAAAACAAAAAAAGTTGAATTTCTTCAGGAGTGGCTTTGGAAAGTGCCCCTTAAATATTCAAACATGGATAAAAATGTGTACATTACAAGACAAAAAAATCACTTTAAGAAGAAATATACTTAATGTTAGCCTGTAGACTCATACTGACATTTTAAATAATGTGATGATCAGGGCTTATACAAAAAGGAAGAGATTGATTCAAAAGCTCAGGCAATCACAATTATTTTGGTGTAAGCAAAACAGGATCACATATGGTACAACATGATGCTCATACCAGAAACCTTTGCAATATTTAAGCACAACAAACAAATTAGTTAAGCAATGTGCCCCTTGGACTCTAATTACCATTTTTATTTGCATGTTCATTTTTTTCTAAAATTTTTTTAAGCCAGTGGCCAGGCAGTATTAAATTCTTTGCTGTTTATCATGATACCAGAATTTATTTGACAAAAAGTGGAAAAATCATTGACGTACAGTGAAACTGATCATTGTTTAATAGTAGAATTCTGTCGTTCATCAGCAGTTAGGGAATTGTGGAAATTGTTTTGAGTGAGAACATCCAGATGTTATTGATTCCAGTTTTCTGGTCCAACTCAAACTCATTTGGGCCATTAGCTTTCCAACTTGTCCAATATCATCAGAAAAGGCAATGGCATCTCTTACTGCTCTATTTTTGTCTTTGGTTGAGTAATGGATTCCACTTGACTGGCATATATATTCTGGCTGCCCTTTAGGAAATCTAAGCATTTGATGTCAAAAATACACATCTTTTAAAATACTTCTTAATATTGAGGTAAAGCAAACATTCAAAATTCAAAATATCAAGCTGTAAATGTTAATACTAAACAGGAACATATCCAATCGACATTGAAATTGTATATAATGAACAAGAAACAATAAATTAAAGTAGAAAGTCATAATAATATGCAATATTTCAGGTATTCTTTGATAGATGTAATGACAGAAGCTACTACCTTGCCTGCCCCAGTGTTAGTAACATTGAGCTTTCCAGCTAGGATTAGAGCATTTTTATATGAATCCTTAAAAAATGCAATAACTACTCCTCCAGGAGAGGATGCTGTCCCTGCTTCCTGAGGGATAGCACTAATATTTCCAGGTTGTCTGCTTTACATCAAGACTTTGCTTTAGGATGGAAACAGGATTGTAGGGAGACTGTGAGCTCAACAGTAAGATTAGTTTGTCTCCATTTGATCTTTTGATGAAATGCATTGGGGTAAAACCTCTTCCCAGTGTCATTAGTAGCTCATGAATTAGAAAAGATAATTTTTCTCCTACATATTCAAGAAGAATCAGAACCAGGTAATTGACATAGCCAACTAAACCTCTATAGTTATTGGTTTTGTTCTGACTCAAATGCTAACTTGAATCCCTTATGACTGTTAAGAGCATAAAGGGGAAGAGAATGCCCAGGGAGGCAACTGGAGAGACAGAGACAGCAGAGCTGTGAGAAGACTGTTTGCAGAAAATATTCTTCCCATGTGTGGACTTGGCCTTTGAAGCAGAGAATTACAACAGGAAATTAGGAATAGGCTGGTGTAGCCTCATAAACAAGTACAAAATTGTGTCAGCACACCAAAATATTTCACTAGACTGCCCTTCCCCTAGGAGGTTCACAGGTGGTATAATAAATGAAATCAGCAATCCTTCTACATGTCTCGCTTATATGGTTATTTTGGCTCAGCCGACCATTAGTTATTTGTAAGCTGGGGCATAAATACAGACACTAGTTGAATATTTATGTACAGCTCCAGAATCCACCTTCACTAATTTGTCTACTTATGGGGAATATAGCTGTGGGGGGCATGGAAAATATTTACTCTGGGAGCCCTTAAATGTAATGCATGAATATGAATGTGCTCTTGGCACGGGAGGTCCTGGAACTCTTGGTAGGTGTTGGGTCCCTACTGACTCTTTATCATTTTCTTTTTTCCTTCAACTGAATATAAAACTGAAAAGCCGCTTTTAACAGTTAGTAAGTGGTGATACTGCCAGACTCATCCTATAAGGAGTTAGCTAAATTTTATCCAGACATAATATTTTTTATTAGCTTACTTGTAGAGTCCCTCCTCAGAGCCCAACTAAACGTGGTGCTAAACATTCTTTTGCCTTTGTAGAGGAATAACATTCTGAGACTCCTTTGTTTTTTCACCAAACAGTAAAATTAACCAGGTATTGAATTCATACTCTCATTAAAGTCATTGTTACCATTCTTTTACAAAAAAAAATACTCAAGGAGTAAAGAAACATAAAAATTGACACTAAAACAATATCACCTACGTTCGTCTTTCTCTGGATGTTAGATTTGGAATGTATGCATAGAAAATGGTCTTAGTGTCAAAGATTTAATGCTGCAAGAGAAATCATCTCCAAAAGAATATCTCCTTTAATTCTGTCTTCTTATTTATCAAATAGTATCTAGCGACCGCACTTTTCTTTTGTTCCTTTTGTATAAGAAGGAATTATAGCGGTTTGCCACATTAGAGTACTTTAAAAGTGCTTCCTAAAATTTGGTAGAGAATCTTCTTAAAATTTTACTCCACCCTGCATCTTTCTGGATATCTATCACTCCTGAGATGGTTTTTCCAGGCTTAGATTAGTTTTCTAAATCTCTCAGCTTTCTTTTATCTCAAGTGACACAGCAGTTAAATTACATCATGAGTTTAGCCTGGACTCTCTTGAGTCCCCCAAGAAGGAAAACTGAAATTCTGCAAAATGACCTATATTTAAGGGTGAAGGAATTAAGAGACATCTCAAGCCGTCCCCTTATTAGAAGGTAAACTAGGAATCATAAAATAATATATTTGACCGAGTGCTCAGAAATGATTAAATCCAACAGGCTTGCCAACAGAGTTGTACCGTAGAATTGCCAAGGGAGTTATCATAAAGCACAGATACTGGGCTCTGCCTTTGACTTTCTGGGTAGATAAATGCCAGTGATTTTGAAAGTAATTCCCTGTGATTCTACTGAATCTCCACAAATCTTGTGTAACCTCTCAATTTTAAAAAGAAGTTTTTTTTTTTTTTCAGTTTAAGCCATTTATTCAAAGTCAAACATGCTTTAGTGATGGAGAAGAATCTGCTTTTAAATGTATTAAAACAAATTGATAGGAATCATGTTTCTTATTGTTTTCCTGTATAAAGTTAGACAAATAGGATATTTTTGAAGTTATAAATCATTTAAATACCCTTAAACTGTTTACAATATCGTTTGTTATATTTTTATCTTCTGGGGTAATGTTATTTAAATTAAACGAGGTACTGAGTGCTTGCTGAAACTAACTAGAAATCTTAGGCCTTAAAAATAGCTATCTCATATTTTTAAAAGAAACATCAATAATTTTTATATATTTTTAAATTTATGAGATGGAAAGTTAGCTTTTACTAATCTTATCAGGCTAAACTGAGTAATAATGAAGAAAATGAAGAGTTTAGAAATATTTTTTGGAATATCAGTGAAATCTCTAAAAAGAAAAAAAAAACCCTCATCTATATGTGTGAGCGACATAAAGTCACACTTTGTTGAAATGCAAAATGGCCTTGGAAAATTTCATGGAATGAAACTAAATGGCAGCACATCACTTTTCCAGATGGGGTCTTGTGGTTGTGGCTCAGATCATGGGGGTGATGGCAAACTCTTCCAAAGGAAAAATAGTAGCAATCCAGTCACAAGATAGTACCAAACATAGACTCACCGATGAGTAATATGTCAGTTTCTTAAAAGAAAGAGTTGTTAGGAATGAGAGTAAGGATGTGCCTCGATTACAATACCCCAGATACGATACTATTCTGAAAATGGTGTGGGGGTTTTGTGAGGGATGCCAACCACACATTGTGCTAGAAATCTGCATCGGGAAGAAATATTTTTTGCTACATGTTACAAATATGCCTATAGACTGTGATTCAAATAAATAATGTGTTTAGGCCAGGCGTGGTGGCTCACGCCTGTAATCCCAACATTTTGGGAGGCTAAGCCAGGTGGATAACCTGAGGTCAGGAGTTCGAGACCAGCTTGGCCAACATGATGAAATGCCATCTCTACTAAAAATACAAAATTAGCTGGGTGTGGCGACGGGCACCTGCAATCTCAGATACTGGGGAAGCTTGAAGCAGGAGAATCGCTGGAACCTGGCAAGTGGAGATTGCAGTGATCTGAGATAGCACCACTACACTCCAGCCTGGGTGACAGGATGAGACTCCATCTCAAAAATAAATAAATAAATAAAAATAATGTTTTTATAATTTTTTCATAGAAAAATAAACCTGAAGTCAGGCAGTGCAGACTTGAATTTCTCATTCTCAATTCCCATTCATTTTCCTGTGTTTTTGAGGGTTTCTCCTGGAAAGTAAAACAATTCAATGCTTTATCTTCTGCCCTTCAGAAGTCGGGACATCATCACATCATTTTACCTTTAAGATATTGGACTGGATTCATAGAGGAATGAGCCACATACAACATACATAGGAGTATGAAGAAAGGGAGACAGCCTTCAAAGCTAATTTAGTAACTAATATTGTAGTTTAATGTAATGAGAAATAAAACTAGAAGATGATTGATAGAATGCAGAGGGCACTTTAAATCAGAGAGACGATTTGAAAGAAAGAAATATTTTTATATACCTTGATTTATTAGAGATAGATTAAAAAGTTCGTTTAAAAAACGTGATCAAGAACTTGCAGTGATAAGTTATTCTTTTTCAAATATCATGACGATAATGCTGCATAATCACCCATTCAAAAATTTCATGGCTTCGAACAACAAATATTACTCTGGAGCTCTCTGTTCTGTGGTTGGCTGAGTTTTGGCTACTCTTGACTTGGCTGAGCTGGGAGGATGGATCTGCTTCAGGCTGCAAGCTGGCTGAGCTTGGCTCATCACGTTTCATTACGAGGCACAGACTGAAGTGTTTGGAGAAGCCCAGGCAGTGGCATGTTCTTTAAAGGCACTGAGAGGAGCTTATGAATGAATGAAGCTTAACTACATAAGCACACTTGATGAAGTCAAAATGCAAGGACTGGGAAGTACATGCCACCAACCAACAAGCCATGGTAAAGCTGTCGATGTACTACGGGGGAGTGGAGTGCTGGTACGAATCATTCAGTCTTTCACAAAACACTGGCAAAATGCAGGTTATTCAGACAGAATCGTTAAATACAAAAACCTACTTAAAACTTAAGGGTGTATTAGCTATCTGTCTCCAAATGTACTTTTTGAATTTAAGTTATAAGGACTTTCACTGCAGAAAGTATGCAATAATGAAGAAGATAATTGCTTTGGTCATTGGGAAAGTGTTTTTCAGGTAGAAGTGAATGCAGAAACAACCATTCCAAGCAAAACCAATGACTTCTAGGGTAGGCTGGAAAGAGAATTCTCTTAATAGAAAAGAAAGAGCACTTGGAATTGAGATAGAGACGCTAAACTGAGCTACTCCTGTTGGGGCTTTGCTGATCCTTCATGGAATACACTCATTAATTATCACAGAAGCCACCTATGTACTCTGCATTCATTGGGATTTGATGTATAATTGGTTCTTAACTTCTCTATGTTTAGCATTTTGCTTAGAAGTTAGCACTTATCTTCAGGTATTATAAGGCTTTTAAAATGACATTTTCCCCTCTAGAGGAAGTATGCCTTTATTTGTTTATTTGTTTGTTTTGTCTTGTTTCTTAGAGACAGGGTCTTGCTCTGTTGCCCAGGCTGGAGTGAAGTGGCTTCATCATAGCTCACTGTAGCCTTGAACTCCTGGACTCAAGCCATCCTTCTGCCTCAGTCTCCCAAGTAGCTGGGGCTACATGCTTGGCTAATTTTTTATTTTATTTTATTTTTTTAGACATGGGGTCTGGCTATGTTGCCAAGGCTGATCTCAAACTCCTGGCTTCAAACTCCTGGACTCAAGTAATCCTCCCACCTGAAGGTGGGAGGCCAGCACCTTGACCTTTCAAAGTGCTGAGATTACAAGCATGAGCCGCTGGTTACAAGACATGGCCAGAAGTATGGGGTTTTCTATGCTTTCACATATAATACATACTTAGGTTTTCTCGATGATGAAATTATGTTTGGGTTACTTTTAGTAAACCGTATGTGCTTTGAATTAATAAAAAAGTTGTGATTCATTTATTTTCAACTGCTACTTCCCTTCTCTTTTGGAGGTGCTCCGTTAAAAGATTCCCTTTATGTTGTGTCACAGAGTCTGAATTGACACAAAAGCATTTCCAGGCATTATTCTTGTTCCCGGTTGGCTGACATAGAGCCCCACTCACTGATGGCACTGGGGAAGGACAGAGCCTGTTGGACAAACCAACCCTAGGCATTAGTATCAAATGGACAAAAGGATCCTAAGACGTTTAGACAACTGTTGACTTTTATGAAACTGAGACAAAAATGGTAAGAAATTTAGATAAATATTTCCTTTTGTAAAAATGACATGAATTGTAAGTTTCCTACACTGTAAAGTAGAAAATTTAAATTATATAAAACTATATAAAATTATAATTTTTTTCTTAATATTGGCATTTTTATGTGTACTAAGGTATTTACCTCACTTTTAGAATCTCGAATTCTATTGGGAGTGTATTATTTTCAACTCATAAATCACCTTTTAAACATTTGATTCTTATAACTTTTCCTTCTCAGGAAAACTGAACCTATATTTATAGAATATGGATGCTCCAGCAGCTGGTTCAAAAAATGATTCCGTAGTAATAATCACATCAATTATATGGTTAAAATGTGAAGCCTGAGTCACCGAAAAGTTAGGTCATTTAATTTGTTCAATGCAGTTTCTAAAGTTTTCAAGAAGTGTATTAGATTTAAAAGAGACTTGAAAGGGAATCTGATACAATGTCATTACAACTGAGAATTTTCTCACCAGAATTCTTGAAAGTACTGAAGGATGCAACCCTAGTGACATTCTCATTACACATGTAGATCAGAAACCAAGAAGTCTATGAGTAACGTTTGGAAAGAACAATGTTTAAATATGAAAAATGATGTGACTCATGATTGAAAAAGAAAGTCATGTAAATTGGAAGTGCAAAAACTTTACAGGAGAAATCTATGAGACCAAAAATAGGTAGTAAAATAAAAATGAAAGTAAATATGGTTGCCTAAAACACATTAACAAATGAAACAAATAGATAAAACCAATGAGAATGGGCAGCACTAAGAGTAACAGAGAAGTTTGACCCAGGCAATTTTGATGAATTACTTGGGAAATCTGGTAATAATCAGGTAATATGGGAGCAGCATGATTAGTTAATAATTCCACTTTAAAAAATTCACACAGAAAAGGACAGAGTATATACGGAAGACATGCACAGCTTCTATATTAATGTGACACTGCTCTGAGTAATTAAACACCGTTTCCAGGAAAGATTTGTTCAGTTGTTCCTAGAGGGTGTGGATACATCCAGGACATTCAGCTTCATGACTTCTCATTTGTTTTAGTTTTTATCTTTTAAATTGGGGGAAAATGATGTGTTATTCACTGATCTTTTCTTCTGAGATGCCAATCTAAATCTGTTATCTTATTAAACAATAAGCAGATTTTGTTCTGATTTAGGCAATTACCATGGTTAGTAAACAAGAAAATTACCCTAACAATGGAATTAGGTTTTGTGGACATGATCAGGTCATCTTTTTGAGGTATCTGCCTTTTCCTGCATTCATAATAACCACTATTACTCTGATTACTTTTATACTGTCCCCATAAGTAGTGGAGTTCTCACTTACGCAATGAAAACCAGAATTCAGAGGAAATGTAACCTTCTGAATTCTTATTGTGCAAATTTCCTCTTCATTCAGTGCCATGCTCACCTGGAAGAAATAATTTGTCAAATATTCTTGCCAACCAAACAGCAGTCATATTCCTTCAGAGAATTTTCACACTAAAAACAACTATTAGTTTTACGCTGACAGCACAAGTCAATCCTAATGTCTTTGGATCATGAATTTATCTACAGATTTCAGAAGAAACAAGACAAACATTTTTGCCAATGTCATCCATCAATCAAGTGGCAAAGCAGATGTGTGGATTTCAATGCAGATAGTTTCTGTCCAGCTGTCTGCTCTCCATCTTGGATGTTGGTTTTGTTGTAGGGCTGGCTCTCCTCATAAACTTGAGATGGTCGCTAGCACCTTGTAAGGGTATGCAGTTCTTCCTTGGCATCCACTGAAAAAAGAGTGGATATCTTTTTCTTAGGAAATTCATAGTTGGGTATTCAGTCGCATGTGCATTCTTAAACAATCACTGTTGCCAATAGAAAACAATATATTAACTGGCTCACCTAGGATCCTATACTTGTAGACAGTTTCAGCCAAATACAAAGATCTTAAGAAAGGGAGGATTGGTTCCTCTACCTCAAGAAAAATTAAATCAATGTTGATGCAAGAGTGGGAATGCATGTTGAGAGGCAAACAGTAAACACAACAAAATGATAAATCAGATCTGCTGGCCCTCAATATTTTCTTTTCTTTGCCATATCAGAAAATCTTCTATGATTCAGAGCTCACTCATTAAATGCATTGCCCTTGGATAAAAGCCATTGGTAAAATAACCAACAAGTCATCCTCCTTTGAACCTTTAGCCATATTCATGTCTACCTACATTATGTATATTTCTTTGCTTCCCACATTCCATCAGAGTAAAATACTTCGCAAGAGCCAGCCATGTTCTAGGACATATGGACATGAACAGATTTATAGGATGTGGTTTTCTCATCCCAACTCTTGAAGGATGAATGGGGATCATCCATGCAGATGATGGAGAAAGTCTTCAAAGAGAAGTGAAGATCAATTCTAACAAGACGATAACTAAAACAGCATAGATGTTCAGAGAACTGCAAGAAGCCTCATTGCTTAACCCAAAAGTATGAGAGAGAAGAGGCAATGATTGGTAGAAATTAGATCTTCAAGGATCTTGTATTAGCACAGAAAAAGCTGAAGATGTATTTTATCACGAATAGAGTACCAACAAAATAATTTTCATAGGTGAGCAGCATTTTTACCTTATTTATATGAGAATTCCTTCTGGCCAGAGTGTGGCATATCACTTGGGAACAGGAAGAATATATTATTGCCTTTAGTGAGGCAATGCTGAGGCTATTATATTATTGCCTTTAGTGAGGCAATGCTGAGGCTATTACCAAAGTCCAGGCTAGAAATGAAACCCAAATGAAGAAGGCAGAAGTAGGTTTCTTGAGGTGAAAACAGAGTCAGGTCCTCCTTAATACATAGGCTCTTACGACTGGGAGATAATTAAATTTAGTGGATGGGGAAATGAGAAGTGGGGGAGCATGACCTGGTTTTCTGACTTAGTGTCATAGTGTGTGGAAATGCATTAAGAGAAACAGAAATCGTACCTGAAGGAAAATGCTTGTAGAGGAAAAGAGTCATTTTAAATATGATAAATTTGATGTGTACGAGACATTTCGGTGGGCAGGTCTAACAGGTAACTTACAATACATGTGTGCAGAGCCCTGTAGAAGAATCTAGGCATTCAGTGTCTGCTCCAGGGTCATCAGTATGCACGTGGCAGTCAAAACAATAAGAGTGGCTGAGATCATCCAGGGAGAGTGTTTTGAATGAGAAGTAAGCAAATAGAAGACATTTGGATGCTGCCCAATATTTAATGAATGAATTAAAGATACAGAGCCTGTCAAGGAGCTGAAGAATGAAAGGTCAGAGAAATAGGAGCATATTTGAGGAGAAGAGAGTGATCAGCGGTAAAATTGAATGAACAGACACCAAGAAAGCCAAAGCCAGCCATGTAGAAGAGCTTCAAATTAGAAATTTTTTAAGAGGCATTCTTAAATGAAGACTGTCCTTTATTTTGTTTTGAAAGATGATTTATTGATTCTTTAATCACTCAATATTGCAACTGGGATTTCTTCAGAGGTCTCCAAGTCTCCTCTATTTTCACAGATCAAAATTCTCAGGTGCAGAGTATGTCAGGACCTATTCAAGGTTACACATTTGGCTGACAACTGTGTCAAGACTAAAATTTCATGATCGTTATTTCAGTTCATCTGAAATAAATATCCTCCAAACATAAACCATAAACTTTATGTTTTAAGAGCACATACACCTCCTTACATGAAGTCCTCCAGCTTTGTAACTCCTCCATTCTTATCAGGTATCACTTCTTCAGACATCCCTCTCTTCAGTCATTCCTCTCTTTTCTTCTCAGCCTGTATATCATAAATACCTATCATTTCTCTCTTGTTGTATAATTGACTCCATCATCTTTTGTTCTTCATTTCTACCTGGCCCTAAAACCTACACATCAGATCAATCCTATGTTCTCTCTTTTTAGGCTCCATCCTTGTATTGAACACAATGCTGTAATTATGTGAATTGGTCTAATTTGAATTCTTGCCATCTAAATCCTTCCTGAGCCCACAGTGCTGTAGAGAAAATATGTTTCTATTCTGGGTCAGCATTTGACGTGCTTTTTCTGTAGGGTTATACATTCCCTGATTATTAAAAGTTTATTTCCAAGCTCTCCTTTCCTGTGTATTCAGAATATACCTCACATGCTGCTTCACAGAGACAGTCAATACTATCAGCTAGTAGGGCATACAACTGTGGCCCTGTCATGCCTAAATCATATCAATTTACATCCTCCCTTCTCCTTCCACTTTATTCCCCTTTTCTTTGTACAATGTCAATCTGTTTCAACCTTGGCTACTGCTTCAGACATCTTGCATTGTCAGTCATTATCCTTCTCTTGTGGATCTCCAACATCTTACCTCTGCCAAATCTTTTCCCTTCATCAGTAACCATAATCAGACTGTATTTTTAGATGATGTAAATTTCTATAATTTTATGTTAGCTCTGGCTTATCCCTCTTTCTTCCTACTCCTCCTCTTATAGTCGTGTATTTAGGTCACAAGTACACTCTTAAACAATAACTGTTGCCAGCAGAAAACAATATATTAACAGGCAATTATCAAGTACGAACTCCGAATTTCCAACAGAATATCCTTGATACTCTGTGTATGTGTGCTTGTGTGTGCGTGCGTCTCTCTGTGTGTGTGTGTGTGTGTGTGTGTGTGTGTGAAGACAAGTTTATGACAAGAAGGAGAGACTCACAGAAGGTCATCAAAAGTTAGAAATTTAAATGAGAATACGCGTGAAAGTAATTTTCTAGCCTGCACCTGCCAAAGTGTTTTCTCATAGTTCATGTGAAGAAATACCAATAGGTGGTTGTTGTCGTTAGTCCACTACACAGTGTTCACCTTTAATGTAGGTGGCATGGGCCTAAACAAGGATGAAAACTGATATTAACAGAGTGTTATACAGCAGGTGCTGTACTAAGGGCTTTATGAGGAAGGGTTAAGTTAGTCATATAATAATATACTTAAAGCTTTAATTTCATGGTGGGATAGTTCACTCTCATGCCATCATAATTGTTGTACAATCCTGAATTAAAGAACTTTTCAAGATGTTATTAATGAAAAATCTTTACTGAGTGAATTCTATCTGACCCTCCCAGTCAAAAGGCTTCTACTCAAATTTGGCTAAACCCTATTAGTGATGTGGGTTTCTGACTGCTGCCGTAACATTTATTTGGAGATAAGATGTGCTATATATTACAGATGGACTTTGGGAAGTGACTGAGGGTGACAGAAATTAATTAACCACAAGCCTCCAAATGAAATTTTTATGCTGGTGAGTAAGAAATACAAATTTCTGAAACACAGCGGTATGAAATAATGCAGTATCAATGGTTAAGGAAGCTTCCTAGGTTTTGAAGTTCTATATTAAAAGATAGATATGTAACAAACCTGCACGTTGTGCACATGTACCCTAAAACTTAAAGTATAACAATAATAAAACTAAAAAAAAAACAAAAAAACTTTGATAAGGGAGTACATCTTATTAATGATTTCACAATGATGTCTAATATAATTTAGTGTCTTGGTAATTTAGGTAATGAATAAATATGGGATTTCTTTTCAAAAAATATAAGTAATTTTTAATGAAAATAATATGCAGAAATAAATACTGGGTAAAGTTTAATAATTAACAAATATTCCAGAAGGCCAGTAGTCTGCGTTGGTCAGAATGAAACTTTCACAGAGGGGAGAGTAAAAGTGAAGCAGATAAAGTAATGAAATAATTGATATCAGTGTCTCTAAAGTAAGACCGAGGAATTTGAATTTTGTAGGCAGTGAGGAGCCTCTGAAATCCTGAGAATGGATTCAACATAAGCAAAATCGTATTTTGGAAGCAGCCAGCTGGCATGCATGGGTGGTTGGCGAGAAGTCTCCAGTGAGCAGGTCATTGCAGGTGTTTGTCTCATGTACTAGTTTAATGTGCCGGCAGGGGGGTTGCTGTGAGGGAATTTAAGAAGCCTGAATCAGCAGTTCTTAGCAACTACATGAGGGGATTAAGACATGTAAAAGAAAGTCAACTGTGACTCCAAGATTTCCCTGAATAAGTTATATCTTATTCCAATGCTATTTTGAATATTTCCAGGGTGTATATTCTGAATATATTCTTGATATATTCAAGATTCAACCTGAATAAGTTACATAGACCTGATGACATTCAGTATTCGAGGTAAGATAACAATGTAACTGAATTCTCCTGTAAAGAGCAAAAATATGTTTTAATTATTTTACAAGTACTCAACATATTAAGGAACTTATCTAGAGTTTCCTGGAAACTCAAGTCACGGCTGTTGTTGATTTTATTAATTAGGAAGTTTACATGAACCAATATAGAACTACACTGCTTTATATGTATAATAGGTCCTATTTTTGAAATGGCTGATACAGCTTTTTAAGTGGTTTTTAAATTGAGACAACTTGACATCTAGCTTTTAATATTTAAAGGAATGAACTAGGATAGCTATTCAGGTCATTTGAATATTTTGTGCAAATTCTCACACTCATTATGTCATGTCTACATTCTTGCTGTTTCATATAACTCAACCCTCCTTTTGAATATCATGATTTAAGCACTCATAAAATATTACTAAAGAAGCCTTGAGGCTCTAAGTAACGCAATAATTAGCCCTCCTCTAATAGCCCAATAGAATACATAAATAATTTTCTCCCACTATTTCCTCCCCAGATATTGAAACCTCAATCCGAGTTTTAAAAACTGACCTATACTAGGTACTAGAGATCTCTATTGGAGATGCTAATAGATTGTAAACTGCATCTAGAAAACATTAAACCAGTATTCTAAATGGTTTGAGAGTCTTACTTTTATTCTGGGTCAGCCAACTTTAGATTCTTTTGTGAATGCATCTTTCATCTGCACTTCTGCTCTCCAAATAATCCCCTGTAACAGTTATTTTTTTTAATCTTTCACACTTTTATTCTACATCTAAAACCTTGACAGGATTTGTTAATTTATCTTAAAAATTCTCATTTGTAATATTTATCAAAATAAATTAGTTTCGAGTAACTATATCTTGATGTTTTTTAATACAGGTTTCTAACATGAGACTGAAATCTAAAATATTATCATCATCCAAAATAATCTGAAAAACTGAAATACAATATATACGCACATATAATATAGTTACAGTGAATAAAATCTAGTATTTGATCGCGTAACAGGTGACAACAGTCGACAGTAATATATTGTACATTTTAATAGAACTGAAAGAGTATAATTGGATTGTTTGTAATACAAAGCAAAAATAAATGTTTGTGATGTTTGTGATGATGGATATATGCCCCCATACAAAGTGCTGTGCCTCATGCGTGTTATCCCAGCATTTTCACAGGCAGAGGACGGTGGATCACTTGAGGTCAGGAGCTCGAGACCAGTTTGGCCAACATGGTGAAACCCATCTGTACTAAAAATACAAAAATTAGCAGGGCATGGTGGCAGGCACCTGTAATCCCAGCTGTTCGGGAGGCTGAGGCAGGAGAATCACTTGAACCCAGGAGGTGGAGATTGCAGTAGGTGGATATTGAGCCACTGCACTCCAGCCTGGGCGACAGAGCGGGACTCCACCTTAAAAATATATGTATACAAATATATATACATATATATTATACACACATATAAATGTATGTATGTATTTATACATATAAATACATATATTTACACACACAGAGGGTCATTATGTAACAATATGTCTTCAAACTGAATAATTTTAGCCATCTTGTCATATAAAGCCTCTAACACCACAGATTTAAAATTTCTTCCTGGGAAGTAAATATTAATTAAGGAAATCCCAACTTCTTTTACAAATCAAAACCCATGTTCTCCATAAATTAACATCATAAAACATTTTTTGTTCATGTCAAGCGGTCAGGTGTCTTTGGGGAGTTTAGAATTACCTGATATCTCTGTTCTTTTATATCAACTCCATAAGGAAATCCCACTGCATTACTTGGTATGTGTTTCTGTAGGCCTCTTTAGTGTAAAATTTAAAAGAAGGGGGAAGTTTAAGTAATATCAGGATTAATGAAATAATTTTCAAGTAAAATATATTTCCATGGGTTTACACAAAGTATCTTCATCTGTCAGTGACTCTTAACAGCAGATGCGTATTTCTCACTCCCATGAAAAGTTCTCCACTGGTCCACTGACTGTGATCTTTGTGTCTTTTACCCTTTTGGATCCAGGTGGAAGGAGTCCCCTCTTTGTGACACTGAAGTTTCCCTAGAAAAAAGTAGGAGTTATATGATGGTTCTTAAAGTAATAGACATCCTTTCTGCTCACATTTCCTTGGCCAATGCAGGTCACATGGTCAAGCCTGATGTCATCAGGGTGGGAGGTGTGATCTTCCTATAGGACAGGGGAGCAAATACTTTCAATCTGTCATAAAACCTGAATGAAATAGTAAGATATCTGTTAAATCTATGTTTCTTAAACACACATGACTGTCTATACAGGGTTCCTTTGTGCATTATTTGTAATGTTAATACATAAAACATGAAGGAGAGTGTGTCTCATTCTCATGATCAAATTTTACCTGTTATCTTTTCTCTATTATCAAAATTCCGGTAGTCTTGTAATGATCTTTATTTGTTTATTTATTTTTTAGTTACTGAATAATGATAATGGTGTCTATTTCAGATCTACAACTTTCTGAGTTTTAAAGTCATGGAGGAAAAACTATAATGAAATAAAATATAATTTTATCTAAAAATAAATAAATTTGGTGTTAAATCCAAGCATATTGTTCTTAACAGGTAATACTTTTATTGATTTGGGTGTTTTAGGAGTTTTAGGAGCATAGAAATATATCATACCTGTGTTTACTTTATTAAAGAATCTTTTGTTAGAACTTCCCAGACAGCATTTTTGGAGATGGTAACCTGAGATCATGGTGTCATGGTGTCCTTACTAATCACTTTTAATAGGATATTTAAACCCCCTTTCCAGAAAGAAAACAAGGAGCTTCCAACTTCCCATGTACCCCATCACAAATCATCCTTCCTCTGGACTGTGGTAACACATCTACCCCGTCCAACACATCTACCCCATCCTCTGAGGTCATTGTGTTAATAATGTAACCACTTCTCTCATTTTTCTGCAGTTTTTCTCCATTCCTGTAAGTGTGGTGTATTAGTCCTTTCTCATACTGTTATAAATTAATACCTGAAACTGGGTAATTCATAAAGAAAGGAAGTTTAATTGGCTTACGTTTCTGCAGGCTGTACAGGAAGCATGGTTGGGGCGGCCTCAGGAAACTTATGATCATGGCAGAAGGTGAAGGGAAAGCAGACATGTCTTACATAGTGGGAGCACGAAGGGTGCGTGAGGTGCCACACACATTTAAACAACCAGGTCTCCTGAGAACTCTATCACAAGACAATACTAAGGAGATGGTGCTAACCATTAGAAACCACCCCCATGATCCAATCACCTCCCACCAGGCCTCATCTCCAACACTGGGGATTACAATTCAACGTGAGATCTGTCCCTACACACAGCCAAACCATATCATATGTCAATGTTGTTCTCTCCCTGAAAACAAGAACAAGGCTGGGCATGGTGGCTCACGCCTGTAATCCCAGCACTTTGGGAGGCCAAGGCGGGTGGATCAGGAGGTCAGGAGTTCAAGATCAGCCTGATCAACATGGTGAAACCCCGTCTCTACTAAAAATACAAAATTAGCCAGGCATGGTGGCACGTACCTGTAATCCCAGCTACTCAGGAGGCTGAGGGAAGAGAATCACTTGAACCTGGGAGGCGGAGATTGCAGTGAGCTGAGATCACACTACTGCATTCCAGCCTAGGTGGCAGAGTGAGACTCTGTCTTTAAAAAAAAAAAAAAAAAAAAAAAAAAAAGAGCAAAACCTTCCCCTGATGCTCTATATCCATACATGTTTTTGGCTCTGTGGACCATATGGACTCTATCACAATTACTCAACTATGTGATTGCAATGAAAACAGCTATGACAATATAAAAATGAGTGGGCATAACTTTTTTCAGTAGAACTTTATTCACAGAAACAGGTGGCCCAATGGTGGCCAGTAGATTGCTGACTCCTCTGCTATAGTCTTTCTGTTAACCTACCCCTTACTGTTTCTTCAAACAATCTGCTTAAAAAAAGTTTCTATTTCTCATGGTTTCCAGATTCTTACCTCTGTTTCATGCTTGAAAACTCTGCAATTTGACCTTTATACCCAAAGTTTTCTGACAGCTTGGGGCAAGAGTGGCTTTCTGACTGAGTCTGAAGCATTATCTGTGAATTATCTTGGGAGTACATTTCCGTTTGGCTCTCCTCACTTTAGACTTCTTACCCCATGGATACTCTCCTCTGTTCGGTGAAACTATCCACCCTTGGTTCTCTTCCAGTATGTGAGGTTTCTTCTCAGCATCTTCATCGTTAAGAATGCATTTAACTGTAGGAGATTCAAAAACGCAACAATAACCAAAATAAACAAGAATTTTTTTCAGATTTCAAACCTAACATCTGGAGTTAAGGAGTTCAAGGTTGGTGCAGCCCTTTGGCAATGTGGCCAGAGGTCTAAGCATTTTCCTATTTCTGCTCCGTCTTCCATATCATTTTGGCTTTTGTTCTCATGTTTGTTGCCTTATGGGAACCTCAGGTTTGAAATGCCATGGACAATGCTTGTGTGTCTAAGACAAAAAAAAAAGGACAAAATTAGTTTGTTTTTTAAATTCTTTATTCAATGAATCAGAAAGGAAAAGTGTCCCTAAGACCCTGGCAGCCATGTCTCCTTAGGTATCCTTGGCCTGAATTATGCCAGACCTGAACTTTGTCAGTTCAGTGCATGAGAGAAGCTGGGAAGGTTCATATTTCTAGCCAGGGGCACTACCTGCTTCTCCAAATTCGGTTTTCATTAGGAAGAAAGATGAGTTAAATGGATATTGGCTAAACAATTGACATGTCTCCCAGAGTGACCTGTGCAGGATATTTCTCCTCCCATAACTCAGTGTTAGTGTTCTAGGAATTTATCTTTCGACTTCTTTTTCCGTTAAACTGCATGCAATTCCTGTGCAGTCTCATTCACTATCTTAGCATGACACGTAAGGTGCTGATGCTCAAATTTTTCTAACTCAGATTTTAGTATCCTATATCCATCTCCTAAGGGGTTTCACCTTCTGGTTTCCCCACGTGTATTTCAAATAAAAGATAGTCTGAAAGTAATGCTGTTTCTTTAACCGGCTATTTCTCATACATCTCTACCTTGATTGTAACTATAAAAATGATAATCAAGAAACTGAAACTCAACTTCTCCTCTCACTCCTTCAACTGCTATACTCAATCAACTGCCAAGTGCCATTTACAAAGTTTCTTAACATCTCTTGAGGCTATTAACGTATTTTCATACCCACTGTCATTCTCATGACTAGTTTCTTGGTTAAAACCTGTATTATTTCTCACTCTGTCTATTGAAGATTACATTCTCACCTGGTTATTCTGCTTCCCATTAATACTGCTATCAGAACACTCTCTCTGAAATAGAAACCATTTTTCTAGGTTAAAGCCCTTCAACGGCTTGTCATAATTAACAGCAGGTAACTCATACAGTCCCTAAACAATCTTATTTATCCCAGGGTATTGCTGAGGACTTCTTAATCTTTCACTCAGTTCAGACTCACTCTTACAGCTTTATTTGGTTTACAAAGGATATTTACCTGATATCTACCAGGTATCTCAAGCTGCAAGACTGAAATCATTACCTTCAAATAACCTCCATATCTATACTTTGTCCTTCGTGTTCCCTTGTTTAGAAGATGTTTTGTCAACAACTCCATTCCTCCTAGAAGTTTTGTAGTAATCATCCCTGATTTTCTTTCTCCTCTGCTTCATCACTAACCAGCCTCCTTTTTTCTGATCAGCCACAACATCCTATTGCTTCAATTCTCTTAATGCCTCTCAAATATACTCACTCTGCTCTAGTGTGGTGATTACAGCCTTACTTCAGGCTACTGTAATTACTTGCCTAAAATATGACCAGATTCTTTTAATCTTTTCCATCTGTTCGTTAAAAGAATTTATTCTAGAGGTTTTATTTTCTACAATGGAGCTACGATTATATTATTCACTTCTTCAAATAATTCAGTATCTTACCATTACCCTCTAAATGAAGTCCAAACTTCTTACCATAGTTTAGAAAGCTTTTCCAGAGCTGGACACATCTATCATAGATAATGCTGCAGGCAGGTTGTATCTGTGACCCTGTCATCACCTCCCTCTTTGTACTTACCACACTGAGGATGCTGGGCACTGCATGGCTTCCCCTATTACCATCATCATGGTCCTCACTGTAACTGTAATTGGAAGATTACATGTCCTAATCCTCCACCCTTTCATCACATCATGGGCCTTCTGATCTCAACCATGATGTTCTTCCTATGCCTGGCTCTGTGTTTGGCAAATGGTAAGGGCCAGTCTGTGCCCTTCCATGCATGGATGACTGATTAGGATGTCACCTTTGCTCCTATCTCTCATCCCATCATCCCCCATCGCTGCACTTGACTCACTAGCGTTTTCTCTTCCCTAAACAGCAGATTCAGTTTGGGTCTTGAGGCCTTTGCACTTTGTCTTCTCTCTGTGTGCAAGCCTCTGCTTTTGTTACACTGCTTGAAGGATTGTCACCTTTCAAAACAGGAGACTTCCGCATGTCTGAGAAAGAGCTTTAAGGGCCGTTGCATGGTTTGGCTGTCTCCCTTTTCCCTTTTGCCTGAGAACGACGTTTCAAATAGAAGCTGCTCTTTCAATCTGGTGAAACGGCATGAGGAGAAAAACCATATTTAACCCAGAGGTGAAATGCAATGTCAGTGAGAAAAAAGCTACCGTGAGCCACTGAGATTTGGGGACTATTCCACAGCACACTCCAACCTAGGGAAATCTGACAAAAACAGACCATCATATTTGAAGATTTGAATTCAACTTCTCTCTGGTCTCTTAGCCTTCTATCAATGTATGCTAGCAGAGAATGCTACCTTCTTCCCACAGTAAGAAAAGAAGAAGAAATATCCTACCTTCTCCTCAGATGTAAATTATGAGCTTGGATTTCCTTCCTGTATAAGTTCTATCAGCTTCAATGCATGCATAGGTCTCTTCAAAAAATAAAATAAATAAAATAGCTAAAGATCCTTCCTAAATGCTACTTATCACTCCATTTACCATGTCCCTAGTGCTAAACAACTGTTTATAATCAGTTTAAAAAAATAGTTTTGTTCTCTCCATTCCCATTTTGTGAGCTCCCTCCAGCTTCTCAACCTTTTTCATTTTGTATTTCATCCTGGCAATGCATGTAAACACCCTTTAATGTTATTAGTCGTATGTGTGTCCCTAAAGGCAACAGATACCCTTTCCGTTCCCAATTTATCAGAAGACTCATGGATATTCAACTTTCTGGACCATTCCAGATTTTATAAAATGTGACCATCATTTGACTTCAGTAACTACAATTGCATCATTTTGCTCTTGTTGCTTTGCCTCTGCTTCAGATTGATCTCTACCCTAAAATGTTGCTCCTTCACAAATTAACATATAACTGAATATGCAACATTTTCACTTGGTGATCTCAAGATACATCTCAAACTTAACATCCCCAAAACAAAATATCATAATTTTTGCCTTTACAAATAAAAATCTGTCACTACAAGTTACTTTTCAGTTTTAGAAAATCATAAGAAATTGAATTTTAGAATATGCATTCTCTTGTGTCGGGCTTTGAAAGACACAATGTTTTGTGTTTTAGTGTAATATTTTTAAGATTTGTCCACATTGCATCAGATTTGCCCTTTTTTATTGCTGAGTCATAATTTGTATACAGATATACCAACTGAATCCAGTTATATAAAATTCATCTACAATTATTTTGTGGACTTATGTATTTATTTTTCTTAGGGAAATGTTTAACAGTGGGGTTTTCTGGTCATGTGGTATGCATAAATTGAAATACGAAATGCAGAACTTTCTCTAAGCGACTATTGTTAGGGTCTGAGATTTTAACCTACTTATAAGCTAACATGTTAGTTTATTAATGCCTTATGGATGCAAGCAGAAGACACAAAACTTCTGGGTCAGAGAAACAGGACTTTATCATCCACAGTAGAGCAATCAGCATGAGCATCATGTTTGACTTGGCTTTTTGTATCGTCCACGTCCCACAGGGATGACACAGAGGGCCCAGATGGGTGGCTGAAGATTACAGGAGAGGAAGAGTGATCTTGGGGAACTCTTCATTTTAAGATAACTGGTGAGCAAACCTAAACTTTGTCTTGGATAAAAACATTTCCTCGTCCCTCAAAGTGGCTCATTGCAATCATAACCCTGAGAAATGGCCCAGGTTAAAAAATAATAAAAAGTAGGAGAGTTTGATACTAGATACTTTTCTAGATATTTTGAAGTATCCAGAAAACGTGTGGTATTAGGAGAGACCCATGGAGGACGATTTCACAACAGCTGAGTAATTTTACATTCCCATTAGCAACATAGGAAAATTATTTAATTTCAGTAATTCTAGTAGGTGTATATTAACTTGAATTTCCTTGAAGAATAATGGTACTGAACATCTTTTCTTTTCTTGCTTATTGAGCATTCATATGTCCTTTTTTGCAATGTGTATGTTCAGAATTGTTTCTTTTTAAATTGGGTTACATCTTCTTATTTTTCAGTTTTAAGGGTTCTTTACATATTATTAATACACTTTCTTTGTCAGATATGTGCACTGCAAATATTTTTCTCTCAGTCTGTGGCTTACATTTTCATGGTCTTAGAGAAACCTTTTGAAGAACAAAATTTTATCTTGGTGAAATGTAATCTTTTATTTTTTAGCACTTAGTGCTTTTGTATTCTAAGAAATGTTTCCCCACCCCACAAGTCTGAAATTTTTATCTTATCCTTTCTTTTACAAGTTTATAATATGATTTTTGCTTTTTTGTCTATATTTAGTTTTGAGTTATTTTTGTGTATGGTGTGAGGTGGTGGTATTTACCTTTTCCAGGTGGAATCAACTTGTTCTACCAACATTTATTTAAAAGATTGTCCTATTCCTGTTCTTTTCTGATTGAATTATGTTTGTCCTTTCTCCCACTGAATTCTGATATTTCTCAAAAATCAAATAATAATATTTGTGCATTTCCAGTTTTGGGCTCTCAATAATGTTCTTTCTTTATGCCAATATCACACTGTCTTGAGTGCTGAATATTTAAATTAAGTACTCTAGCCAGAGGTATTTGATGGGTTCCAATCCATTACATTTATTATTATTATTATAACTATAATAATAATTATTAATGGTTGTTTACAGAAGGTAGGCTAGTCCTGTAGCAACCATTTTGCCATAACTAATAGTGTGATATTCTGTTTACTTACAATTTGATATTTTTCTTCCTTTAGTAAATTGGAGATTGCCAGAAATTCCTTACTATTTCTCCCATTGAAATAGGGAAGCAAATTCACCTCACCTTGAATGTGGGCTCATTTTATTGACTTCTTGTCCAACAGAAGGTGGGACAAAAAAAAAAAAACATTATGTTATTGGACTTCCAAGACTAGGTCATATGAATCCTTGAAGCTTCTTTCCAGCTCTCTTGGAACACTTTCTCAGTGAGACCCGAGATGCTATGTAAGTCTAACAACCACCTCACTGCTGTACTGGGGAAGACACATGGAGGTGTTCTGATGGACAGTTCCTGCCTAGTCCAGAATTCCAGATTTCCTGCCAAGATGCTAAGAAAGTGAGAATAGCCCTCTTGGATCTTCCAGACCAGTTCATCTGCCGTTAGTGTTAGTGTGAATTCTAGAAATACCATGTTGAAAGGAAAGCTCCATGGGTAAATACGCTTCTGCTAATAAGTGGGATACCAGAACGGCTGTTAGCAGCTGTCAGGTGGAAGTGGTTCTCGTGTCAGATTCCAGTGGAAGTTTTCAGTGTCTCTTTTCCTTATAGGCTTAGGATGTTTCTCTACTGCTCCCAGCAGAGGTGCTCAGCATACTCCAAAGAACTCTGACTTTGATATCGTGCCAATCAGGGTTCGAATTCACAAATTTCCATTTATAATCTGTATAACATTAAATCCTGTTCCAATGTTTCTGTCATTCAGCTTTGTCATCTCTCCATACAGAAAAATACCCACCCAATGTCATCCCACCTCTGCTGCCTAAACACTGTATTAATGTTAAGTGGCTTCCCCATGCTATGCACTGTCTATAAAATAGGGATAGTATCACCTTCCTCTGGATGCATTGTGAAAAGTCAATGTGACCATCCACGTAAAAAATTTGATGTTAGGCACAGAGGATTTGCTTAATAAATGTTAGGTATTATTCACATGAGGACTTGATGAAAAAAAGGTAAAAGCATGTATTTATCACATAAAAGGGTCAAATAAATGCCAGTTTCCTTCATTCTTTTCCTTTTAGGGCACTTTGAAAATATGGAAAACTAGTTACAACACAGCCTCAAGAAGCTCATGATTCACTGGTTACTTATACAAGTGATCCTAATTATGGCTTGAGTTGTAGTTGTTTTACAAAATGTAAAAATTATTGAGATAATAATTAGTTACTTACAAAACAATTTTGCTCGTAGAGATTTTAAATTCTGTCATTAAAAAGACCCACAAGCCTCTCAATTGCAAAGAAGTTAGCATCACCTTTTTTTTTTTACCAAATTCGAAAAAAGCAATAATCTAACTACAGAATAAACCATGGGCGGTACAGTACAAAAAATGTTCTTATGTTTTTAAAAGTTGTGCAGTCCATTGATCAGGCAGGCAGTGGTGGGGAGAACAAAGCCAAACACTGAATACACGTTTTGCTACAAAGAACCTAGTCTAATCAGTTCCATTTAGAAATGCACTTTTATTTGACTATATTTGCAAATCATCATTTTTTTTTCTCTAAAAATAATATGGAGTGTGGAAATGCTTTCCTATGCAGAAAGGTTTTTTTATTTATTTTGCTGAGTTTCAGGAAATGAAGCTTAGTTGCTACCTTGCATAGAAACACCAAACTATAGAATGCACAAATTTAGCACAGAGTCTGCCACGTATGGCAATTTTGATACCGCTACCTACAATTCACATTTACTGCATCCATCCAATTACACCCATGGTATCAATGCACAGCACTTAGAGCAGGCTGGCAGTTCACAAGAGTGCAACGGATGTCACGCAGTCTGCATATCAGTCAATCTGCTTCCTGATATGCTTTAAGAAAGCCTGTTCCTCAGACTCACCTGAAATGCAAAGAGAGAGGTGGAGGACGATGGCCCATGTTTCCTCTTGTGTACCTACACTGCAGTTCTTGTTGATGACCATCTAATGCAAACTGTCCCACAAATCTTTCAAAGAGAGTAAAGGTGAAGCCAGTCCCTATGTTAACAAACCTCAACCTTATTTCAGCAGATGGTAAACTTTGATTTTGTTTAAGAACCAAAGCTTCAACAGCTTCAGGAAAACATGTGTTTGTAATTCATCTCCATTTTAATGCCACCCTTGCATGGACGAGCTACATCTCCTGCTCCAGGTGAATGGGTTCTTACGTTCTGGACACTGTGTCTTCATTTCAGTTATTGATACCTAGAGTTGGTGAGTTTCAAGCCAATCTCTAAGTCAAGAGTTTATTTGGGAGTTGGGTTTCCTTTTGAAATATACTCCCTGGAGCCTCAGGCTGTTGCCTGTTCACCTGTTTCCTTTTCAGACCAAATCATGGAAAGGACCAGGTTATCTCTGATCCATTTGGGGTGTGTAAATATCAAGAAGGATAAGGTACCTTTCCTGGACTTGAGAACTTATAGCCTAATAAGAGAAGACAGGAATAAAAAAAGAAAAGTTTTAGTTGCTATGAGACTGGCATATAAAAGTACAGGGACAGGACAAAGAAAAAAATGGAAAATTATCAGAAATGGGTATAAAGATGGCTTCATAGAGGAGGTAAACTGTGTCTGAGAAATTAGAAAATGCCCAGAAAGACATCAAAGAGAAGGATAGGCTGAAAGGTGGAAGGCATAAATGCTGTTAAAAAAGGCAAAGAGTCATGAAATAGACAATGAATTTCTAGAAACTAGAAAACTGGACACAATGGGACAGGGCATGGAATACAATTAAGTGACCTCTGATTTAATGTTCAAGCTAGTATCAAAGGAGATGCTGTGAATTCTAATCTTGAAATAGCACACATAAACCAGAGCTGCCCCAGGCAAATTGTGACATATGGTCTCCCTAGGCATAAAGTTAATGGTATAGTCAGAAGGTTAATAACGTAGGAAATGAATTGAAATGGCTGCTCTGACACACACTACAAAGTTGGAACCTGATGCAATGTGGTAGGCAGAATTTTGTTCACTATGACTTTCACCCCCGGTGCCAGCTTTGTGATTATGTTATATGCATGGCAGAAGGGACTTGCAGTTGTAATTAATGTTGCTATTCACCTGACTTTAACAGAGGGAGGTGATCCTGGGTGGTCCAGGTGGGCCCAGTGTAATCACACGAGTCTGTACTAGCAGAAGCAGAAGGCAGACAGATAAGGGAAAGAGGCAGGACAGAGATATTTGAAGCCTGACAAGGACTTGACATGGTATTAATAGTTTTGAAGATGGCGGGGAACATAAGGAAGGGGGTACAGGTGGCCTCTAAAAGCTGATGATGACCTCTGGCCAACAGCTGTTGACCTGGAGAAGAATGTGTGTTAAACAAGTGTGGATGGTGATGATAATAATGAAGATGATTTTGCTTATATGCTGAGGAGACATCATGTTAGGAGTGATTACAGATAATGCAGCAAAAAAGGAGCAAAGTGTTGAGGTAGAGGTGAGAGAAGGGGTGAGCTCAAGAGGCAGGCAGGAATCCTTAGTCAGGCACAGTGGCTATACATTCCTTTTCATTTCTCCTTGGACTTGCAGATGCGAAACAGATTCCTTTTCTCAGATGCCCATTCATTAGGGGTGGCCATGTGACTGAATTCCAGCCATAAAGATCACATGTGGCATTTTAAGGCAGAAGCTTTTCCCTTCTCCCAGCAGAATGGAAAAGCTGAAGCAATAGGAGGAGATGCACCATACAATCGAAGGAAGCAGAGACCCTCAATATGGAACAACGAGAAACATCCCTGCAGTAATAGTTGAACAAAAACACACTCCCATTGTGTTGTGCCCTTTCTTGACATTTTAGACTGTTCATTTTCACAGCTGGACCACTGCAACCATCACACATGTGAGAAGAAGGTGGGTCTAGAAGGAAGAAAGTGAGGGAAGCTACAAATATTCATGTTTGTTAGTGGGGACCATGAAGGCGAGATAGATTTCAATTTCCTCGGCCGGGCATGGTGGCTCATGCCTGTAATTCCAGCACTTTGGGAGGCCAAGGCGGGCAAATCACCTGAGGTCAGGAGTTCAAGACCAGCCTGGTCTAACATGGTGAAACCCCATCTCAACTAAAAATACAAAAATTAGCCAAGTGTGGTGATGGGCACCTGTAATCCCAGCTACTTGGGAGGCTGAAGCAGGAGAATCTCTTGAACCTGGGAAGCGGAGGTTGCATTGAGCCAAGATCATGTCACTACACTCCAGGCTGGGTGACAGAGAGAGACTCCATCTCAAGAAAAAAAAAAAAAAGATTTCTATTTTCTCCATAAGGTAGTGGAAATGGGATCTGCTGACCTCCTGAGTGTGTAGGAGTGGAGGTGGAGAATGGGATACCCAAAAGCAGAGGAGCTCATGGAGGACAAGAACTGTGAGGACTGGAAGAGAAAGCATGCTAGGGGTAGGATTGCAGAATAGAGCTCAAACTTCCAGGTCAATGATGAGGGTTCAGCAGGACTTGGACACTGGGCATTTGCAGTGACTCCATGTCTCAATATTGTCTGTATAGTGAACAGATGCTTTGAATGTGGGAGACTAGAATAAATGCATTTTTATAAAGATTTTTGATTAAGGCATTAGTAAATAGCTTCAGTAGAACTGTTTACTTCTTTCTACTGCAAAGATATCCCAAGGGTTTCTAGCCTTCATCCTCAGTTGCTTTCTTAATAGTTACCATGAATATACGTAAGGCCATCCATAATTTCACACCTATACTTATCATCTCAAGGCAAGCCTTGTTAGACAGGCATAAGCTCATAATAAATTACCTGATCCAGATAAGGCTTTTTTTTTTGTTTCCCCAATTACACTCATCAACCACAAATTAAGATTAATTACATAGATTACTTGGTCTGTAAACATTTAACTACCATCAATGGTATGAATGACCATGTTAAGGGAATTTCCTAAGTGCAATAGCAGAGTACTACCATTCCTTGAGTATGGATAGTCAATATTTTGTAAAGCTATAAATACGGGAATCTGTAAAGAATATATTCTGTATGTGGAGTCCATACCAAATCTGTTCAAAATGCCTATGTTAAATGTAATTAGTATATTCTGATTTATAATCTACCACATAAACTCATTAAAAGAAACCCACAAGCAGCTCGCCATTAAAAAAAAAAACTGTTAAATTGATGGAAATCTGGTACTTATTTTTTAGGCATTATGCAGTGTGCTTCATTATTATACACAGATTCTTCTCACTATAGTATCGTTTCTGTTAAAAGCTGTGTGTGTCACTCATACAGGATACTTACAGAGCGTTTTTAAAGCAGTACATAAATACATGAATTATTTCCAAATGTGAGTTAAATTGCAAGTCACAATTTAGTTAAGTAGATTAGTGAATAGAAATAAGTGATTTATTTTAATAGCCAAAAAACAAGCTTAAAGCAGGTGAAAGGCATAGAGCAGACAAAGGCTAAATTTTATGGAGCATTTGCACATTTGCAAGATTTCATTAAATTTTCTCAACACAATTTTCCTCTTCTAGTAATATGGGAGACTAGATATTCTAACTGGTCTTTCTACTAATTAAAAACACCTAAAAAGTCTTGGGAAATTTGTTTTATAAATGAATCAATGCACCAGAAAGAAAGTAAGAATTCTCATTTGAAAACTAAATAGAGAAATAAACCTTGAGAAGAAAGAAGAATTCTGAAACAGGTTTGAATTTGAGGATATCACCCAAAAATCTTGACTTGCAAATTTGTTTGCACAGCCTCTCAGAGTGCAGGAAACAGGAGGACATCCAGGTCCCTAAAAAGATGTGAGTTGATCATAAGTACTCTTGATGAGCTGGAATGATGAGAAGGCTACACTCTTAGCATAGCTGTGAGCCGAAACTAAAGACAACTCCTTTCTCCAGCTGATACAAGGTAAATTGTCGATAAACTTGACCCTGAATGGAAGGTAAACACGTAAATACACAGAGATACAAACATACACACAAACCTCCCATCAACCCTTTAATAAGAAAGAAAGGAAAAAGCTAGACCTCCCTCCAATTTACACTTAACGCATGGTAGATACAGATATAGACATGGATATATATCACAAAAAACCCAGAGTTTATTTTATAGGCAATTTACATACGGCAAAAAGAATACAAATCTTTTTGGAGAATTTCAGCTTCATTACTAAACTCATCTCTAGAGAATGTTACTAGAAAAATGAGCACTCACCAGCAGATTTCACTAAAGAATCAAGAAAGAAAGAACCATGAGGAAGAACTTGCAAACACAAGAGGCATCAGAAAGAAGGCTGTTTAGTAAGAACCCGTAGGAATGTAATCACACATGGAATATAAAATCTATATTTAATATCTTTAAAGGAATGAAAGACTAGTTTTAAAATATGATCATGGAAAAAGAAAACATAAGAATAAACATGATGATTTTTAAAAGAAGAACCAAGTAGAACTTTCAGATATAAAAGAACCAGTGGTCCTGTGTATGACCACAGCAAGGACAGAGCTGAGTGCCTTAGTGAACTGAGGGACCTGAATAAATTACCCGGAAGGCAGTGCAGACAAGCAAGGAAATAAGTGCAATGAAGGACAACCTAGCACAGGTGGAAGAAAGAATGTGAAGGATGAACATATCTCTCACTGGAGTTCTGAAAACAGAAGTGGCAGGAAAATATAAAGATTGTAACTGAGGATTATTGATGACTGATGAATGATGACAATTAATACATTCATGAAAACATATAAATACTAACCAGGATAGTTAAATTAAAATAAAACACTCACACCTTAACACACCTTATGATAAAACGGGAGAACACCAAAGTAAAAAGAGCATTGTAAAAATAGTCAACAAGAAAAGACAGATTAAATCCCAGAGAGTGACAGTTATATCAACTGCTAACTTTCCAAGAGCAAAAGTGACATTAGCAGAAAGTAGAGTGATGTTTGTTCTGTATTGTTCTGAAAGAAAATAACTGCCAACCTACAACACTATTGCCTGTAAAACTTACAAGAGGCCGGGCGCGGCGGCTCACGCCTGTAATCCTAGCACTTTGGGAGGCCGAGGCGGGCGGATCACGAGGTCAGGAGATCGAGACCATCCTGGCTAACACAGTGAAACCCCGTCTCTACTAAAAAACACAAAAAAATTAGCCGGGCGTGGTGGCAGGCGCCTGTAGTCCCAGCTACGCGGGAGGCTGAGGCAGGAGAATGGCGTGAACCCGGGAGGCGGAGCTTGCAGTGAGCCGAGATCGCGCCACTGCACTCCAGCCTGGGCGACAGAGCGAGACTCCGTCTCAAAAAAAAAAAAAAAAAAAAAAAAAAAAACTTACAAGACAGGAGAAACCCAGAGATTTTGTCCAAGTCAATCCTGATTAAATTAAACCCAAAATAGGAGTAGAGAAATAAGAACTTAGAGAGGACTAAAATGGAAGTGGGGAGTTGAGAGCAAAAATCTGTTTACATGGGTAAATAAAAATCAAAATAATACAAAAATAATCATTTATCTTGGGATAAAACAAAACTAAACAAGATAGACTAAATTATGCCATATCGATACAATATAGCCTGGGGAAAATGTGAAGATAAATTTCCTAAATTCCCTGTATTGTTTAGGGAGAATTACCAGTTTTTAAATTATTTTTAAACTTAGGTAAGTTAACTGTAATAAAAAAATTCCTTGGGTAACCGAGTAGTTTTTAAGGAACTGAATATAATGAAAATACAACATATAATTCCCAAAAAAGTAATCACAAATTAATGAGAAAAATAATCAACCATCTGAATCTATAAGTAAGAACATCATATAAAGGTGGGATAAATAGCAATAAAAACTAATATTCTAAAAATAAGTTTAGTATGTGAATAATTAGAATATGTATAAATTAAATAAATACTCCAGGTAAGAAATCATCGATATACAGCCTCCAGGGTCTTAGAAGGAAACAAACAGCACACTTAACTAGGACAACCTGGTGACAGTACAATAGAGAAAATATTTTTAAAAGTATAGATATACCCTGTTTTATAACAATAAGAAGATTCTCAGGGGAGGGTATACAAAATATACCACATGCACTGCCAATGAAAGTGTAAACTGTGTAAACTTTCTGAAAACAATACACCCCAAGAACCTGAAAAACGTAATACCCTTAGGTCCTAAGAAAAGTGACACTAAGAAAATATGTATCTATAGACATGCTTATTATTCCATGATTTATAATTAGCATAAATGTAGCAACTACTTAAATTTCCAACAACAGGAAAATAGTATTTAAAAAATTCATTAATAGCATGGGGCAATACTCATTTCATAAGGCATATGAATCAAGAATAAAATTCAAAGAACTCCAACTGATTAAATAGACTCCCCTTGGCCAAGAGTATCTCAAGGAAACCCAAAAAACTAGTTCAGACCACAATAGGAAGGGGGGTTAAACATGCCTCCTTATACCCTTCCCTTTGGAGTTCAGGCATACAACTGACTGACATTAATATTAAAATAGAGATCAGAAGACTGACAACACAGACTTTTTGTAACAAGAAGATACCAAATTCTAACCTGAGTCTGGTATAGCATCACATGACAGATAGCAGCAGGCTTTGAAGGAAATCAAGGTATATATAGTATATCAAATGTATTTCTTTGACATATTTTGAAATGACCCTGAAAAGCTGTTTTTTGTAGAGGAAATTTGCAGCCCGTAAATAATCTCCTTCCCTTACTAGATATTTTCTAGAGTCTGATATCCTTTAAGGTATGATAGGAAATACATATGATCTATTGTCTCTGAAGCCTGCTACCTGGAGACTTCATCCACATAACAAGAACCTTGGTTTCCATAATCCCCCTTATCTTAACTCAATTGTTTCTTTCTTTTCTTTTCTTTTTTGAATTTCAGGCTAAGTTTATTTTTTATTTTTTTTTTATTCCAATAGGTTTTTGGGGAACAGCTGGTGTATGGTTACATGAATAAGTTCTTTAGAGGTGATTTCTGAGATTTTGGTACACCTATCACCTGAGCAGTGTACACTGTACCCAGTGTGTAGTCTTTTATCCCTCACCACCCCCTATTCTTTCCCCCAAGTCCCCAAAGTCCAATGTATCATTCTTATGCTTTTGCATCCTCATAGCTTAGCTCTGACACATGAGTGAGAACATATGATATTTGTTTGGTTTTCTATGACTGAATTACTTCACTTAGAATAATAGTCTCAAATTCCATCCAAGTTGTTGTGAATGCCATTATTTCATTCTTTTTTATGGCTGAGTAGTATATATGCCACAAATATATACATATACTAAATATACGTACTATATATGTATATAAATATAGTATATAAATATATCTAAATATAGTATATAAATATATAAATATAATATATAAATACATACTATATATTATATATACAAACATATATACACATATAGTATAATATATATACTATATATATTATATATATACACACATATATATATACACACCACATTTTCTTTATCCACTTGTTCATTGATGGGCATTCGGGCTGGTTCCATATTTTTGCAATTGTGAATTGTGCTGCTAGAAACATGCATGTGCAAGTATCTTTTTTGTATAATGACTTATTTTCTTCTGGGTATATACATAGTAGTGGGATTGCTGGATCAAATGGTAGTTCTACTTTTAGTTGTGTAAGGAATCTCCATAATGGTTGTACTAGTTTACATTCCCACCAACACTGTTCCCTTTTCACTGCATCCACGCCAACATCTATTATGTTTCAATTTTTTGGTTATGGCCATTCTTGCAGGAGTGAGGTGGTATCGCATTGTGGGTTTGATTTGCAGTTCCCTGATAATTAGATGTTGAGCATTTTTCCGTATGCTTGTGGGCCATTTTTATATTTTCTTTAGAGAATTGTCTATACCTCCCCTTAGGCTCCACTTCCAATATTGGGGGTCACATTTCAACATGAAATTTGGAGTTTGGAAACATGAAGTTTGGAAATATCCAAACTATATAAGCAGGATTATATAGATACAATAAAGTTCAATGTATTTTTCAAGGCACTCATTATTTATATATATAATATATATATTATATATATAATAATATATTATATATATAATATATAATATATAATATAATAATAATAAATATTATTTATATATAAATTTATATATATAAATTTAATATGCTATATAAATATAAATATATAAATAAAGTATACTCCACAATTGCCTAATACAGATTTCTTTTACAAATCCATAGGACACCTATAAAATTGACAGATATAAAATGTGTTTCCATGGTATTTAAAAGATTTATGTTATGCAGATAACTGCCTCTGAAAGCAGAAACATTAATTTGCAAATAAATAACAAAAGGACAACTAGTTTACAGATCAATGAATGCCCTCTTAAAAAAGTCTTGGGTCAAAGAAGAACCCAAAATAGATATTAGAAAATATTTTTAAAAAATAGATAATGAAAATATATATTAAGCCTAGTAACTTACAGTCAGACAGAAATGGATTTAATGCAGATATTAGAAAAGAAAATACTAAAATGAATAAGCTTGGCATGTATTGAAGAAGTTATAACAAGACAAGGAAGAAAACCCAAAGACAGAAGTAAATCTCATGGTGAACTGTAGTTCCCATAATCCCCACAACTAGTGGGAGGGACCTGGTGGGAATTGAATCATGGGGGCAATTACCTCCTTGCTGTTCTCATGATAGTGAGTGAGTTCTTGTGGGATCTGATGGTTTTATAACCTTTGCTCTGCACTTCTCTTTGCTGCTGCCATGTGAAGAAGGACATTTTTGTTTCCTCCTCCTCCATGATCGTAAGTTTCCTGAGGCCTCCTCAGTCATGCTGAACTGTGAGTCAGTTAAACCTCAGCCTCAGGAATGCCTTTACTAGCAGCGTGCGAATGCACTAATACATCCCATATCTCCTTAAAATGTACAAAACCAAGCTTTGCGCTGACTACCTTGGGCACATGTCATCAGGACCTCCTGAGGCTGTGTCATGGGTACATCCTTAACCTTTGCAAAATAAACTTTCTAAATTGATTGAGACTTGTCTCAGATTCTTTCTGTTTTACAAATTACCTTTTGTTCTAGACCACTCACAAGAGTGACCATGCAAAATGGAAGTGTGCCACTTACTCAGCTAGAAACGCTCCTTAGCTTTTCCTCTCACTGGGAATGAAAGTCAATATTCTTACCTTGACCTGTCAGGCCCTGTACTTAAGAAAAGAACAGCATGCTTTGACCTAAAATTACCTCTGAATGGTCTTTGTCTGTAAAATGGAAGAGACATGGAGCGGCGCCGGCACCCGAGGTGCTTTCTAAAATAAGGGGTGCCTTAAAAGTCGTGTTGAAGTTTGTCTTCCTGGAATAGGAAGTGGGTGGAATATTTTAATTAGGGAGGTGATGTGATTGAATTTGTTTATAAAATTATTTTTGGTTAAATGTAATAGAGAAGGAATTTGATACAGTGGGTAATAATGGAGAGGAAACAATTTTAGGAATATTAAAATATCCCAGGCTTGAATGAACGTAGAGATGGAGAAATGTGTAAAGACTGAAGAGGCTGTTGAGAGTTAGATGGAAAAGACAAGTGGACGGATTAGTGTTGGGATAAGAAAGGAAGAAAGGAGTCATTGATGGGGCCATGTTTCAGAAGGTTTAGGGGTGAAGGCTGCTGCAATTCATTGAGACCAGAGCCTTTGAAAGATAGATAAGCATGCTTGGGTGCAGTGGTTCACATGTGAAATGTCCTACGAAACATAAAAGTGAAAGGAGGAGACAAATATAATAAAAAATATATATTCTTGATGTCAAAACTAAAATATAAATATTTTGGAGACTTTTGTGTGTATTTAGATGCTATTCTCATGCTCTTTTTTCTGGAAAAAATAATACAAAACAAAAATTGTTTCACGAGTTCTCAATTTTTGTCCTTCTGTTTTTATCAGATAAATGCTAATAACTTTCATATCTTTCTTCTCCTGCAGTTTCCCATGTCTTCCAAATTTATTTCACATCATTATCTTACTTTTCCTCAAGGCCGTTTTTTCTCTTGACTACAGCAATGCAGATTTCAATTCTGCCATTGAATTCCCAGACATATTCGTCATCCCCATTTTCATCCCCCACCACCCTGCCATTTTCTTCGTGTTAACTTGTTTTCCTGACTCACAGAAATCACCTTTTCCTGTATACATTTTTAGGATGTCAGACTTTATTCTAATGATTTCTCCTAGTTGCCCCCCAAAATTGTATTCTACGGTGTGATTTTAAAGCTGAATTTTCAAGATGATATTTCATATCTATATTTTCACAAGCTTTTCTTCTATGAATGTTATTGTCAGCTGTCAGGGTGTGAGATGGTACTTGATACTACATTCTTTCCAAGCTGTTGCCTGAATCGGTTTAAGACAAAGTCATTACTAGGCTGTAAACTGTTGCTCTGCAAAATTGAGCAGCACGTATTTAACCACTCATACTTCTTAGCTCTCCAACACTTTGAGTCAATGGAGTATACAAACACCTGTAATTTCCAGTGAGCACAGCTCCCAGGCTCTCTCTCTGTCTCTCTCTCTCTCTTTTGTTTTTTTTTTTTGCCTCAGCCTCTCGGGCTTTATTTGTGGGATTTGCACCTTCACCTTCTGCATGCAGTGTGCCATGGCTAGTTCCCCTTACATTTTTGTCATGATTTTGGTAGAGGCAATGATTTCCTGGTTGTAGAAAAAAGGGCAGCAATATAGGATTACAAAAGTATTGCTAAGAAATTGCAACAAGCTACTTGCAGTTTATGTATGATTACTCACAGTTTTTGGATGGTGCAACCCTTAATTTCTGAACCAGCAGGTGAAAGATGAGAGAAGAATAAGAGACCTTTCTATAGATCTTCAGGCAGACAGGCTTGTTGGCTTCCTAATATTTCGGTGGGATACTGGGATGGGTTGGAGGCAACATACTGTTTAAATAAGTAGACAGTTTTTTTAAAATAATGAATTGTGTCTCTAAGATATATTTTTACCAGAATGATACTATATAGGAATATGCGTAAACCCCTGGACTTTGATCTCAAGCAAAACCTTTTCCCTATTATCCCTCCCTCTTAAGTGCATGAGTTTGGTAAAGTACTACAGAAATTTGTTCTCTCACAGTTCTGGAAACTAGAAGTCTGCAGTCAATGTGTTGGTGGGGTTGGTTCCCTCTGGAGAATCTGTTCTGTGCTCCTGCCTTAACTTTAGGGCATTGCCGGCAACCCTTGACTTGTAGATGCATCACTTCAATCTCTGCCTGCTCCACAAGGTGTTGTCCACTGTGTCTGTGTCCAGTGTCTTTGTCCAGTGTCTGCTTTTTCTTCTAATAAGGACATTAGCTATATGCACTCACCCTAATTAAGTATGATCTCATTATAACTTGATTGTATCTGCAAACACCCCATTTCCAAATAAAGTCACTTTTCCTAGGGTTAGGATTTTTTTTTTTTTTTTTTTTGGTGGAGGGAGAAAGGAAGGAAGTGGGCACAGTTCAATTCATAATGAACCAACTAAATATAAATGCCACTGTGGTAAGATCAGCTTGACCATGTAGATTTTTAAATGGTGGTTTTCTTTGTTTCTATTGCGTTTTTTGCTCATCTTATCAGAAAATTTGATAACTTTAGATAATAAATATGAAGGAGTAAATCATTAAAAATTTAAAGTGAAGGCCAGGCGCGGCGGCTCACACCTGTATTCACAGCACTTTGGGAGGCCGAGGCGGGCGGATCACCTGAGATCAGGAGTTTGAGACCAGCCTGGCCAACACGATGAAACTCTATCTCTACTAAAAATACAAAAATTAGCCGGGTGTGGTGACAGGCACCTGTAATACCAGCTACTCGGGAGGCTGAGGCAGGAGAATCACTTGAACCTGGGAGATGGAGGTTGCAGTGAGCCGAGATCATGCCACTGTACTTCAGCCTGGACAACAAAGCAAGACTCTGTGTCAAAAAAATAAAAATAAAAATAAAAAAATAAAGTGAATCCCACAGATTTGCTTATATTCTTTATAACTAGATTGAGTGTCTACAACAGGGCTCTTTTTGACTAACTTTATGGGGATATACAACAGGTGCCAACCACTCCACATTCCAAAAGAAGGCAAAGACTTGCTTTGCAGGACTTGCAAAGAGGTGTCCAAAATGTTTTCCTGGCCTTAGGCTCAGCATCCCCCCGAAGGTTATGAAGGAAGAGCTGTGGTCTCCCCTTGGAGAGATTGGATGGATGCTGAGTGCTCATCTTCTTCCCCTTCCCTGACAGACAACTTGATGTGCATCCCTGGACTTACAGGGACAAAGAAGTGTCCGATTTATTCCAGAAAATATTTAAAGGATGAGAGGCTTGCAAAGAGGCCCAGAGCAAAATCAAAGAAGGCTATAGCCTGAAAATAATTTTATTCCCCCGATAGCAGGCCAGATTGCATCTTTCTTATCACTCTCTGGTGGACATTGTGAGACAGAGCTTAGCCAGGGATTATCTTAGATCTTGTCAAAGAAGGCCCTGGCCAATGAGGCGATCTCTGCAGAAAGCAGCTGGAAGTGCATCATCCCAGATCCCAGGTTGAGAGACCAGCCTCAGGAGAACAGCTGAGGTTGAGGGATTCATTCTACCTGGGAAAACTGCATGTGATGGATAACCATTCGTGGGCAGGGATCTCAAAGAACCCCCAAGTATGCCCTGAAGAATTCAGCACCCAACCTCCTATTACTTTCAAAGGAATCAAACAACGGTTTCCAAGGGGGCATGCCAATAACTTTACTAGTGCCGTGCTCTCCCTTTCTCTGTAACACCTCTCACTTCAGTCCTCCGTGAGCCATAGTGTTTCAAGGGTGTGTGATGAAGCGATGGAAGCCTCAGGTCTGGAAATAGGAAGAAAGTTTACTACAAGCGGCCTGCTGATTAAAGTGGGCCCAAACTTGTGAAGAAAACTTGGATCAAAGTTGGCATCTTGATTCTTATGGAGTACACAGAATTGCAACCAATAAAAGAGACAATTCTTGAGAGGAAGGGTGATTAGAGGACATTTTGTTACCTGGGAGTGAACAGATACTTTATGAGAAATGCTCTATATTTGATTAAGTAACAGGGATTTGCCTCTCAAAGTGGGGGTGGTTTTAAGTAGGCAGTCTGTGGGGGCGGGGTAAGAAAATGGATTTCTGATTTTATCTTTGCTCATTTTCCAGGTTACGTAAATATTAAGAACATTGTTAATTTACTTTAATAAAGAAGTTCATAAATAGTCCAATATTAAAAGTTGATTAAATAATACTTTTGGAAATACATGAATTTTACTGAATGCCCTCTAGCCTTACTACAAAAAGAATGCTTTGCAAATAATAAAAGCTAAATAAAAATAAGCCAGCTCCAGCCACTTTAAGTGACGGAACACACTCTGTAACTTGGGGATGGGGACAGGGCAGGAAATGAAGAAATTAAAGGCAAGGGCGCCTCACTGAGGTATATCAAATCCTATTAGACCAGGTCATTTCCTTGGCTGGCAACTGGACAGGGCTCCTATTGTCTTGTCTACTTTGGCTGAAATCTTTTATTTATCCTCCACATTTGTTTCATTTGCAGGTAATTCTATTCCTGTTTCTACATTTACCATGCTGGATCAGTTTTTTCCCTGATTTTATTTTTAAGTTACTATGATATTCGTACTAAATATGTAAATGTTTATTATTGGGTTTTAGCTGTTTCTATAATAAAGAGTTGTAGTTATTGTAAGTTGCATCGCACTAAGCTTTAAAAATGTATTTCTCCACTGTAGAGAAGTATGTTCCATTGAAATTTGATTGCACACAAAGCTTGACATGAGGTTTATTCTCTTTGTGAAATAAACCATTCAATCTGGACTGCATCCACATTCATCTGAAACTTGAAGGAAATAAGTCATCTTTCACTTATGTTTTAATATGCCATATTTCTATTAAATTAATGGAAGGTTAGACCTAAAGCTCAATGATTGGACACTTATTATTAATGATTCTTTGCACATAGAGTGCATGGATAGCTCACAAGAAAATTTCACCAAAGTCATCTTATATATTTCTCATAATAATCCTAAGAGGTAGGGTTGATAGACATTAGCATTCTGACATCAGAATTGGAGACAGATTCTTCTGTCTCATTTAAGGGATTTGCCCCCAATTAATCAGTCCATGGTAAAGCCAGCTCTATAATATTACTCTAAAGAATATTCAAAAGGTCCCGGGCACAGTGGCTCACGCCTGGGAGGCCGAGGCAGGTGGATCATCTGAGGTCAGGAGTTCAAGACCAGCCTAGCCAAAATGGTGAAACCTCGTCTCTACTAAAAATACAAAAAAAAAAAAAAAAATAGCTAGGAGTTGTGGTGGGTGCCTGTAATTCCAGCTACTAGGGAGGCTGAGGCAGGAGAATCGCTTGAACCCGGGAGGCGGAGGTTGCAGCGAGCCAAGATTGCACCACTGCACTCCAGCCTGGGCGACAGAGCGAGACTCTGTATCAAAACAAAAACAAACAAAAAGAATATTCAAAAAGGTGCATGGGGCAAGGAGAGGTCATTTCACATCCTCTTGAGGAACACAGGTGACTCCAGACCACAATTCTCCTAGATGGCCGGGGGCCCCTGCTCCCCTCCTTTTGGTTCTAGGGACTTGATTCCTGAAGAGGGGTCATGCGCCAACATCTAGTTTAGAGTTTTTCTATTACACCACCTGGTCTCTTATTTTAATTTGTTTCCCTGATTTTTTTTTTTAATCTCCTGGATCACAATATAATCGTTTGAATTTTTGTTGTTGTGTATACAAGGGCTCCCAAGAAATGTGTAATAAAAGTGTTTGGTGGGAAAATCTTGCTAACAGAATCCAGTAGATTAATAACTAAGAAAATAAGGCACACACAACAAAAGGTTGTGCATGGCTGCAAGTTCAAGAGTGGGAACTGATTAGAGTGGTAGAATAAATACATGTGCATGTGTTCTGAATCGATTAGACATATAAAAAGATATCTAGATTCTTTGAAAAATTAATAAGAAACTTTTTTTCTAAGCATAAATATGAAGTTCAAGTATAAACTTACCAAACAACAGAGAAGTGATAAAGTGCTAGCATAAAAAATTAGCATCATGATTATTCTGTATTGTTTACATAGATCTATCAAGTCAAATGTTGGGTCAGAGCCATTCTTTATTCAGTTATCAAAATGGTAGAGCCATTTGGATGAGTTCAGAGACTTCTGCTTTATGATAAAAAAGATAATTGTAAATCAAAAAAGAGTTTAAAGGCTATACTAATTAAACAGCTAATTGGAAATTGGAAGATTTGTTTCTCCAAACTTCTACTATTTTTTATTTTCTTTTCTGTTTGTGGAAGTTTTGGAAAGCAACATTTTATTCTGTGATTAGCATCAAAGAGTTTCAGGCATGGGTTATAGGACTGGACCATGCATACTTGAAGTGTACTTCAAACCATAACATTCTATGAGATTTCGTGAGCAACTACCTCTTATTGATAAAAAGAATTGCTGTTTAAACCCTATTTTAAAGTACTTACTTTTTGCTTTCTCAAATATAAGGATGATGTACTATGGATTTGTAATATCATTACCTATGGAAACAAAAGATATAAAAATTTACTGTTCACTCACTTCTCCTTAATTTCCAAGAACATTAATCTTGAATTTAAGCTTAAACTTACTTTAAACATTATCTTTATTATCTTATTTTCTATGAAGAAAATAATCCAACCTATCTACTAGTATGCCACTTTAAAAACATTAAAAGCCAGTGGATAACTGCAAAAGAAGGGCTTTTAATTTTATATAAAATAATAAAATAATTTATTCTATTGATAATTCCAAACTCTCAAATAATATCTTGCTGCAGTGCTAAGGAAATGGACAAAGGAAGAAAAAACAGCTTTTCATGCCTTTCCTGAAACAATTGCAGGAAATTTTTGTCACGCTACAATTATTCTTTGATCATGAAAAATTCTTTTAAAGACACGATAGCCACAACCATTTTATCTTCTGACTTACTAAGCAGTCTGAGGGTGAATAGAGAGTTTCGATTCCAGGTTATGGTTATAATTACTAACTGCAAAAATCCTATTGCCTTTCATTAAGTAGTTAAAATATTTAATTGAGACTACAGTGTGTCTGCACACAGCGTTGTACCATGCATAATTATCCCTACACATACAGGAACACTGAGGGTACTTTTAACAATAAAACAGATCATCAAAAAATTACATTTTTAATTTAAGTTTTGACTTTAATCTTCTCCGTGATTAAATACCTATCTCTGCATTTTTTCTGCAAATGAGGACATTAAGCTAAAACAAATGAACCATAAAGTGACGGGAAAAAAAACTTTGCACTGTTAATATAAATGGATAAATCTTTAATATGTATTAACCATTGCACTATGTCTTTATTTTCTAACAGCTTGTATGAGAAAGAAGAACTGGTGATGCAGAAAGTCAAATACCGCCAGCTTAGCGGGTCAGCATCCTCTCCTCCCACATAAGCAGAGATCGGAGCATGAGATAAAATACCTGGATGCCCTTTGCTCCAGCCTCGTGCTCCCACAACTTTGCTTCTGACAGAGTACTTATCTCTCTGACCACTGGGAAACTGCTAAAAGAGAGAAACTTGAAAAGGATTGGACTTTTCTGTGCAAATCTCTTTGAAAATTGCCACCTCCCAGGTTAGCTTTTAAGAGAAGCCCAATATATTAGGAACCTGAAAATAAAGGAAAGTTTGCACATTGAAACATCACTTGCTAATAGTTCTATTATTGGAAACGGAAATATGGAATTCTAGAAAAAGAAATGTCATTATGGGGTTAGGAATTAACCACTTGCTACTTATGTTAATGTGACGTGGTTTAAAAAAGCTGCAGGAAGTTCCTGAAATTATTGAAACAAAAATAAAGTATTTTCCCCTGGAATCTAAGTAATGTAAGTGAAAGTCTTTAAACATTCTCTTCAACTTTATATTTCAAAATTGCTTCACAGTAATTTCTTATGTTATCCATCACTTGTCTAACTGGAAGGCAAGCATTTTTATTGTTTTAGTTACTATTTAGCTTTATGAACAGCATTCTTGCTTTGTTGCAATTACAAACATTTATTTCCATAGGGATGGAAAGATTATGCTTTGCTCTCTCTGCCAGGTACCAATTGTCAATAGAAAATAGAGCCAACTAGAGTAACTTTAGCTCTTCAATCAACACATCCAGTATTAAGAAAAAAAATACATTGATATTTGAGACGTAAATTCAAATCTTTATTCAATACGCAAGAAGTGTAATTGTGGGAGATTAGGTTGGGAAATAATAAAAAGCTGTATAATTAGAGTGTCAGGATTTACACCCTCCACTGGAAGCTACTATATCAGGTATAACTCCGCAAAATTGTAGATGGTTGGCAACTAATCCTTGCTCACATTTAATGATCTATTACTATGTGCCAGGTGTTCTGTCTGAAACAGCATGGGAAGAGGAATCAGAGACAGAATTGCCACCTATGTGGGGCCTTGCTGGGGTGCAGAAATTTTGTTTCTCACATTTTTGAAATGTAATACTTTGATCTGAATTTTACTCCTGCTTAAGGACACCAAGATGAAAGCGGATGGCACCCTGCCCCCCACCCTGGTGTAGTTTGTTAAGAAATGACTTTAGTTCTATGAAAGTGGATTCTTAGTTATAAACATAAAGAACTATCACCGGCTAGTAAGAAAGGATTTTATTGAAAAGATGTTGGGAGTTCATTTATCTTCAGGGATTCTGCAGATGGGCAGAGAGACTAGAAAACCAAGAGCACGAACCAGGCATAATTCAAACTTCACAACAGTGAGGGTACCAAAACAGCTTCTAGGGAACAACGCCAGGCACGACTGCCTGGAAGTTGCTGGTTACGGGTGCTTGATTGTCACTATTTCCTGGCATTGCCAGCTGCAGAGGCAGCTAACTAACAGAGCCAGGGGTGCATCCGGGGCTCTCTTTATGGGGGCATCCACAGTGGGAGGTAGTGGGTTTTGATGCAGGAAATTACTGTGTTGTATCTTGGGTTTTCTCAATTTATACAACAAATGTATACATACGTTCAGATGGAAGTAAGAAGTACCACATCTGAGAGCGGAAGAGGCACTGTAATCACCCATCCCAAAGAAGATGATTTCTTAGGAAAAGAAGTGAGTTTGGGAAATATATTAGATGTATTCTCCTGTCTCTTCCATATTCTTGGGAATTTGAGCCATCACTTATCTCTGATGTGCCTTGCTTGAGAAGTGGTTTCTATACTATATTTGATGATGTGGATCTGATAACACAATATTCAAATATTTTCCAGCTGTGTTAACTGAGTCTCTAGAGGCAGATCTCCTGAGAATTGTCAGTTGTGTTTATTTTCCAGTTAAGTCTACTTTCAGAGAGCCATTATTGAAAGAGAAAAGTTTCAACAGAAAGATGATTATTGTTAATATTATCGTGGTAAGACCACTTAATGTGAGATCTATCCTGTTAGCACATTTTTACACACCCACTGTTGTGTTGTTAACTATAGGTGCAATGTTGCACAGCAGACTTCAAGAGCTTATTCATCTTCCATAATAAAACTCTGTACCATTACTGTTGAACAGCAACTTGCCATTTCTCCCTCCTTTCACCTCTGCAACAGAATGATAAACCTGGAGAGCATTATGCTAAATAAAATAAGCCAGTTACAGAAGGACACATATTGCATGATTCCACTTATATGAAGTATCTAAAATAATAACGCTTATTCAAATACACGGTGGGATTTTTACTGGGAAAAACGCTCGCTCTTTTTAAAAAAAAATTGAGAGAGATTTGCTTTAGTTGATCAAAATTATAAGCTACCGGAAACTCCCCAAGATGGCATATTGTTGAAGCCATAGTGTGTGCACAGGTGTTGAATAGGCCCTTCAGAGATAAGAAGAGTAAAGTGTGGTATAAAAAAGAGAAAAAGTGCTAGAATGCAGTCATTGCAACATTAAAAGAAATGCTTTATCTTGGGGGAGATCCTTTGGCCAAACTATTTCAACTTGGAAAGATGTAGTAATATAAAAAGATTTCAATACAAGGAAATAAAGAAATTGCATCCGTGCTACTTCTCAAAAGAGTAAGAATTTAACTGATAAGGTTAATTATTATAAAATTAACTTTTACCATCTACATTAAAATTAGGAATTTTCTGAGAATTTGTATTCTTTTTGTCCTTTCAATAAAGGACTCAATATGTTTAACTCTATTTTAAACAGGAATGGCTGCCTATGTCTTGCAGTTTGAATGCAAGACCCTCAAATGCTCAGGAATTATCAAGTAAAGTTTATGTTAAGAAACTAGCATTCTGTTGAATCACTCAATAATGGTTATTATTTAGGATACGCAAAAGTTAATCACAAAAACTTAGACTGAAAGATACTGCTTACAATTATAGGTGGGAAATACCATAAAATACAACCTTTATTTATTTTGGAACTCGTTTTAATGCAGAATAATCCTAGCGCTCTATTTAGTAACAAGAAGAAACCAATTTAAATATCATGCTGATTTAAATAGTATAAATAATAAAAATGACAATTTTTTGTTAATTTTCAGACTCTACATAGCTATTTTTGTCTCTTCTATTCTTATGAAATATTCAGGGAAGATATTATTACTTTCACTTTACAAATGGGATAACTGAGAACTCAATAAATTGTATAATTTATCTCAAGACACAGAGCTGGTTCATGGTAGAGCTATCATCAGAAATCTCACGATTATTAGTTATCCCTTTCCAATTCTGAAGTCCTCTGGGAAGTGTCAGAATTTACACTCCTCACTAGGAACTACTATTGCAGTTGGAACTCTGAGGCTTTATTTGGGAGTTTTTCCTGATTACAGAAAATCTCTTCTTAAGAGAGGTTTTAATAAACAAAATAAGTCGGGGATATTACCAGATAGCCCCTATATCCTCAGAGCTCCCAGCATCACACCTTTTATAAGAACAGTATAGAAAAACAAAGTTCCTTCCCTCCTCCTGCCCTGTGTTATTTTTCCAAAAAACAAACAAACAAAAACCTAACTACACACTAAGTGTGAAAGTGATTGGAGTGGGGGAAGGCAAGCTGGGGCTGTACCAGGTCAAGGGTTGAAAAGAATTAGGGGATTATTACAGTTCTAGTTCGAAGACAAACACTTTTCAATGTATGTCAATGAACTTTATTGAACAGCCGCCATATACTAGTAACCCTCTTAGGTGTGTTGTACACTTACACATCGAAACCAGGGTTTCCCAGATTTCTTATGATGAAACAGATAGAAGGTGATAATGCTGGCACAGCACACATGGACAGTGTGACGGAAGGAGACCAATTAAGGACGAGCGGGTCCGTATTTCTACACACCTGCCACCAGCTGGACGGCTGTGCTGGAAGTCTAAGCCCTGGATGCTTAGCTGTGTGATCTGTGAACCGGCAGCATCAGCGTTCCCAGGGTGCTGGTTAGAAATACACCTCTCAGGCCCACCCAGACCTGCTGAATCAGAATCTGCTGTTTCCAAAATTCCCAAGTGATTCTCATGCACCTTAAAGCTTTAGAAACACTGTTCTAATTAGTGTTCTTAAAATATTGCTATGGGATACAGGCTTTAGTAAATTCTCAGGATATTCTACCATGTACTCAAGTTTGAGAAACAGGAGATTTAATAAATACTGATGTTTGGATCCCATCCATAGAGATTCTGTTTTGATTGGTGTAGGGTGTAATCTGGCATTAACATTTTTAAATTGCCCCTGGTGAGTTTCATGAATGGCAATGTTTGGGAACACCTGCTTTAAGTTAAGCCATGAGCTAATTGTTCTTCATCATATTGCAGATGTGGGAACTGAGACGTTATAAGGAAATCCAATTTGCGAGTGGTAGAGCCAGACTTAAGCTTAGACCCTTAACTCACTTATTCTCAAAACTGGTCTGTGCTGTTTATTATTTTACAGGAGAGTTCTATATTGCTATGTTTAATACATTAGTATCATTTAAATATATTTTAATATATGCCCGTGATGGATAATACTGAGTGTCCACTTGATTGGATTGAAGGATGCAAAGTATTGATGCTGTTGTGTCTTTGAAGGTGTTGCCAAAGGAGATTTGAGTCAGTGGGCTGGAATGGCAGACACACCCTTTATCTGGGTGGGCAGCAACTAAATCAGCTACCAGCTCGGCCGGGATATAAAGAAGGCAGAAAATCATGATGGTTAAGCAAACTAAATATGGCCTGAGAAGGACTCTGTACTTCTATAGGTGAGTCCTTGTGGATGAACTGTAACCTAGCTTAATAGTCAGACAAAATTTAAAACCTAATTTAATAGTATGCACTGTAACAATGGCTGAATGTTGCCCAGTCCCAGTGGGATTCAACCACTCATAGACTGCTTTTGTTCAAACTGCGTTCAAATAAGGCAAACGCCGAGCTGGAACCAATCTCACTGTTTCTGTACCTCGCTTCTAATTCCTGTACGTCACTTTACCTTTTTTGTCTATAAATTTATTCTGACCACAAGGCACCCCTGGAGCCTCTGTGAGTCTGCTGTGGTTCTGGGGACTGCCGGATTCGCGAATCGTTCATTTCTCAGTTAAACTCCTTTAAATTAATTCAGCTGAAGTTTTTCTTTTATCAATGAAAAGACTAGACTGGCTTAGCCTTCCAGCCCGCACCTTTCTCCCATGCTGGATGCTTCCTGCCCTTGAATATCAGACTCCAAGTTCTTCAGTTTTGGGACTCAGACTGGCTTCCTTGCTCCTCAGCTTGCAGATGCCCTATTGTGGGGTCTTGTGTTCGTGTGAGTTAATACTTAATACCCTCTCCTTTATATATACATCCTATTAGTTCTGTCCCTCTAGAGAACCCTGACTAATACAATGTCTCCATTGAAAAGAAAAGAAAATCTATTAATAAACTGATATAGTCAGAGCCCCTCAAGAAAAATACCAAAGAAACTCCAATGTTGTAGAGAATTATTTTATTGCTCTAAAGACATCAAAATAATTACATGCCTTGTTTACGATGCTTTTAAGTTGATCACATTCAAAGATGTGTCCTATCCATTCATGTACATACATTCAATTTCATATTGACTCTTGCCTTTTTCAGCAGTGATCAGTAAAAATTATCTAAAAATCAATCCTGAAGGTTATACTTTATTTTTCCATTTTGAACCTTGCCCTTGAAAGATCATTTATATATTTTAAACACATTTTTAAAAATGAATCTCCAGAAGTCTAATTTCTCATGCTAACCAAATTAGAGAGGTTAATTCGATGACGAACTCTTAGAAACAATCATCATTAGAACTTGGGTATTATTTCAAACGCATCTCTCTTCCAAATCTTAGCAGTTGAAACAATTTCACAGGTTAAACCAGCCAGCTTGACAGCCCGTGAATGGCTACTCACTAAAGGGTCCAAGCAGAGGCAAAATGATGGTCCTATCTCTTAAAGACAGAGCAACAGAATATTTGGAATTAAATAGAACTGGACTTAAATCTCATCCCAGTGGACAACTGGGAAAACTTGGAAACATTAATCCTGCTGAATATTTGTGCATCATTTAATAACTAATACATACTGAATTAAGTAGTTAGCAGGATTTACAACACTGTGTATAAGGAGCCTGGCATGTGTTTCCTGATCTTTGGTGTTTTTAGAGTTAATATTATGACAGTGTGTAAACTTGGTGTCGAGAATTAAAATTTGCTTAACAGTTCTAGTGTTCTGTACACTGTTACCTATGTTCATCGCCTCCAACTCATTGAGGCTCATGATGCTAAGGTGAATTCTGGATTGAAATCTAGGTCTGTCTGCTTATAGGGCCTTTTTCCAACTTCAGGGTTTCCTGCTTTTGCTCAATTGATCCTTTCAAGGCTCCATCACGTTTGAGCTACAGCAAATCATGGTGTCCACTGTTCACTGATGGGCTATGTTCCAGAAGTTGCAAGAAAAGTAAAGGGGGATAAAAGAAGAGAGAGAGAGAAGACCCATAAATATTCTGAAGTATATGACTAATCTAGTATAATGGAAGCTCAGAAAATAAATTGTATTTCCAAATATATATTTCTGAATTTTTTGGTATTTGTTATTGGTATTCTCTGAAGGGCCACTTTCTTTTCTTTCTAATGCTCTATGTCCTTACAAAGGAATGACTATTAATTCACTGGAATAAGAATCACACTAATTGGCACACAGTCCCAATCTGCTTGGCATGTCATTTAATGTGCAGCCATTTACCTGGTCAAGTGAATACTTGAAAATTAAACAGTTTTCTTGCGCTATGATTGATGGCAATGCAGTCTAGGGTTAAGTCTTAAACGTAATCCCTTATAGGATTTCCTAGGTTCTCCCTCAGAGTTTCTAACTCCATAGATTTGGGGGTGGGTCCCAGAATTTCCATTTCTAACACGTTCCCAGGCGATGCTGAAGCTTCTGGTCCAGGTACCACACTTTGAATACTGCTGTTTTAATGCTTACATGGGGTAGCATGAGTTAGTTTTGCCTGGGGCTTTTAATTCCAAGTTCTGCTACTTAACAGCTGTGTTATAATGATTAAGTTATGTGATGTCTCTGTAGCTTGATTTCTTTGTATAATGAGGAAAATAATCATACCCTTTTACATAAGATTATTGTGAGAATTTAATAAACAAGAAATTTCTTATAATGCCTGGTACATAGTAATCACTCAATAAGTTATGTCAATTGTCAAAGCACATGTCTGAATTATAGATGAGAGAGAAATATTGTGAATTCTATGGCACTTTAATGGCCTGTTCTCTCTACCCATCTCTAGCCGTACCTTACACTGGCTTATCCTGTGCTCTTCCTTTCCTGAGGGAACCCAACCACATATACTGCCTAAAGCACTCTTTTGGCACTTCTAACATAGGTGCAAGGAGGAAATTTCAAGAAATTATGACAAACTACAAGACTCAAATCTCCTTTTAAATTTTAAAAATCAAAACATGTATTCATATCCCATGGCACATATGGATGAAGATATTGTTTTTCTCAGTTAATATTTTAGTTTTGCTTTTGTGCCAGAGCCTTCCTTTTTTTTTGTAAATGTCCTTTATCAGGCTACTGCAGAATTGCACAAATACTGAATTGCCCCAAAATATTTGCCTTTAATTTGTTTCTTTAAAGCAAATGTAAAACTACAATGGGTTATATTTACCTAGAGGTTTTATCACCATACGCTTAATTTAAACTCATATAAAAATAGAATTAGTTATATTTAGTCTTATTTTCATCATTCACTTAATTTAATATAATTCTTAGTCCATAACTTAGATATAACAAAAATTTGTATTTTTTCTATCCTCCATTTGCCCTAAATCTCCTTAAACAAAACAAAACCCAAGGAAACATTTTTGCCTGGAAAACGTGAAGTTTGATTAGTTCCACCTACCTTAATGCACTTTAATTTGGGCCCCTTCTCCTCGGTAGTCTAGAATATAAACTTTTTTTTTTTTTTTTTTTAAGAGATCTGTTTGGAAAACCTACCAAAACAAGACAAACTCAATGATTTCCTTACAGAGAGAAGCCTGGGGAAAGAATTAGCAGGAATTTCTCAACGGGTGCCGCTGCTACTAGTTTTTTATGCATGAGTGCTTGTCATTTGGCAGAAATCAATTGTTCTCTTTACACCACAAGAGTGGTGGAAATGGGGGTAAAACTGCAAGTTAAGACTGCTCTGAATGTGGATTCAACACTTCACTGTTGTCCTCCAACATGCGCCCTCAAAGTACCACTTGGCTGGGAATTAAAAAGGGTTGCCTTTAGCAAAGCTTTAATTTAAAATAGTCACAGGTGACAGCGCTATTATTTTTGCACGTTCAGATGCAGCCACAGCTGTTTTTATTGATCTCAGCTGCATACACACCCATTTGTTGTAATTATTAGTTTCTGATGTAGCTGAAGATACATATCTCGAATGCCTATCAAGGCTAAATTAAATTAAGGAAATCGTACTTTTCACCTTCACCCTCTTTGGTCCTGCTTTGCTGCAGGAAATTGCCACAATGTAAAACTTTGAGCCTCATTTCATCTCCCCCCACTAGGAGTGATTTCCAAAGTTGTCCTAGGTTCCTGATCTATTCCAATTTAATAGTTACTGACATTTTTTCCCTGTATATTTAACACACTACAAGCAATTACCATGTGGCAATTATGAATTTAAAAATTAAAAAAAACACAATTATTGCTACTACTGATTAAACATTGTTAGGACTTTGAAGAATAAAAAAGTGAATTCAACCTGCCCTCGGCTTTCTAAAAATTGCCTTTTTGCTCTTAAAAATGCATGTACAGCTTTTTTCATATAAAAATAATTTCGAGTTTCTTCTATACGCATAAAATATTTTCAGCTATTTTTGATTTCAGGAAGTATGAAAAATTAAGTATACACAAAAGAATTGCGGCATGACCCGTTCGAACTCTGTCTCAGTGACAGACAGTTTTGGATTGTAGACCTCACTTTGTTTTGCGTATTTCTGTTTGTTGTTTCACCTGTGGTCCATTCACTGTATTTGATGTGTTGCAAAACAATGGCATAACGGCGTTCCCACCAGTAATGTAAGAAGAAACATGGAGGAAGCAAGTAAGGGTCTAGGAAATTTGGGAGAGAGGAAAAGAGACATAATTAATGAGGAGAGGGATCAAGAAGATTGGCAGGATTTTTAGAAGGGAATTTGATTTGCAAGGTACCCAGAACATGGCACACAAAATTGTAAGAAAAACAAATTTTTCTTGAACATTTATATAAAGATTCCTTTGGGAAAATAGAACAAATTTGGTTGTAGAGTGGTCTGGGGTTGATTTTAAATTGGAAAAACACAGTTTTGTTTTTTTTTAATTTGAAATAAGAGCTGATATGCAATATTGTAGGGGAGTTGGTTGACTTTTTAGTCAGAATAGTGGCTTTTACAACCATGGTGACAACATTAACTGTGGATCCTCTTGACGTCTTCATAAGTTCATTAATGCTGGGGGAAAATATGCATAGCAACTAATCTACCAATATTTGAGAGAATTAGGCAACCTCTCAAGAATGTAGGAAAGAAATGTAAGTCAACAAGCTTATACAATGTAAAAACCATGAATAGGCAGGTAATAAATAATAGAAATTGATTTTTTCTGTCCAGTAAAGACCATGAAAAGAGAAATATTATAATTTTAACTTGAGTGCTCTAGAATACTGGGTTTGTTTTTTTAATTGATTAATATGATTTTAAAAAATTATCATGAATTTAAAAATATTTTCTCCATTACTTTGAGTTATCACTTTAAACATAGGTAATATCAAGATATGTTTCTGAATTATATATTTAATTATGACCACTAAAGAGCACCCATGAAATGGAAGTGTTAACAGCAATGTTCTGTTGTAGGAAGATAATCATATTGGTTATGTCTGCTTTATAGTAAAGTTATTGTTGATTGATTTGCCTTTTCCTAACTTAAGTCTTTTTGGTCTTTTCTTCTATTTGTTCTGAGAGACCCTGTTCAAAGGGACATTTTATTTTCCTTTGTACAACAGTATTTGCCTGACATTTACTCTCCTCTAATAAATAATATTAAACTCTAGTCCTAATACATTTACTTACCTAAGGAAATCGGCCTTCTGATGGACCCCCGGAGGTGAGATACATTTCTGGATGAGGATCTGTTGAGAAGTTGAGCATTTGTTCAGCTACTAAGTCACTGCCACCACCTCGTTAGCTAAACATACTCTGTGCTCATTCCTTCATCAGTAAATTTTGGTTGGGACACATGACAGGTGATAATAGAGGTTATTAGCTGCAATGCTTATTAAAATATTTGAAGATATACTTTAGCACATTTTAATAATTATTGAGACTGTCCCTTAGTAACAGTAGCTCTTCTAAATGAAAGCTTTTAAAATTGCATGTAAGTCAAAACAAAGCATTATTTGTTATTCAACTTTATATAAAAGCTGTCCAGTGATTTCAAATATGTACTAACATTTAATTTCAATTCAAAATAAGTATTTTTATGTTTTTATAAAGTGATTAAATCACTTTATTGAATTCTATCCCTTTATAAATGAATAAAGGAATGAACTCAAGTTGTTTCTATTCTATTAGCCTTTACTTTTCCCTTCCCCCAATTAACCCCAAGCAAAAATGTATTGACTTTGACCTGAGAAGAGATACGTCAATTTTGTTATTTATTTTGCCTCTACTCCTATTTCCCATACATATATGGGACATATATATCAGCACAAATTAGCAGGCCCACCAATTTCTTACTCTTGGATCCAGTCTGATCTTCTAACTCGTGAAATAAACTACCATGCAGCACGGATGATCATTCAAATTACAGCTTAGGGTTGATCATAATGTCTTCATTTTAGTATCCCCTTTAGGTTGACATTATTTATTAAAAAGGTAGTTTTCAATCGGATTTATGGGGCATTATCGATAGTAAGTCTACTTGATACATTGCACATACCTTTCTTCTGCCAAAAAGAAGTGTTTACAAAAATGTATTTGACCAAATACTTTACGGTAAACATCACGGTCTGAAAGGGAACTATCTTCTTTGAAAGGATTAAAGCCTCCAGATAGATACAAATAAGATTTTTTTAAAGTAGACACATGTTAAATCATGGAACAGCAAAGGGGATACTTTATGGAAATGAATTCACAAGATAATAATTTGAATTTGACAAGGTGATAATTAAAGTCCCCAGATAGATTTCTTCCACATCTGTATGCCTTTCAGTAAAGTTGGTTAGCATATTAACTACTGCTGGAGAATACAGAAAATATTCATGGGATGTAAAACTGCAAATTATTATTCATTTCAATTTGTATAATAAGTGTAACAAAATGCAGTGCATACAGTGTTACACAAGAGGTACCAAACTCCATTATAGACATTTTTAGAGCAAACGTGGGATCCTTATATGACAATTTTTGTCTTCAAATATTCAAGACATTTAAGTATGAATTACCACTTTTTGCAATTTAAAAGAAATTTTGTTTATCTTCAATGCTTTCTAGGGCTAACAAATTCTTACTTCAAATGACTAGAATCATTTTTAAATATTATGTACTAGGATATGTGGATATGAACATATATATTTATACACAAATATATGTACACAGCCAAATAAACAAATAATTAGTGTAATCTATATGTATTAATATTGTTATATTTTCCTCCAGAGAAAAATTGAGGTTTGCTGACCAGAGAAGAAGAAAGCATCAATGTGTGATTAAAAAAAAAATGTATATATATATATATATCCACTACATTTCTAATTTGAAATAGTGATCCTGCATACTAATTCTCTTATTCATAATTGAGTTTCATAGTACATTCATTTTAATTTAGACATTTATATGAGAAAGCATGTTTAATATGATGATAAGAAACTGTATGAAATTTTGGGAAAGAACTGTTAAGTGTGCCCACACACTGTAGGCACTGAATGTCACACTTGAGAATGTCCCTGGTCCTAGCTTATCTATAACAGGAATATTTTCCATCATATGGAATTTAAAGATAAGAAATGAATCACCACGCAGAGAGATGTGCTATCACATCCCATCTATGGAAAAAACAAATGAAAAAAAAAAAAAACATGAAGAAAGACTTTTTGAAGTGCAGCATCACCTGCATTTATGATATTTTCAGACATATAAAACAAATATTATTCTCATGGTTTTGAATAAAATTGTCACTTTTAAAATTTGACATGGGATATCACAATGGACAATGCAGGGACCCTTCAGCCCATAGTCAACAGGTGATCAATTGTGAAAACTGATATTCTCTATTAGGAAGGTTAGCTAGAGTAGGAGATAAAAAACAACATGATTACAAAAAGGAGGATCATTTGAGACCAACTTTAATGTGAAATTGTGTAGAAATGGGGGAAAAGATACAGAAAACATCTTCACAAGTCCACTTGAGAAACTAAGTTGGTGCAAAAGTTATTGCACTAATTACTTTTGCACCAACCTAATTGTAAGTTATGCTTGAAGAAACTTAAAAGGAGAGACGGAGAGAGTACACAACTATAAAAGCAAGTGGAACAAGAAGTGAAAATGACCAAAGAACATATTTGTTGAACATGGCCATTTTGACAATCAAGGGAGAATAGTAATTTAAAGTACAATGCCACAATCTGGAGAAGACTGCTCTTGCACACAAGTGAAAGCTCTCATCGGTCCTGTCTGATGCAAATTACAGGTACATTGCTGCACAGGTGTCAGATCGCACATAGCTGGGCTGGCACTGCCTCTCCTCTGGAGAGGAATGCAGCACATTCTCCACAGGCGACTGGAAAGTCTGGATTCTGTCATCTAGAAATACACCTTAGTTATCCCCTTGGCAAATTAATGGGAAAACAACCTCTTCACTTCTGTGTTTTAGAATTTCTGTTTTATGCCTTTTCATTGTTTCATGCAATTTTATTTTTTCACGAGGTCAGGCACAGCTAACTGTTGATTTTCACCAAATTACCTTGTTATTGGCTTGGCTCCATGGAGCAGCCCCTTCCAAGAAAGTTTCCCAAGAAACTATGTACTTCTTCTACTTGGACTCAGCTGTGTACCTATTTCTCTCGTCAGCCATTAGAGTGTTCCACTAATATAGTCAAAGCAGAACATCTGGCCTATTATATAAATGAATATTAGTTTTGAAGAAGATATCTTTGGAGACAGTAGAACAAAATGGATTTTTTTTCCTACACAGGAACTCTTGGTTTTTCCTCACTGCCCATTGTCATTTTTTCTACCTTACTCAGAACATGATTTTCCCTCAACTGCACCTTTCTGTAACTTTGACCTGTGCCATCCTTGTGAAATAAGTGATATGTGATTTATTTTAGTTTCTCCTTCTAAGTGAACATGCAGAGTCCTTCAGAGACCATCTGTGCCTCCTGCTGAGTCTCTGTGTTTTCTACCCGGGCTAGCTTCCTCCAGAGCCCAGTCTCAGGTAGATCTGAACCACACATGGAGGAGATTTTAAGAACAAGTCTTGTGACACTTCCTATGCTTTGGGTCCAAAAACTATTGATTTTCTTATTTCCCTGCAAGTGTGTCAGATTCTGGCAAAACTAGCTTGGAGTTTACTGAGTTTAATGATACTGAATGACATCAGGACTCACTCTTCTCTTTTCATTTTTTTGCTATGAGTGGGAAAAAATATAACTGTATAAGCAATGTACTTTTTTTCTTAACGCAATTTAATCTTTACTAAAATTAATTTTGATAATCATATATGTACAAAGTGTTTAATTTTGTTACTTTTTAATTCTTAGACATTGACTTTTAAAAATCTTAATCGTTGCTATTTTCACCCCTGACTTTATGCCCAGTGTCTATATGCATAAACACAAATCTTTCTACTCCTATCTGTTTAGCAAAATGTAAATAAAATGTCTTTAATTTATTTCAATTTTGTGTATTTTTTTTAAATTTACTTGCCTGGGTTGAGCATCTTTTAGTATATATTTCATTGTGTTTTACTGAAAATTTGACTTAAGACTCAGTGTATTACTGTCAAACTCTCCCGTCATGACTATCTCAGGTAGCTGAGGTATCACTGACAGCATAAGGAGCGACAAACCCTCGGGTAATGCAAATTGGCATATCCGACAACCCCAAGCTAACAAGATCATAACCAGGGACTTGCAAACATGTTTTTAGGACATAAACTCGTCTTAAGGTTTTACTTAAAGTAGCATCCATCTCATCTTTAACCAGCCTCTCCTAATCTTTGCAGAATTGTCCATTCTAATGCAGTCTTTCTTCATTCTTTCACCCGTGGCTCCATTAAATGTTTTTCTGCAGGTAGCCTCTCCACTGGAGTAACTGGACTGAGGATGGACTCCTTTCTTAAGAAATCCAGAAAAGCAACAAAAATCTTTCCAGTTACTACTGGAAAATTTCTGCAGTCATCATACATGTATCATTAGGTTCTCACCTACCATTCCTAGATTCTATCTATCTATTTACCTCTGAGGTTTCTTAGATTAGCCAAACACTTTTGCAGCTCTCGTATTTGCATTGTAGGGCCTTGGCTGAGACTAGATCTCCCAATATTTGGATATATTGAGGACTGGAAGTAAAGAAACACTGCCACTTCACACCTATGGAAATACTACCTTTTTCCATAGAGGCAGCTTGAATACATGATTAGGAATTCACTGTGACTTTGGTTTAGAGGAAAAAAAACAAAATGGGTTATTTGGTTATATAGAGAAGGAAGGAAGGAAGGAAGGAAGAAAGGAAGGAAGGAAGGAAGGAAGAGAAAGATCCTTTCTTTTTCCCCCCAGGAACATGGCAGTTTGAGAAAATCGGGAATAAAACATGTCTTATAATTTGTTAAATATTGTAAAATACTTTCCTTATTGTTAGTAGAATTCCATCTTGGCAGACTATTTCTTCTAGGAAACCATTTACCCTTCTCCCCTTCTCTGGGCACTGCATTTCTCTTTCTGGTAAGAAATCTGTCAAAGGCACTTCACCAGGAATCTGGCTCTTATAAAATGCAATAAAACTGCAGGCAATGGGGAAATGACCATTACTGAAACTCCTTTGGAGAGGGCTTAGCTTATGAAGTTTTTGAGCAGTTCTACCTGATGACCAGCTTACTATGCTCATCTTTACTTCCTCCTGTAACAGGATGACTGACACGTCTCCTCTTTGTCATGTGACCTTGCAGAGCCTTCAGGAATTTATGTCGACTGCACATTTTCCTTGGCCAGTGGCTCTGGTCTTGGCCATTGACTTGCATCAGTCAACAGAAATGTTGCAGACCTAACATGAGCAGAGGCTCTAAGTAAACGTGTGTGATTTGGATTGGCCTCCTGTGCTTCTGCCATTTGTCGGAGCAACATTATTCATGCCGCCACAGGTCCCCAAATGAGAAGATGCATGCAGCTGATCTAGACTTAAGCTATAGCCTAGAATCACATCCAGCCCATCCCAACAGACCCAGAGTGAGCCGAAATCTTCCCAGCAGTTTCAAGAGCAGGGAATGGCTGTTGTTGCAAGCCTTTGGGTTTCCTGGTTATGTATAAAGCAGCATTACTCACTAAAAACTTCATAAATACAAAGCTTTCTGCATGAGTTTCTATTCTGTGCCCTGCAAGCTTTTATTAAAGGCATGTAGAGTGAAAGTCTGATTTTACCTGAATTTTAGGAGGTCAGGGCCAAGGCTGGATGCAGCCTAGCAGTTGTGCTGTGCCATGGGAAGGGACAGCATGTGCCCCCAAAAAAAGTCAGAACAAAAAAACCCACAAAGTTTGAGTGTGGAAAAGTGCTACAGGCTTCTGGAATCAGTTGGCTCACTGAAGTTCAAGCAGCAACTATGAAAAAGTTGTGGGACATATTAGCATTTTATAGGGATTCTTAGAAATACCTAGGGAGAGAAACCCCATAAAAGGCTAGATTTTCTGCCATAATACACAAAGGGACACAGGCTATTGGTATTTAGGCATTAAAGGGAAGTTTGACCCACCCCTGAAGGCTGAATAAGTGTGAGACACCTGGTTTATATTTATATAAATTTTTGCACAGGACAAATTCAACCTTCTAAGCACAATGCAAAGTAGCATATCCAATCTATTAAGCACCATGCCTCTTAACTCATAATAAATAGCATATAGCAATCCTGCCACAGGCGCTAACATTTATTGAGTTTTTCTACTGACTAGGCTGCGCCAAAATATTTTTCAGGTTTTAACTCATTTACTGATTCATGAGATAAATTATTTTACTATCTTGATTAAACAACTAAGTAAAGTTTTGTTTAGAAGAGTTTAGTAGTTACACCAAAATCCAGCAGAAGAAAATGACTGTAATTTCCTATATAACAATCCTTTGATAGTTTTTCTTTATCCCTTCTCCTTACATCTGTGACTAACACATTATACTTCCTTAAAATAAGGTGGGAGCCAGCATTTATAAAATATATGCATATAGAGAAAACTAACACATACATTAAGGAGAGGTGGAGAAAAAAAGAAAGATCATATATAATCATTTATTTTTATGTCCATTTATGTAATTTATCTATGTATATAAATGACTTACAATAAAAATGAGTGTATTCCTAGAAATAATAGACAACAGGGAATTGTATTCTTGGGGTGAAGTCTACAATGGATAGATGGAATAGTTGTATGAATAACATTTTTGAGTATATTAGCTTATCTTCAAAATGTGCTTGGTCTTGTCATTTAGATTATATTATATCCATGTATATAAAGAATAATGATATTAATATACTCTTACTGCTAAATTTATACATTACTAAAAATAAAAAGTGTCATATATTTGAGCCTGAGGACTTATTTGAAAGTCTTACATGAAGAATATTAGAAACATAGGGATTACGTATCTTGAGGATGAAATCTGTATAATTTCTACTTCAGCAAATCTTGAAAAGCACTCTGATATGTCATCTATTGCCTAATAATGCTGATCATACGGAAACTGGATCAACTTGCAAACTGGATCAACTTGCAAACTAATATTACATGTAGTAATATTAGTTTACTTCAATTATCTTTCCTAACTCTCACCTTGAAAGTACTCCACTCATTAAACTATGCATATACATATATATATATATATATATATAGAGAGAGAGAGAGAGAGAGAGACAGGATCTAGCTTTGTCACCCAGGCTGAAGTACAGTGGCACAACCTTGGCTCACTGAAACATCCGCCTCCTGGGTTCAAGCAATTCTTCTGCCTCATCCTCCCCAGTAGCTCAGATTACAGGCATGTGACACCACACCAGGCTAATTTTTTGTATTTTTAGTAGAGACGGGGTTTCACCATGTTGGCCACGCTTGTCTTGAACTATGGAACTCAAGTGAACCGGCCTCCTCGGCCTCCCAAAGTGCTGAGATTACAGGCATGAGCCATGGTGCCCGGACTATTCTTGTATTTTGGGTGTCTTTTTTTTTTTTTTTGAGTAGTCATACAGAATTATAAAGTGATTCACACCCTCTTATTCTAAATGTGTTCAGTCTAAATGCAAAAGTTTTAGTATAAATTAATTCTGTATATTTTTATTTAATTTTAAGAGTGGAGAGATATTAGCTAATAAAATTAGCTTTGGAAATAAAAAGAACAGATACGGTTATAGTTCCTTTCCCCAAATGTTTTAAACTTACAAAAGCAATTAAGAAGCAGTATCACAAGATTTAAAGTTTTTAAGGATATTATTTTGTTCCCTAATAGACTACACACCGTCAATAGTTAAAGTTCACTAAAAATCCAGAAGTTGCCACATTAGGCTGAACTCACATTTATTATTTCTGTTATTAGCTTAACTTATATTTATTATAGGAGGGATGACTTCTTTTTACAATCATTTAATATGACAAATAATATATTACATTTTGATTTAATGACAACTTTGTGCTTTATCTAAAAGGTAGCATTATTTTTGTGTGTGAATTAATCTATGTTCCAATAAAACTTCCAACATAAGTAAGGCTCTGTATGTATGTTATGTTCTTTCTATATCTCTGGATTATATGGATTTACATACTTGTATGCCAGTACATATGTACATATGTTTAAGTATAATATACATGTCTGAGTATAATATATACATTCTTACTGTACAAACTATGCATATGCATATCCATATTGCATGCAGCTATGTAGATAGACTCTGACAGCATAGAAAAATTTTAAACTTAAGCAAAGTTGAATAGCTCTCAAGTACTGATATATGTATGTGTCCAATATTATGATTCCACCATTGCTAATGCACACAAAAAAAACTACCAATTTATTTTTCTTATATAATTATATCTCTGATAAAATTATTGTTTATTCAGAAACCTAATATCGACCATTAATGTTCCAGTTTCAGAAAACAAAAACTCCTAAGAGAATGAATAGAAATTTTCTTAAGGAATTATAAAGAACCATCTCAGAATTTTACTCTGTTACTGCAAAATCTCATGCAAAGATAACCAAGTACGGTATGTGAACGTCTCTTCTTCTAAAGCTCATGAAACTGCTCTCTGATTCCTCTAGCGTTGACAGAGAATCTGGAGTTCAGTACTCCATTTCATTCCTGGACATTTAGCCCATTATTCTTGTATCCATATTTCATATTTTCCTTTCATGGGGGATAATTGTAAGTTAAAGGTGAATTTGTTGACTCAAACCTTATAAGGAATCATAGATCAACCTAAAGATTTCCTAAAAATATACCTACATATTGAATACTTGCTTTGTCTAAGCTGCTTAACAACAACAGAAAAAAACAAGCAAACAAAAACTCAAAAACAAAACCAAACCAAATGAAAACCTGATGGCCCAAACTTGTAAAGTGTATTTTCTTGGTTAATTATTTAAATAACAAATATGAGGAAGAAAGGCATTCTAGTGAATCTGCTTTAAATTACATAGGAGAGAGTCTTATGTAAACTAATGATAATGAATATGTTCGGAGGGTTTGTATGTGGAGGGCTTTGTGTTAAGCACTGTGAATACTTTGTTCCATTTAAACGCCACCTTAGACTCTACAAAGCTGAGAGAGATTATGACAGTTGACCAAGATTACACAATGAGAAAGTAAGAGATAGAAGTGGAACTTGATCACAGGAAGTCACTTCTAAAGACTCAACATTTGACCCTGGTCTCTAACGCATTGATTTTGAGCCCAGCAGCATGTGAATTTATTCCTATCAGGATAAATGAAATGCAAGTAACTTATTTAACTTGAGTCTCAGATACATCCAAATAAAAATAAATGCCCTCATTTATAGCATCACATTCTCAGTACTAAGTAAGCTATCTATAATGATACAATTCCATTGAGGCAGAAGACTTCACTTCATATCTACACGACATTTCATTCTTTCTTTCTATTTGTTTTTTCTAGAAGAATTAACTGAAATTCATCCCAAGATGAGGCATCTTGGCTGAGGTGAGATATGCAAATCATCTGTGTTGTTTGACAGTCACGGGTAGATAAATCATATCACTAACAAAAGTCAGTTGTTAAAACTTGAAGCACATTTAATAAAAAGAGAGATTCTCCCAGTCACACAGGCCAGGTGGGTGCATAGAAATGGCATTTTATCACTTACTGACCAGAGAGTTGCAAATACAATCCCATCACCTAAAAACAAGGAAACAAAACAATAATAAGAAAACTTTTTTTTTTAATTTTTAATAGAAAGTCAGTTTTGCTTCTGAGTAGGTATTTTAAAATAAACTTATGGGTTCTTTTAACTTTTTTTGCTTTACCTTACTAGACACTGAGTTATTATTTTTTGAAGGAAAGTGAATTATAAATCAGAAATTATTTTCTCTTTTTGTTAATAACCTTAGGACATAAGAAATACATATTTCCAGAGGAATTTATAGAAAAAATAAAAGTAATGCTTCCATTATTAGTATTCTCCCTAAAACTATAGTTAGAAATTATAAAAGTAGGGAAGGGTCCATCAATAGTATTGATTGAAAATGTAATGTTACATGTATCAGATACATAAATCCATAAATCCATAACAATGGCAAAGGGAGACATCATTACTATTTGGATAAATTAATATACTTGAATATTTTCCCACATAAATTCACTAACTATTCAAAAAACTTCACAGGACTTTTGAATTTCCGTTGTTTGTTTTACTGATTATGACAGCTCACAAAGCAGTATGTGTAACTTTCAATAATAATTTAGTGATGAAATATTACCAAACAAGAGGAGAGGATTTTGATTACCTATGGTATTAGTTTATATCATTGTGTAACAAATCTTCATAAAAATATAATTCATAAAAATTATATTTCATAAAAATATTCATAAAAATATAATTTTATAAAACATATTACCACGTGTTATCAGCTGGGTCCCAGACACAGAGTCCGTCAGAGTCCAGTGAAGATGTTGGCCAGACTACATTGTCATCAGAAGGATTGGCTGGGAAGAATCTGCTTCCAAACTCATTCAGCTTTGGTAGAAGTTATTTCCTTGTGGTTGCATGACTGGTCTTTTTGCTGGTTGTAGTTGCAGGTCCACATTCGTTCTAGAGGCTGCCTGCGGTCCTTAGAGGCCTCATAGGCAAGGAACTCATAGTTTCTTGCCATGAAGACTTTTCCAACATGGCTGCTTACTTCTTCAAGCCTGTAAGGAGATCCGGTCTCAGTTGGCCAGGTCTTGTGAAAGGTAACCTCATCACCGGAGTCAAGTGTCATCACCTTTCCCATGTTCCATTGGTTAGAAGTCCCAGCTCCTGCCCACATTCAAGGGTAAGGGGTTATACAAATGTGTGACCACCAAGAAGTCAAGATTATGTGGGTCACTTAGGGTCTAACTGCCACAACTACATATTTGGATATAATTTCAAAGAAAGACTGTGAAAAAGCATAAAGAATTGTAGGAATTGCCTGAGAATTGAGGACGTTCATCTGCAATGCCTGTAAGGCTTACATTAAACAAGTCTAGCTTACTGAGAAAGTTTTAAAAAATGGGTTTGTATGACTTTACTTATTGGGAGAAGCCATTTGACTTGTCTTTGAGGGGAAAAATAATTTAAAAATACAGATATACTCTCTCTGCAAAACAATTCCTGGAATATGATCTAACAGAAAAGCCCAGCAGACCTGATTCAAACCTGATGTGAACACAGAATGCTTTGAAATGAGTAAATTTAATTATTAAACCTAATTTTTCAGGTGAGGAAACTGAAACACTGGGGTTAAGTATCTTTTGCAGGGTCACACAGCTAAAGAATTTTGGAGCAGGAATTCAAATTCAGGCAGCTGGCTTCAGACCTCATGCTATTAAACCTGATATTAAACTTGACATCCATCTTACATGCAAATGTTACTCTCTCTATCAGGAAAATAACGCATTTATAAAAGCCAGCTCAGATGTTACTTCCAACCAACAAATTTCCTGGACACACTAAGTAATAGAGTTAATCACACCGTCCTGTAAGTACTACCCACAGTATCCGGGCTCTACCACATTGTAATGCAATAGGTGTGTTCACACTGTTTGTCTCTCCTGGTGAATCGTTAATTCATCAGAGCATGACTGTGTTGTGTGTCCCATTATCCTTAGTAAATAATGTAGTGCCTTGTGCATAGGAAGAAATTAATCTTGATGGCTTTCAAGTTCCACCCCAAACAGTCAAGCCATGTTGATTGAAAAGTATCTTCTCAGTTTGAGAGATTACCATCAGAGTATTTGAAACAAGATTGTATCCTTGGGGACTCCATATTGAGGACATTTTCTTCATAGGATTCTAAGGTCTAATGACTTGGCCTGATCCTAACCTAATCCTTTAGAAGGCTAGAGAATAAAATTAAATATGTTTTTCACTTTTCCAGTGGAGTAAGCAGGGTTTTATTGTGCTTCTTGAATCATTGTCACACTAGTAATCTCTTCAAAAGCGAATTTGTTCTGGAAAATAATGGGTTAGAGGCCTCTGTGGAGGAATACAGTAGTGGAATATTTTGAAATAATTGTAAAGCAAAACAGATAATTGCGTTTTTAAGCTCTTTGAAATATATACGTAAGATGTTATGTGCCTGAGGTTGAACAAAAAGATAAATAGTTACAGTCATTACCCAATAATGTACCAATTACAAATAGCATTGTGTGTACATGTCCTCTATTATAAAATCAGAACGGGATGAAAAAGATTATAATCACGTTAATAATTTGATTTGCTTCATTCATCTTTTGAGTTATCTTTTCATAAAATTAGATACTGTGTTATTTCCTTCTGGAAAGTACAATGGTGCATGTGAGGAGAATGTTTTCATGTTAATCAATGCTGACAAGAATATTACACTTAAAAAACACAGAAGGCAGGCAGGTTGGGGGTTGGAGGACAGACAAATGAAGAAGACCAGATTGAAATTATTAGTTGCCAGAAATATATCTATTGACTTTTTACATTTTTAGAAGTACCTCTGTTAGCTTCCCAAAATACAGCTGTTTACAGTGATTGATAAGTTCCCGTGCTTTTAAGCTTATTCACATCCATTAGTTCTGCCTTTTTCCCCTGTTAAAAATCTGAAGCTGTCACATTGAAGTAGCATGATCAGCTAATGTTCCTGCCAGATTCAAAGCATGTCCCCAGGGGTGGCAAAAGTATTCAAAATCTCAAAGAAATGGCTTTTTAAATGTTGCCTGTTGACATTGGTCACTCCATTTGCTGTATCAGAAATGTTGAAATAAATATCAGGCAATTATAGAAACAGGACTTTGATGATCAATTTTCTATAAATATTTTATGTTTAGCCCAAACAAAAGAAGGCATTTGGAATTCACTATTTTGTATAAAACTTTTATTTTAAAATAGTATGTAGTATATTTTCAAAATTGGTTAATTAATTTTCTAGTTTTCACTTCAAATAATGATTATTTACTCTATTCCCTCTAGCATTAGATTATTTTCTTGCAAACCGTTTTTTTTTTTTCTTTTTTTCTTTTTCCTGTAATAGTTTTAGAGTTTCTGCCTTAACACATTTAGGTATATTTTGTAGGAACAAAGGGAAAAGGTATCAGGGAGAGGAAATGATTTCTAAAATGTAAATTCCAAAGACAGGGAATGTTAAAAGTGTTTGCCAGTCCTGTTTCTTACAGAGCACAGAACTCAGATGCTCTTATAAAGATACAGGATAAATCACATCATTTCCTGCTCCATCATCAGAATATTATTATATGATTTAGATCACTTTTTTAAAAAAGAACATGGACTTAGTACAGAACAACAGCAAAAGCCTGGGGAAGGAGAGGAGTGCACCATGAGGAGTCAATGGGGAGCAGAAGCCAGTCCATTTGACTGATTTGGTTCGTGTGCAAAATAATTGCTAAATAATTGCATATATGTGAGACTCCGGGTATTTTCAAAACCAGCTGGCAAAATTGTGTTATTCTCTACCCTCTGCTGGCTTTCACGGGTTCTCTGTTCTCTCTCCTTTTCCTCCATTCTCCTCTTACCCTAATTCCTGACCACTGTAATCCAATAATCTAAGGTTTTAGGATTTGGATGACTAAGGTTACCCATGGAATTGTTTGGAAATGTAGACCTGTAATGGAGAGGGGAGAAAATGAAGAAATAGAAGCTGTACGAAAATAGTCAATACTGAGGCCAGGTACCGTGGCTCATGCCTGTAATCTCAGCACTATGGGATGCCGAAGTGGGCAGATCACTGGAGGTCAGGAGTTTGAGACCAGCTGGGCCAACATGGTGAAACCTCATCTTTAGTAAAAAATACAAAAATTATCCAGGCTTGGTTGTGGATGCCTGTAATCCCAGCTACTCGGGAGGCTGGGGCAGGAGAATCGCTTGAACCTGGGAGGCAGAGGTTGCAGTGAGCCGAGATTGCGCCATTGCACTCCAGCCTGGGCAACAAGAGTGAAACTCTGTCTCAAAAGAAAAAAAAAGAAAGAAAGAAAGAAAATAGTCGATACTGAGACCTGGAAACTGAGAGCGTTCATGAATGCTGCATCCAAAGAATATTTTGTACTACGTCTTATTCATGATACAAATCAAGCAAATAAGCACACTCTGTTGTTCACATATGACACTATATAGGTCAACGGGGTGAGAGAGCCACCCAGAAACAGACACACAATTTTGTTATCAGATATTCTGGAGAGGTTTCTCTGAGGCAGTGGCATCTGAAGAATATACAGATGTTAACCAAATGAAGCAGGTGGGTTTGGGGAAAAAAGTATTCCAAGGAGAGGGGCAGGGTGTAGGACAACTAAAGAGCAAGGGTGATTAGAATACTTTGATGAAGTGAAAAAAACACTCCAATGAGTGAGCGCGTATGAAGAAAAGGGTGGAGAGCAGATTATTGAGGTCCATTTAGATCATGTTTTAGATCCTGGACAGCATCCTTAAAATAATAAGGAGCCACTAAAAGTTTGAAGAAGGGCAATGACATGTTCCAATTTGCTTTTTTACAAGATCACTCTGACTTCTGCCTGGAGTAGCATATAAAGGGACTAAGCACGATACCAGGTGGCACATAGGAGCTGAAGTGGCTCTTGTCAAAATAAGGTGATGGGGATGGGAGTGGGTTTGTTTCCTAGGCTGCTACAACAGAGAACTGTGAATGGAGTAGCTTAAAATAACAGAAATCTATTCTCTCCCAGTTTGGGATGGAGGTTTCAGCAGGACATGCTCTCTCTAAAGACTTTAGGGGAAAATCTGTTCAATGTCCTTCTCTTAGCTTCCAGTGTTGCTGGCAATCCATGGAGCTCCTTGCTTGTTGGAATATCACTCCATCATCACGGTGTTCTTCCTGTATGTCTTCACCTTCTCTTCTCCGTGTATGTCTGCCTCTGTACCTCTTCTCCTCTTCCAACAAGGACCCCAGTCATAATGGAATAGAGCCACTCTAATGACCTCATTTTAACTGATTACATCTGCAAATATCCTATTTCTAAATAAGGTCATATTCATAGGTATTGCAGATTAAGACTGCAATATATCTTTCTTGGGGATATAGTTTAACCCCAAACAGGGGATTATTGAAAGGAAGTGAGATAAGGGTTAGTGGAAAGAAACCATGTAAAGGTTTTAAAATATATTTTTGGTGGTAGACTCAACAGGACTTCATGATTAAGTCTGAGTTTAGGGATGGAAGCAGAGTCGTGGTTGACTTCCAGGTTTCTTCCAGATGATGATGCCATTTGTTGAGACACAAAATCCAACGGATCAAGTAAGTGGTGGGTTGAGCATGGGTTCATTTTTTTGACATGCCAAGTTTGATCTGTCTGTGAAATTTTTATGTGGAGCTGTAGATTTGGTGGTTAAAAATGCCTTTGGAATTCAAATGAGAGATTTGAGTTGGAGAGATAAGTGTGGGAGTCATTTCTATTCAAATTATCATCAAAGCTATGCAAGTAGATAACTTTCCTCAACCAGATAATGTTTAGTCAGAATAGAAGAAACCTTGACATCAACATTAAACATTTTAAAGAACAATGTGGACTATTTCAGACTAATATGAACAAAAAGGACCAGACTAACCCTGCCATAAGAAAAAACAAACCGTCAAGAAACAGACAGGACATTTGAAACGATGGTTTTAGAGACAAAAAACATCAGGCAGCCAAGGACAGAAAAATAAGCAAATACATTGATCCCAACAATTGCCTGAGATTACCTAAGTTCAGGTAAAAGACAATATTGTCTGCTTTCAATATTTCTATTTAATTTGATATTGAAATTTGAATTCATAGTAGTAAGGCAGCAATAAATAAAAGGCATCCAAATTGTATAGGAGGAAATAAACTGGTTTTATCTGTAGACAATATCATAAACTATATAAATAACTATGAAACATACAAAAAGGTATAAGAGCTAATGCATGATTTTAGTGAGGTTTCAAAATTCAAATTTAATATATAACATTAAAATCACTTGATACAAGAGCAAAGAACAATATGTAATTGAATTTTAAAAAATTGTACTTATAATAGCAAAAAATATAAAATATTTCCAGATAAATCTGACAAAATTTGTGAAAGTTTCACACAGTTAAAAATAGAAAACACTAAGGAAAAATTAATGATTACCTAAATAAATGCAGAAAGATACATTTTTAATGGGTTGGAAGATAATATTCTTAAGATGTCAGTTGTCCCCAAATTCATCTATAGCTTCCCTGTAATCCCAGCAAGCTACATTGTGGAAATTGACAAGCTGAATTTAAAATTCCTATGTAAACGCAAAAGAATTGTTACAGCTGTAACACTTTTCTAAAAGAACAAAACTGGGAATAAGTATATTTTTAAGACAGTTATTAGCATTAAGATAGACAAATCAATAGGATAAAATAGAAAGTAAAAAAAAAATAGACCTATACATATATGGACAACTGATTTTGGCCAAGGGGCAAAGGAAACTTGTTGGGAGAATAGCAATATCATATTTTCAACAAATGACGTTGGAACATCTGGGTATTCATTACAAAACGGTTAATCTTTGATCCATATTTAAAATTTAACTCAAGTTGAATTATAGATGTTGGTGTAAAATCTTTAACTATAAAACTCATGGAAGAAAACATATGAGACTAACAGTGTCAATTAGCGTTAAGTAAAGATGTATTAGATGCAACAGAACAAAACATGATCCATGCAAGAATAAATGTGATAAACTGGACTTCATAAAAATTAAACAATCGCAACAACAAAAAATAACAAAGAAATGAAAAAGAGCTTCTGCTCTTTAAAAATCATTATTAAGAAAATTAAAAGACAATTCTCCATGGTACACAAGAAAAGATTTACAAAGGTTATATCTAATATAAGATTTGTATCCAGAAAGTATAAAGAAACCTCAATGTTCAATAAGAGAAAAAAAATAAAAATGAGCAAAAGCTTTAGCAGACCACTGAAAAAAAATGGGTAGAGAATATGCATATGAAAAGATGCTCAATATCATTAGTCATTAGGAAAATGCAAATGAAAGCATAACAAGATAGCACTGCCCTCTTTTTTAAAAGTCTAAAACTAAAAATGCTGACCATATCAAGTGTTGGTGAGAATATGGAGAAACTAGAACACTCATATCCTGTCTGTAGGAATGCAAAATGGTTAAATTACTTTGAAAAACAATAATGAAGCAGATTCCTTAAATAAAGGGTGATCTATCCAACTACTATTAGATCTATTCAATTGATCTAGGTATTTACCCATGGAAGTAAAAGCATATCTTCATTATAAGACTTCTACACAAATTATCACATCTTTACTTACAGCAGCTGAAACCTGGAAACAACTCTAATGCCCATCAACAGAGGAATGGATGGATAAAGAAACTGTGATGCAGTGGAATACGACTCAACGAAGATGAGACTAAAAATAATTATACTGAGTAAAAGAATCCAAACAAAATAGAGCAAACACTGTGCCATCCTGTTTATACCTTACTCCAGTAAATGCAAACTAATACACAATGAAAAAAATTACTTATTTGAGAACTGGGGAGAGGAAGGAGAGGGAAAGGGGTAGATAAAGAAAAGAGGAGAGATTAAAAGGAGCATAAGAAAACCTCAGAGAATAATAGGTTTGTGGTAAACATTACCGTGGTAATGTTTTTAGGGTATATTCACATGTAAAAACTTATCCAATTATACATTTTAAATATGTACAGTTTAGTGTGTCAGTTATGCCTCTGTAAAGTTGATTTTAAAAAAAGTTCCTATTTCCAAGTTCACAATTTCATTTGAACTCTTAAAAACTGGCCAGGAGCAGTGGCTCATGCCTGTAATCCCAGCACTTTGAGGAGCAGAAGCAGGCAGATCACGAGGTTAGGAGTTTGACACCAGCCTGAACAACATGGTGAAACCCTGTCTCTACTAAAAATACAAAAAGTAGCCAGACGTGGTGGTGGGCACCTGTAATTCCAGTTCCAGGAGGCTGAGGCAGGAGAATTGCTTGTACCTGGGAGGCGGAGGTTGCAGTGAGCCGTGATCGCACCACTGCACTCCAGCTTGGGTGACAGAGTGAGACTCCATCTCAAAGAAAAAAAAAAAAAAAAACTTACACCAAGGTCAAAGCAGAGGAGCTGGCAAAAGAGACTGAGAAAAAGAGCAGAGTGATAGAGAATAAGAAATGAGAGCTCCCACGGAAGCTAAGGGCAGGAACCACACAGTCCTTCCTCATGCTACTTAGAAGTTAAAAAAAAAAATGAGAGTTAAAAAAGGCCATTCGTTTCAGAAGTAACATTATGGACTAATGAAAAGGAATTTAGTTAAATAAGGCATGAGACAAAAGAAAGTAGGTTGACTGAGAAATGATGAAATAGAGGTAGCAAGTAATATGGTTTGGCTGTGTCCCTACCCATATCTCATCTTGAATTGTAGTTTCCACAATCCCACGTATCATGGGAGGGACCCTGGGAGGTAACTGAATCATGGGGGCAGGTCTTTCCTGTGCTGTTCTTGTGATAGTGAATAAGTCTCATGAGATCTAATGGTTTTATAAAGGGGAATTTTTCTACACAGGCTCTCTCTCTTGACTGCTGCCATATAAGTCCCTTTGCTCTTCCTTCATCTTCTGCCATAATTGTAAGGCCTTCTCAGCCATGTGGAAATGTGAGTCAATTAAACCTCTTTCCTTTGTCTCAGGTATGTCTTTATTAGCAGTGTGAGAACAGACTAATACAGCAAGTATAAAAAACATTAAATGTTTGTCTTCTAAGGGAAGAGAGGAGAGTAGAGAGAGAGAGATTGTTAGCTGAAGGGTAAAGTATTCTTGTTATTAAGATATCAGAGCCTAGAACATATTTAAATACTGATGAGAAGGATACAAGGGAGAGAGAAAATTTGAATCAATAGTTTGTTTCCACTACCACAGAAAAGGATGAGATCCAGAGGTTTGATAGAGGAATGAGTTTTCCTCATTGGAGAGATAAGAGCAGATGGGTTTGAATGCTGGATCCTAAGGGTGGGATATTAAGGGAGTCTGTTTTTTATGGCTTTTATTTTCTCTTTGATCTTGGCAGCAAGGATGTCTGCCAAGATTTAAGGGTTTGGACAGGAGGATCATAGTTTTAATGAATAAAAACATATATGAAATAGCCACTTCAGAGAGTGGGGCAGACAGTATGTGTTTTAGTTTAGACCAGAGTCCCTGGAGTTATAGGGGTTTGAATTCAAATCCTAGCTCCTCCATTCACCTGTGGTACTGTGAACAATGACAGAACCAAGTTAAGACCCCAAATCTTCTTTAAAGTGGGATGATAATGGCATGTTCACCATAGACTTCTTGGGAGTAATAAATGAAATACTTTAGTTCAACTATTTTCACAGGTCCTGACACTGGGTTTTGAATAAATTGTGCCCAGGACTATTGCTATTATAAAGCAAAATGAAAAAACACAATGGCCCAATTAATATGTTTCCAAGGAGTTCAATACTAAGAAGAAAAGTATTGTTGGAAATGGAAATCCACATTACTAGATTAACATGTGGAGAACTTGCTCAAAGAGGAGGCTGGTTTAGATGCTGTGATAATTTTAGATGTCAAATGGACTGGATTATGGAAATACCCAGAGAACTGGTAAAGCATCATTTTTGGTGTTTCTGCGAGGATGTTTCCAGAAGACTTTGGCATCTGCGTCAGTGGACTGAGTGAGGAAGATCCCTCCTTACCGTGGGCAGGTGCCGTCTCATCAGCTGATGGCCCAGATGGAATAAGATAGAGGAAGGAATATGTGTTTCTCTCCTTCTTAGGGCTGGAACTTACTCTTCATTCCCTGCTCTTGGACAACAGAACTCCACTTTTTGGACTCTAGGTATTACACTAGCACCCCACTTCCCATAGCCGAGTTCTTACTCCTTAGATCTTGGTCTGAGAGTTACACCATTGGCTTCCAGGGCCACACTACTCCATGCCAGGATCTCCAGCTTGCAGATGGCTTGTCTGGAGGCTTTTCAGTCTCTATAATCACGAGCCAATTCTCCTAACAAATGCTATCTATCTATCTATCTATCTATCTATCTATCTATCTATCTATGTATCTATCCATCCATCCATCCATCTATGTATCTATTATCTATATCTATCCTATTGGTTCTATCTGTCTGGAGAACCCTAATACAGATGCCAGCAAACCAAAACCAAGTGGCAAATGTCTACCATTGACATTCCTCTCCTTCCTTAATGACTCTTAGGAACCAAAAACACATGTAAAATTCCATGTAATACACAAGCCAGAAAAGGTAAAATATTGTATCTGCTAGTTCACACAGCTCATTTCACTACCACAATCTACCATTATTCAAATACTGATTTAGAAAATGACAGCCTCCAAAAGACTAAAATCATCAGTTTTTACTTAGAAGAAAAAGAAATGAAATTTTAATGACAGGGAATTTTAATCTTACTATTTCAATTTATAAGATGTGACTGGCTGAATATTGTTATGTACTAAAATGATAAATACTATGTGTTATTAAATATTTTGTCATTGAAAAATGACCTATTATTCTGACCTATTTTATTTTCAGGGGTACTTTTAGATAAAGGAGTTTATAAAGGCTTCTGCTAAAGAAGACATCAGAGAAAATGTCTTCCAATTGATTTATCTTGCTTTGTTTCTGAGCATCTTGACTCCAACTGTATTGCAATGAAAAATAATTTTTTTAAATGGCAGAGACTCTGATTTGTCCTATGCCCCTTCTTCTAAATTCCAAGAGTCTATGTGAACTCTTTCTATGAGTTTCTTAAAATTCACGAAAGTAGTCTCTACTGGTTTAAATGGTGTCCCCTCAAAATTTATGTCATTTCCAGAACCCCAGAATGTGCCCTTATTTGGAAATAGGGTCATTGTGGATGTACTTAGTTAAGATGAGGTAATACTAGAGTAGAGTGGGCTCTACATCCAATATTGCTGGTGTCTTTCTAGGAAGAGGAGCAGAGCCACAGGGAATGGTGACCATGTGAAGACAGAGGTAGAGATTGACTGATGTGCCTGTCAGCCAAGGAAGGTGGCGCATTGCCGGCCACCATCAGGAAGTCGGAGAGAAGCCTGGCACAGATTCTCTGTCCAGTGGGAACCAGCCTGTGTGTTAATTTCAGACTTCTACCCTCCAGAACTATGAGACAATAAATTGCCTAAAACTGTTTTAAGCCACTCAGTTTGCAATAGTGTATTATGTCAGCCCTAAAAAGCTAATACAAAGCCCTAGAGAATTTCAATAAAGGTGTCAGGAAATATAGATCACAGACAATAATGATAGGACCTTCTAGCATTCTTACACTTCTGTAATGTTTGTTGCTCTTTCGGTCTCTCCTATTTGCTTTTATTGTGATTGGCAAAAATCCCTTGAAAAAACCAAGAAACAATACGAACAGAAACAAAGCTATGTACTTGTTTTGGGAAGCAACCTCAAATGGAAAGATGGGGGCTGTGTTCTAAAAGGTGAGGAGAAATTTATAGCGAAGATAAAGAGATAAAGATAAATGGTCCTGTGCACCACTGAATTCTGAGAACTCTGAACAAAACCTAAGTATATGTTAGTGCCCAGTGAATAGTTGTTGAATGAATGGATGAATCAACAAATAAATGAATTGATGAGATAATCAATCTGTGAGACAAAAAGCAACACAAATGAGTAGACAAGAGTGGGTTAGTTTGGCTAAAAATTGAAGATCACCCATTTTTTCAGCCAAGTAGGCAGGCATCTGCTATTTGCCAGGCATGGGTATTGGTGTTTGGCATAATGAAATAGCAAAACAAAGTCCTACTGTCAGGGAACATAGACTCTTGGAATTTAGAAGAAGGGGCATGGGACAAATCAGAGTCTCCGCCATTAAAATAAAATTATTTTTAATTGCAATACAGTTGGAGTCAAGATGCTCAGAAATAAAGCAAGATAAATCAATTGGTTTAAAATATCTTTCACACTACCCTTCCATGGAAGGTGCAGAGAAGGTTCTAGTCTAAATGTAGGCAACTGGAGACTCCCTTTTCCTATATTCCTTTAAACCCTATGCCCCAAAATGTGTAATCAAGTCTATTCTTGAACAGAAAAGAACACAGTGCCCTTTCTCTTTGGAATTTTATATAAGCCCCTAAGAAAAGCTGCTATTGTCCTAGTTTGTAAAAGTACAAATGGGTGAGTATGCATCTGCTCTGTTCAGTTGGAAAATTAGTACAGGTTTCAGCACTCCTCGATACCAATTGACTATTGAATGCGTACTAAGGGAAGCTTCTGTACAGACCAGTAAACCACACAATTGCAGAAATCCTCTAATTAAAGAAACACACCATAATCTTCCTGGTGAATCTGAAGAAAAGGTTTTTTAGAAAAGTACATCTGTATAAGGTACATTTGTGTAAAAAACAATCATTTTTCATTGAAGTGCAGCTGTATTGTTAGATGTTGTTCTAAGAAAACTCAGCTTAAAATTTCTTATAGGCTGCTTTGGCTTAAAATAATTGCCTAACTGGATGGTCACAAATGACCAAGAAACCAAATATATTTCATAGTATTAACTATCATTACAGAGTGTTAAATAATACTGCACAGTAGAGATCTTTTGAAAAATATTTTAAATGATAGATTCTATTTTGGTTTGAGGCAAAGTCTTAAACATAACAAGTTAAATAAATTTTTAATGAAATTTTACAAGTGAAATAATTAATGTTCAAGACATAGAATCATGCCTTTTGGAAATGACTCTCATGATATTCTATTATTTTAAAAACTATGTGCCTATTTTTAGGAATTAAATTGCTCTGGTAGATACCCGATAAATATCTATCTCACAAATCATGTTTTTCTGTCATATGTAAATTTTTTAAATGTTTTAGTTTATAGGTTGTTTGGCTCTGTCACCCAGGCTGGACTGCAGTGCTGTGATCTCGGCTCACTGAATACTCTCCTTTCTGGGTTCAAGGGATCCTCCCTCCTCAGCTTCCCAAGAAGCTGGGACTACAGGCATGCACCAACATATCTGGCTAATTTTTAAATTCTTTGTAGAGATGGCATCTAGGTTTCCCTGGTTGGTCTTGAACTCCTGGGCTCAAGCAGTTCCCCTACTTTGGCCTTCCAAAGTATGGGATTACAAGCATGAGCCACTATGCCTGGTTAGTTTCTAATTTTTACATTCAGTTTATTTTTATGTGACTGGCATTTGTGTAGGATTATTTTTATAACCAATATGTTTTAGGTATGTAACCCAGAAGTAAATCACTAATTAATCTGCACCGGAGGAAGTATAATTTAGGGAGAGTAGAAACTCTATCTGATAGACTGCACTGCAGGTAAGGTGTCACAGCCTTGAAGCGCCTCAGTGACTTTGGGAAAAACAAGCACCAAGACTGACCTTCCAGATCCAAGGTCTGGTAGCAGGATGGTTTTCATTTCCATCTGTTGGAGGTCTCAGCTTCTGACATAAAGGCCTGCTTTATACAAAATGAGCCTGATTGAAAGATGTAAGCCACCAGGTTAGAGGGAGAACTACAGGAGGCAGACAGGAGAAAGTAAGAGAAGAGTGACGTTGTTCTTCCACTAGCTTGTGGCTACTAACAAATTTCATCAGAAAGTTGCTGAGGATTCCTCAGAACAATTTACAGAGATAACTGTAAGCTGCAGAGGGCTATGAAAACGCTCATGGGTGCTGACAGGAGCCCCTGGTGGCTGGTGGGTTGGGAATACAGGGGCTCTGTAGGGGGTGAAGGAACTGTGCTTGACACCAATCAATGGGAGCCTGGAGAAACTGAGGCAGGGACTGGAATCGTGCTGAGACTCAAACGTTTTGAGTTAGAGTACTCACCAGGTACTCTAACTCAATCATATGCCTTGGGTATAAGGAAATTAGGAATAATTGGAACTGTGGCTGGCCCCAAATTTCATGCCCTATTTATAGCCATTCATCAGATTTAGAATGAGGTAAAGGAAGGATTCTTTTTATTATTTTTTAAAATACCCACCTCATTTTTTACACCCACATCATAAATCACCGAGAGGGAGAATTAGGCCTGTGGACCTCCCTTTTTGTAGTACCTCATATGTAATTTTTTTTTTTTTTTTTACAGATTCATGTTTTTTGGTACAAGTGAACGTTTTATAACGAAAAGGCTTTTTTGTTGTTGTTTTTATTCTCTATAAAAATACCTCTGGGTGAAAATTGTTAAGAAAGCTAATTATTGTATCTTTACATGACTCTAAATTTGGTCTATTTAAAAAGTCAAAACATAGACATTTGGAAATGACTTTCTCCTTTCAGTACTGAAGTTGAGAGGGAGAAGGAAAAAAAGTGAGAAATTCCAGTGCCTGGATGTTCCCAGGCTAATTTCTAGACAAGTGAGTTTTGATAAGTTCAAGTTTCAGATGAGAATTTCTTTTTTCTTCTCTCATTGGTTTTCCCACATCGTGAGTTAAAATGTCTCTGAAAGAGTCTGAAAAAATATATATATTAATGTGGAGAATTATTTACATAAAATTTTAATAAACTAATATGAGAATGAGACCCTCCAATAAATATTGTTTAGAGTTATTTTAATAGTCCTCTCCCCTATCATAACCCATTTAAAAATGTGGGTATATATATATGTGTGTGCATTCATAAAAATTTAGTGTGCAGTTCTTAGTTTTTCTTTATGCAAAACACACAAAATAAATGTGAATAATTGAAGCCATTACACAGACATTTTTCCTGCTAAGTTCTGTAAATAGATATTCCAATAAAGACACTACCAACATCTTACTTTGTCTTAAATATAATTGAGAGTATTTCCATATTAAACTTTTTAAATAAAAATGATTGGATTTCAAATTGCCTTAAAGATTCATAATGTAATATTCTTCACCCTAAATCACCCAGATTATTTCTAATTGTTTCTTTATTTTGCCTTCATAAATACAGCCTTTGATTAATTTAGCGGAATTTATCAATCTGAGATATTTTTACCTTCCCACATTACAGCATGCCATGGAATGAAAACTTACTTTGTTGCTCAAATGTATCAAACACAGTTTCTGTGGTCAAGTTCCTCTCCTTTTCTAAATTTGCTTAGAGGATCTCATAAAACGTAACTCCTCTGACAAGAGAACCATTTTAGCACCAACACTGCAAAAGCTTCTGTGTTCCTAAGGGAAAGATCCTTTCCTGAATTAAATTTAACCTCTTTAGTACTCCCATTTAGCCACCTGATAAATCCACTTGAGCTATCTTTTGGGAAGAGAGAGGTATCTGGGAACAATAACACTTCCTTTTTGAACAGTTTAATAAAGCTTTGTGAGATTTCAAGATGAAAGATAATGTGTAATGCTGATAGTGCCCTCCAAGGCTCTGCATTCATGGATCCAATTACGTTTTTTGTCATGGTAAAAGCCACAGTGGATATATTAAATGAGAGTGTGGTTTAAGAATGAAGGCCCAGGAGTCTGGAGATCTGGTTTCTAAGGCTGACTTCACTTCTGCTTTCTTATCTCACTAGGGGTATGCAGCTTAACATCTTTACCTCAGTGTCTCCTTCCATAAAGTGCCCAGCAAATATCTGAGAAATTCTTTTAAAATGACAGTGCAAATTGCCATTTAGAATCACCTTGGAATGTCTAGAAAAAAATGAGGTGAATGTTCGTTCAGAACGGGAAATACAATCTTCTGCTTAATTTCAGATTTATCATCAAGTTTGTCTTTTACTTTTTAAAAGTCATGAGATTTCCAGAAGAGGAATGACATTTTCAAAGCCTTAAGGACACTTGTGAAAACACTCCTTCAACTATTCTTTATTTCTCACCAAAATTTTGACTCTGGCTTTTCTCCAACTTCCTCTCTTCCCCAATTCCCAATTCCAACTTGAAAAGAGTAATTGCAATCTTAACTTTTTCCATTCTGGAGTATTTTCTTGCAGCCGATTTGTTTCATATAATTGTAAATTTATGCATGTCAGATTTTGTTTTAGATGCACATTTGCTGGCTTTAGTCAGTCAATCCCCAAACCCTTAAACTGATTAATTTCACCGTGAAATAATTGATTACGAATTTGTAGCATTATCTGACTTTATTTTAAAATGCAAGTTGATAGAACATTGTCATTTATTGATTAATCTCTTGCCCTTTGCCTTGAGATAATTTTGAAGAAGCAGAATAGTGCCATTAGTAAGACAATATCTATGTATTACAAATGATCATGTTCTTAAAATACACACGCACACACACACGCGCATGCACACACTCACACTTTCTAGTAATAAGCAGTGTTTTGAGTAAAATCTTTTGAAAGATGTTTAGCAAATCGAAACAATTTCTGTCTTCCTATGTGATGCCTGCAATTATATGGTTTAGATATTTATTGAAGGACTTGGGAAACCTCATAGTCCCATTGGCATTATTCTCAACATATCAAAGATTCATTCAGTATAAATAAATAATTTCATTACTTATAATAATAAAAGTTATCATGGAAAATTTTATAACCTAGTAAATAGGATGTCATAGAAATATTCAACACGGATAAATAAAATATATACATAGTTTAAATTAGAACACCTGTTATAGAATGGTACAGTCTAACTCTCTGGCCAGGTAAGCTTCTAGCATGAAACTTCACACAATCATACCTACAATATGTTCTTGCCTAATTCCTTGTTCCAAAGGAAAGTTTGATAAGGAAGTTGAATAATTTAGCTTCCTTTTAGAGATGGTAGAGCTTATTTAAGTAGCTTTCCTGTAGTACAAAAAGATTAGGCAGCTCTGATTGGAACTCTAGATTGAAAATGAGTAGAAATAACCTCTTATAGAACACGTCTAAATTTAACTTTGCTTCACACCGATAAACTATAGCCTCTACTACTTTATAGACAGATTATAGCTCATCAGTAGGACTAAAAATCACTGTGGAATTACTCTGCAATAGTCCTGTTGCTATGTCTATAAATATAATTTCAGTGAGTGACTTTTCCATTTTCTAGCTGCTTGGCTATACTTTTTTTGCGTGGCAAACTAAAGGGCTTTAGGAATATGGTAAATGACAAATTTAAATAGCCTCAGATAAAACATGAAAGTCAACATTAAATTATTTGGTTAAACATTATTTTCAGAACAATTTTAAAAAATAATATTTTGCAACTGATTTTAACTTAATGTTTATACTATTCTAAAAAGGTAAAAAAAATGCAATGTTGCTTATTCTCGTTAAGCCTAACATGAAAATAAAAGCATTATTTAGGGGAAAAAGTCCCATTTAATTATGTGAACACATAATTAAATAATTATCATAAGAGGCAAAAAAAGATAGATAGCATCAGATATTGTAGCTTGGTAGAGCTTCAGTACTAGGGGGTCAAACAGTGGAAAATAATCTGGGAAACAGTTTTAAGTGTTTTATATTTAAAACACCTACACACACAAACACACACACACACACACACACTCTCACGTAGGCAGTGTGAAATTTACATTGTTCCTTTCCCATGTTATTGTTGTGTATGGGCAGGCTTATTTTTCACATATTTCCCTCTCAATAGCCTTGAGGTTCTAAAGAGAGACACAACATTATCACCCAAGATGCTTGACAAAGATGGGTATTTTGAGGGTGATCCAGATTTACTGATGATATGAGGCCTGGAAATCTGAAAATTTAACAAACTTTCCTAGTAATTTTTATAAAAAACAAAATTCAAGAAAAACTACTGCATGAAAAAATGTGAAGAAGCCAGTGGATACTTTTAAAAAAGTGTTAAAATGGTTCCTATGTAATAGACAAATAATCTCTGAGCTAGATAAAAGTTCAACATGAAGTATAATCTAATATTAAAAAGCCCAGAGAAGTTGCTTTCGTAAGTTCCAACATTAGCATTTAGCTTTCTCCTGGTTAAAAGTTTAAAATGAAGAAGATACATACTCTGCATAGGGCTGAGGAAGGTAAGAGACCCAAGGACATAATGATCTCTGTAAATGCCTCTGTGCCATTTCCAAATAGCCGTCCTCATGCCTTCTCTTCCATCCTTCTTTCCTTGTTACCGTCTCTCTTCCTTCTTCTGTCTCCTTTGCTGCAACAGTATTTAAGTGGATATATAATACATATTAACTCTATCACATCTTTTAACATACATGTTGGTTTAATGACTGTGGAGCGATTGTAGGAATTGTCCATTTTACTTAATTTTTCAGAGGTTTTTGGTTAAGACAAAATTCCCTCAGAGACTCAAATGTCATCTGTTGATTGAAATATACATCTGTGTTTTGAGATTAAGCCCAAACGAAGGGTGGCTTCTCTCTCTGGATCGGACTATACTTTGAGTCATTTAGTTACAGTAAAACAAAAATATCAAAATGGCACGAAAAAATTAACTGTGGTGCCTAATTCTTTGTTCCTCATGAAATGGATTGCCTATACCATACTTAAATAACATGTGCATAGCCTTTCCAAAGCTCCAAACCTCACGATGAAATAGTCCTCTCGTCCCTTCCCTGTGTGACTGTTGGGAAGATTCCTTTTCCCTGTCAAGGGGCCTTTCCTCCGGTGTTGACCACAAGGTAGTTTTTTGAGGGGATCTTAAGTTGTATTAGTATTTTATGAGTTCTTAGATAGGGTTAAATAATTCCTCTTACTTTGGCGTGGAAAGAGAATGGAGTGTGATAGTGAATGTGGGAAAAAGTTGTGAAAGACTGTGAAATGAGCTGTAAAGATTACTAAATCACCTGACTAGCAGAGTCTTCCAAGATTTCTCTGCCTTTCATCATCTTTGAGCTATTTTGCAACTTTGTAAAATTTTAAAAATATGATATAAATGCAATTGACTTTCTTCCAGAAAAATGCAAAGGAGTGTCCAGTGAAAATGCTAAGGATTATTGCTCTGTGAATCGACCAGTTTTACCTGTAGATGATTTTAAATTTGCCTTTGAATTGGTTGTAACATCTTATTGTTTCTCTTATTAATCAAGTAAAATCTTTGATTCATGTTCATGATACATCTGTATGAGCTTACCATGTCTTTAAATGCCTTATCATGTTAACATAACCTACTTTCTAGACAAATAGCACTCCCTTTCTTATTTTCAAGTAAGTAGCAAACACTTATTTGAAATTCTGAGCCCATCAATTTATTTTTTATATGAAAGGATGAACATTTCCTAGAAGCCCTCTTGGTATCATCTAGGTAAACTTCATATCAAATCTGTGCTAATATGTTATTTGTCCTGGAACTGGTTCTTAGTCCAAATTTTATACCATTTATTCGACTCATATCCTTCACCTTGATCAATATAAAGTGCATTTGCCACACATTCGGTTTGACCAATATTATTCTCTGTATAGTGGCTTTAACTCAATTATCAAACTGTATTTTAAAAATTGAATGGCCAGGTGTGGTGGCTCACATCTTCTATAATCCCAGCACTTTGGGAGGCCAAGGGGGGCGGATCACCTGAGGTCAGGAGTTGGAGACCAGCCTGGCCAACATGGTGAAACCCTGTCTCTACTAAGAATACAAAAAAATTGGCCGGGCACGGTGGCTCATGCCTGTAATCCCAGCATTTTGGGAGGCCGAGGCGGGCGGATCACAAGGTCAGGAGATCAAGACCATCATGGCTAACACGATGAAACCCCATCTGTACTAAAAACAAAAAATTAGCCAGGCTTGGTGGTGGGCGCCTGTAGTCCCAGCTACTCGGGAGGTTGAGGCAGGAGAATGGCATGAACCCGGGAGGCGGAGCTTGCAGTGAGCTGAGATCGTGTCACTGCACTCGAGCCTGGGCCACAGAGCGTGACTCCATCAAAAAAGAAAAAAGAAAAAAGAAAAGAAAACAAATTAGCTAGTTGTGGTGGTGTGTGCCTGTAGTCTCAGCTGCTTGGGAGGCTGAGGCAGGAGAATTGCTTGAACCCAGGACGCAGAGGTTGCAGTGAGCCCAGATGGCACCACTGCACTCCAGCCTGGGCAACGGAGCAAGACTCTGTCTCAAAATAATTTAAAATAAACAAATAAATAAAAATAGAATATTTTGGTTGGGTGTACATGGGTGAGCTGCTTTATTTTATGTATGTAGAATTTCTAAAATAATTGTGCTTTTACCGTCTAGCTTCTATAATTTATAAATATGTAATAAATAGTAGATAATGTTAATGAGTGTGTTGTTTGGCATTTTGTTAGTTGGCTTAAAAATGAGAATGATAAAAAAGGCATGGTATCAGGGCATTTTAAAATTATTAGCCATGGGGGTAAAAAAGAAAAAGGAAAGTGAGACAAGTTGCCAGCATGGCTACACAGAGAAATTCCAGTTTCCCCAAAACTGGAAAAGAATAGCATTTTATATGAGGACAGTGTGCTTAATACATAACAAAGATAGCTGCTATATATTAGAAATTATGTTTGTTATTCCTTAAGCAGTTATTTTTAATCTTGATAGTTTATTCTGGTTAGATATATAACAAGAATATAACTCTAGTCTCTTCTTGCAAAAAAAAAAAAAAATTCCAATGAGCAAGATGATTAATCCAGTAAAGAAACATGTCCAGCCTGGGGACAAAAAAAAAGTAGATCAAATTTTGGTTAGGAAGATTAACCAAGTAAAAATCCATTAGCTGGAATTTATTGTAAAAGCCAATAAGAAATCATCCAAGAAATAAAAAACTAAAAATAGCCCTCAATATGGAATAAAAAAAGACATAGAGTGATTCTCTTTGCATTCAATAGAGACTGAGAAAACACAACTGTCAGAATATTAAATATTGCTTTGGAAAGTTTGGAAATATGATGAAAGTAAATTAGACAATTGCTAGAAAAATATCCTTCAGTTGGTTCCCCACACATCACAAAATTCAGCTTGATACCATTTTCTTTTTCTTGACAAATTTAGGGCTTTTATTAGTGCTATGACAGAAAGAAGGAATGCTACCAAAAAGACCATTTGAATTTACTTTAATTATTTCAGAGTAGGGAAACGATAATTGGAAAGTAGTTTATAACCTTGAGTTTGTAAAATCTGTAAACTCTCACAACGATGTGAAGGCAGAGAAAGTATCAAACTCAGTCCCCTATAATAAGCTCATTACTTCATAAAATATATATCCCCTTCATCTATGTGTCAGAAATGTTTAAAATTTTCACCACTGGTACATTATTTTTGGGCCTTACATTTTTGTGGATTTGGTGAATACCTGAAAGAAATAAAATAGGATTGGATAATGTGAATTTCTTTTACACTCATTGTCATTATTAGAAAATAAAGCCCAAATAAAATATGACAGAGCAGAATTAGTTTTAATACAGGAAAAATTTGCAAGTTGAAGAGGAGAAAATGCAGCCAGGAACTAACGGTACACACCTAGGTGGTTAAGACAGTGTGGATGGTGATAAGAGAACATAAGGAAAATTCTGCCCTCCAGCTACTTTGAATTTAGTGTTCTGCCTAGTATGAATATTATTGAACCCTATGGTATGGTACTTAACTATCTAATGAGATGATAACTCTCTCCTACCTGTAGAAAATGTAGATGCCTTGTCTACTTCTGCTTATATACATGCTGAAACATACTGATGTCTGCTGTCTTCTTAATTTTACACTAATTTTTAAAGTAAAGATTGATTTGATAAAAAATATGCACTTGGAAAAATTATTCTGCTATTCCCACATTTCATGTTCATGTCTATTTACAGCTAACAAGACTAGCACGCAAATAGATATATGCTCCAAGATCTCGCTTCTTTTCATGTCTGGCTTCTCCCTGTTTACCCACAATTATTTTCATAATATTTTACTGTGATTCCACAAACCAGAGACAAATCTCTGAAGGGAATAGTGTTCCAAGGCATGGCCATCATTAGAAGACAATAAGCTTGTTTTCCTTCCAACATTCTTAGCTTTGTTGAAGGCTAAGTGGAAGAAATTAACATACTGCATGCCTTTCAATGAAAATTGTTTCTAATTATTTTGCTTCTCAAATTATTCCACCAGGCATTGATTAGACTTTTTAAATTCATTTCATATCTGTCACTCTCAGCTAACATTTGTAATTTTTTAATTGTTGTTAAAGAGAATCTATTAATTGAAATATAATTATCCTCTTTAATAAAAGTAAATAAAATTACTTGGGTAGCCAACATATTCAAGTAATCATCAATCTTGGTCAGAAATTAAAAGTAAGATGAGCATCTAAACTTGGCACTCAAAGACTGACCATCTGCACCTTTGAGGCAAAATAAAATTCAGTTTAGGAAAACCTTATGAAAATCAATGTTTTAATTATGCTATCAAGGGCTGTGGTAGGCAGAAACTTCTTTGCTCCACCCCCCAAAAATGTCCAGTTCTTAATCCTGAAAACCTGTGGAATCTTGTGTAACAAAGGGACTTCATAGATGTAATTAATGTTAACGACCGGGAGGTGGAGAGTGACCTCGGTTATCCTGGTGGGTCCAAGGTAGTCACAGGCATCTTTATAATCAGTGAAGGTCTCCCTGCTGTGCTTAGAGAGGGGGATGCTGGAAGAAGAGTGGTCAGAGAAGCAACATTGCTGACTCTAAAGACAGAGGGCAGGCCACGAGCCAAGGCATGCAGGAGGCCTCCAGAAGCTGGGGCAGGCAAGAGAATGGACTCAGCCCTGGAGCCTCCAGAAGGCATGCAGCCCTGCCCATTCCTTGCTTTTAGCCAGGTAAGATGTCTGTCAGCCTGATGAGAACTATGAAATAATGAATGTGCTTGTTTTTTTCACCACTAAATTTGTGCTTATTTGTTATAGCAGTGATAGAAAACTAAGACAAGGCTATATCTTGGCATGTCAGATTTTAAGTTATCTGCTATAGTGTAGAAAAGCCCAGAGAAGGAGCTGCAATTTGTCTCTTTGAAAAAAAAAAAAAAAAAAGGATCACCTTCTAGGGGATTAAACATTAATGGGCTGGGTGTTGTGGCTGACACCTGTAATCCTAGCACTTGGGGAGGCCGAGGCGCTGCTGCACTCCAGCCTGGGCAACATAGTGAGACCCTGTCTCCAGAAAAAAAAAAAAAAAAGAAAAAGAATTAAACGTTGACAGATTATTAAGTGAGGCACTGTGTGAGACCTAGCTTGGGTTTGCGCCTATAGATATTTAAAAGTTGATCCAGGTTTTCACTTGAAAGCAGAACTACTGCCTTAAATTCCCACTTCACAAAAATAAATCATGGATTGAGGGAAAAATTTACTTGTTTGCTTTATAAAAAGAGATATCGATCTCTTCATAAGTTATATATGTTTTACAAGGTTGCACTGTTTGAACTGTAAGTGTGAATGGTTGCTAACACTCCAGAAACCAAGAGGTACATTTTAACTGGAAAAATTTTCTTCCTGTATCTTACAAATTAATTGAAGTTTGTCTACGCTTGAAAATATGTCAAAAGTATTATGTAGCTTTACCACAGTTTTATCTAACTTCTAGAAGAATTTAAATTCATATAAAGATAAAGAGTAACATACCAATAGAGTTTAGAGAGTTTTCAGATTTGCTCAGAAGAATGCTCCTTTGAAAACCTATGAAGTAGATTTTACCCAATGTATATCTGGATCTAAAAATTAAAGAAAATATCAGTCGTGTTCAGATTCCTTTATACCCTGCAGAAGAGAGAAAGAATAAGCAACATCAATGGAGCATATAACATGTATGGTTTAGCACTTTCATATTTTTAATCTTAACTATTCAGCCAAATACGTCTTATTTTTTTATTTTTATAGATGAAGATATTGAGGTTTGCATTTTTTTTTTATAAATTGCTCAGTCATACAGTTGGTAAATAGCTGACAGGAGAGTTCACTCCAGGTCTTACTGGCTCTCAAACCTTTGCTTTTTAAAAATCTCCAAACTAGCGCCTCTCCCTTTTAACTGCAAAATAAGCACAAAGTTATCCCAGTTCTACACAGTGCTAAACAAATTCCTGTGAGCAAACAATTAGCACAGGCAGATGGAGTGAGGGGGAGGTGGTTTATAACAATGGAAAGCTGTCTGCCTGCTGTGGATTAAAGATTCAAACTCTTTGATCCTCCTCCCAGGGATAGGTGAGGGCCTATGTCTCCTCCTCATTAACATGAGTGATCCTTGGCTAGGTTCTCCTTTGACTGACAGAATATGGGAGAAAGTAAGGCTGAACCATATACTGGGCTCAGGCTTCCAACCCTGACATGTTCCACTTCCTGTCTCCAGGAACATTCACCCTGGGAGCTCTGTGCTGCCATGCAAATGTCACATTGCACTGAGGCCGCCATGCTGTAAAAAACCCCAAGCTACCTACCTGAAAAGCTGGAGAGAATCAGCACCCATCAGCTTTTCCAGCATTTTGGGTCCTCCCAGCTAAATCATCGGCATTGTGAAGCAGAGATGAGACCTCCTGCCATGCCCTTTCCAAATCCTGGACCAACAGAATCATCATATACACTAGTAAGCTTTTACTTTAAGCCACTAATTTGGGGTGTAGCTCTTTTGCAGCAAAAGATCATCAGAACACTGCCATGCAGGAGCTGATAAACTTGCTCACTGTTATGTATGTATCCAATGACTACTCACACACACATTACTTGCTTCACTCTACTTTCTGGCTTTCCATTCAGCAAATTTTAAGAAATGAAAATGTTATTCGTGGGAAATTAACTCAAGATCAATATTGTTGTAGTTAATCTCTTTGTAAATGGTAAAATATTAAATTATTGTGAGTCATTTTTATTTAAAGAAGTTTGGTTCTTTAAATGAAAGAAGTTTGGGTCTTTTGTGGATACTCTGCATATAGACATTCTAGACATGAAAGAATGTTGAAGACAAAGAATGTTGAAGAAATATAGACATGAAAGACTGTTGAAGTTTGGTTTTTTGTGGATACTCTGCATATAGACATTCTAGACTGGAGTGATACATCTTGTTCAGGTTTCTATGTTTTTAAAATGATAACTTGACACGCCTACCAATGCCAATTTTTAGGATATATATTTGTATATCTGTGTGAACTAAGGAAAATTCAGGAATGATTAAACCTACATATTTTGCCAGGAGAGACTGGATAATGTAAGTCTTTATATTTTTCACAACTTCAAGTTTATAGCATCCAAATGAGCAATTGCTGACATACCTAGGGGATTTCTCTGCAGGTTCAAGTCTGATCTGGCCTGAGGGCAACACTCTTACTGAGTGTGTTCCTAGGCACTCCTTGGCAGTTGGCTCCAGGCCACAATAAAGAGCCCTGATGATTCTCTGAGCAGGCCCAACTTCCATTCACATTCATGGGAATATGAGGATGACTTGTGATCTTCAGGACTTAGATAGACTCTTTCAGTTGGTGTAGGGTAAGCTCAGCTCATCTCTAGAGACTTCCCACAGTGGAGCTCATGCATGACTCTGTGCAGGTGGCACAGGACAGCCAGAGACAGGCACCTAAGGAGTGCACTACCAGCAGGTGGACTCTCCACTGAGGGAGGTAGACAAGGGAGAAAGCCAGGTGTCCACATGGAGCAGGCCTTACTCAGGGAGACTGAGATTTTGCTCTACACATCATAAAACGTGGAGGTCATTAATGGAATTTTTCACAGGACATGACTGCCATAGCCATGATAGGGTCCCTGGCTAATCTTTCAATTATGATAGCATCATAAGATAATTTTGAATATGAGGAGAGAAGAATAACTCTAGAACTGCAATATCCAATATGGTAACCCCTAGCAACCTAAGGCTACTTAAACTAATTAAAATTAAAACTTTAGTTCCTCAGTGCCACTAGCCATATTTCAAGTACTCAATAACCACACACACTTGGCTACCATGTTGGACAGCACTGACATAGACCATTTCCATTACTGCAGAAAGTCCTCCTATTTGACAGTCCACCTCTGGAACCAATCCGGAGTCTTTAGGGACCTAAAAGACTGAGGTGCTAAATCTCAGAGCAGTACTCTGCTTAATGCTTAGTTAAAAGACTTGCTAATCTATATAGTTGATCTAGAGAACTTTAAAGGCAGCTAGTTCGTAGCAACTATGTTGCTGGACCTTGAAACTGTATGTCAGGAACTTGGTGTTCTAGTGGTGACTTCTCTTTTATCTACCATGTTCACACTTTTCCTACCACTCATTTATCCATTCAGAAAGTATTTCAGAAGTCCCTATGATTTACCAGGTGCTATTTCAGACACTGAGGCACTGTGGGGAACAAAACAAACAAAGTCTCCTTTCTCAGGGATCTCACATTCCATGTGGTGATGCAGACTGTAAAAATTCACACACAGAAGATACTTTCATACAGTAGGAAGTTTTATGAAGAATATTTCAAAAGGGGTGTGGGGTGGGAGAGGTTGATGTTCAGGTGTTTGCTTGAGAATGAACTGTTCATACAAAGAATCAATAATTCATTTGTTCCACAAATATTTATTGAGTACCTGTTATTAGCAGGCTACTTTATTAGGTTGCCAGAGCAGGGTTTTCTTAGCACAATTAAAACACAATAACATTTGTTAGAAATTCAAAGACCCATGTCCACTCTTGCATAATGAATCAGAGTCTCGAGGTTATGGTCCAGAGACTGGTGTATTTAAAAATCACTGAAGTAATTTTAAGGTATAGCCAGAATAGAGAGGACACCGGCATTCTTCCTGAAACTCAACACACTAGACAATGAGAAATCATTAAAATGAAGTAAATATTTTGATTGAGATTGTTTTGGCTTCAAAATTAATAATAGCTTGGAGAGGAAAGAAGGTAAATTATAAAAGACAATTAAGAATCTCTTAAATGTATTTAGATAATAGTTACAGAGGGACAAAAATGAGTAGGATCTGTGATAACAGAAAGAATAAAAATAAACAAAAGGACTTAAAAAAGTAAGAATAAGAAAGAAGTCAACAGTAACCCAGAAATTTTCAACCTCATGTCTAAGAGAATGATGATGCTATTTAGCAATATATCCAAACCAAAAATACTACGAGAAGTAGGTTGTGTTCACTTGTGATGTTGTAAATTTATAATTACTTTTTCTTTATTTTGGATGCATGCTTTTCCTTTTTCTGAAGTTCTGAGACATACAAAAACAATAAAGAAAAACATGATTTTATGCCAGAAAATAAGATAGGAACAATTCCTCATGCTCAATATAATTTTAGCCTCCCACATAATCCAAAATATATGTGCAGCAAATTGTGGGAGTTTCGAAATTAGATCCAACTTCTTATTACAGTTAAAGATAAAAAGAAAACAAGGCTTTGTCTTTTTTAGGATCTTTTTTGGAACTTGCAGTATAAAAATACTCTTTCAAAAAACATAACTCAACATCAAAGTCCAATAAAACAGTAAACTGGACTAAATATATTCGTATATTAGCTTGACCTAAGTCTGGGAATTGAGCCAGACTTTTCAAATTATACTATCATTATTTACAGAAAAAGGAAATGTTAACTAACATTATTAAATAAAAGCACATATACACATGCATAACAGGAAACAAAATGAATGTTAATGTTAACAAATGTTGAAGATGTGTGTGTGTGTGTGTGTGTATGTGTGTGTATACAAAGCAGATAAGATATTCTCTTGAGCATGATTGGATTGGAAATAGTAGCTATGCCAGGGGAAATTTTATGCAATCCCCTTGGCTGTGGGCTACACATTTATTGTGTTATACAAATATGCCAAAAAAAATGCCATTTACACAGTTGCCTAAAACAAAATTGAAATTATACATTAGTGTTTAAAGTTTTTTTTTTTCTTTCGCCTCCTTTTCTTAATGAATGGCAGATAATGAAATTTAGGAGTTTGCAAAAACAAACGTAGTTTAAATTGTACCTTAGTTGTCTATGAAATACAAATACATTTTATATATTTATGGAAACATTTGTGTGTGTTCAGAAAGTCCATATTTTGCATTCAAGATTGACCCTGTTTTAAGTCATATTTCATTTGCTACACTCAAATTGACTAAAGGCAGATACTTTGGCATTCACTTTTTGATTCATTATTAAGGCATTATTTTGATTGATTCTGCTTAAGGTAGTTTTCCTGATCAGAGTAGACGTTTAGGCCACCTATCTAGACAAATATCCCACTTTCCTATCTGAAATATTTGATCTCTCCTTACCCATTCTAGGGTTTTGTGCATCTCTAAGATGATCATCTTGGTGTGGGGTCCTGATCTTCCCAGTGACTTAGCAGCACAGTAATTTGGCTGAAATGTTGATGAGTTCAGACAAGAAGAAGGTGATGATGACAAGAGAGCGTCACGGGGAAATTCTGCCCTGAGGAAGGAATAGTTTGAGGCTGGAGAGATGTGCTACCCCCGCCACTCTTTCTCAAATGGTATTTATTCTTGAAAGACAGTGTAAAGTGTCTGAAATTGCAGAAGCAAAGTGGTTGCTGTAGAAATACATACCATGACGTGCTTCAACTCGTTTCCTTAAAGGTTAAAGAAAGAAAAATGTGCATCTTGAAGAAAATTCCAAACCCTCATTGTGAGGAGTAATCCAATATTTCAATTTAGAAATTCAGAGGGTTTTAAATAAGAAGCAATTATTCTAGGCAAAAAGCAAATATAAATGCCAGCAGTCAAAAAACCAGTGAAAAGATATGATTAAAACTGAGATGTAAAAAATAGATATTTATCTGAAGTTCTTGACTTTTAAAGTCCACAGGCATTTTCCCTTAAGAAAAGAATAAAAACATTAAATGTTAAAGAAAAACATAAGAAATATTATAAAAAAGATAATTATTCAGAAAATATTAGTATTTTGTTACCAACACCAAAGACAAACAGAGTATTTTTCAATGACTGGAAGCCAGTTTAAGTGAGGAAAAAAAAAACACGTTATTATTACTGCTATTATCCATTATTTTTATTTTTACTTTTGGCAGTGTTATTTGCTAATCAGCTAACGCATGGTAGTGGACTTGATCTTTTATGTATTATAAAGGTTGTATCTTCTCATTTTAAGGGAATATTTTAACTACATTGTCCAATTGTACACTATAAATGCAGCAAGACCAGGTCAAGTGAAACTTCAGTGGGCGAGTCTCTTTCTTTTCTTGTGTGTAGGGCTCTCCCTCCCACCTGCTACCTTGACTTTTTAGATTCCCTGTTCCCCTGGTCTGTGCTTGTATAATATACAAGCTGTCCTTGACATAGCACGTTCCTCTTTTTTCCTTCATTATTTTTAAATGGTTATAATATACTCTTAAAAACAAATTTGAATATTACTAATAGATTCTAATATTATCTTACTCTCTGAAATTAAGTAGTGATGTATATTGTGTTAAACGCTTGTCTATGCTGATGCAACATATGGGCAGGTCTCTCTCTGGGCCTATATGTATTTGTTTCATATCGTTGTACACAGATTCATTCATTTCTTTAAATGGGTATATAATATTTCAGTGTATAAATTAATCACTCGTAAGTGGCTAGTAATTTAATTTGTTGCTACTTCCTCCCAAGATGAACAGTGCTTTAGTGAGCATCTAGCCATTTCTGTATCTGTCTACTTATTGATTTATGCATATATTCACCACCTTCTTCTTCCACAAATAGACTACACATCCTCTTCATGAGAGTCTACACAAAAATGTTACAAATAACATTTTTAACGCAATAGTTCCCTTAAGCTCACACTTGTAATGTTTCTGCCCAGACTTAAGCCAGCCAAATGTGTGGAAATAAATTCCATTTGTGTATTAAATATCAAAGATAGGGAACATTCATAACAAATGTAAACATAGCCAAGGATTCATTGAAACATTTCCACATACCATCTCTCCAAATCTGGTTTTAAAGAGATTGTAACATAATTTCAGGAATAAAGACCTTCTGGAATTGAGATTTATGGAAAAGAGATTATAGCTCCACAAGATTCTAGGGATGCAAAAGGTCTGGAGGAGCCTCCAGGCACAGGCACTTTGTTTCCATGCTGAAGATTCAATGTGGGTTCTGAAAATGCTGCTTTAGCAAGCACACATTTGTTCCACTGGTGTTGGATTTTCTATTGATTAATAGTTACCATTTTTTTCTTCTCTTAGGAAAGACAACCTGTAGGCACAGAAATCATTGCTCTGCTTACACTGAAATCTCCTGCTGACTTTGAGAGCTGAGCATTGGATTTTGATGGGAGAGTGAAACTTAGTGAAGAAATGATTTGAACCTTTGTTGATCTAATACTTCTGTGATACAGTTATCTAAACAGAATGAGTCTAAAGTCAGTATAAAGACCTGTGTCTCTCCATGTTTTGCTGCTTATAATTGCAGAGGAACATTTTGAGATAGAAAATTTTATCCCTCTTTCAAGTGACTTTTTATAAAACATAACCTTTTAAGAGAGGTCATTCTTTTGAAAAATTGTCTGAATACAAAAAAGTAACTGAACAGCAAGGGATTGTAGCCATAATGTTCTTGACCACTTTAGATTGACAAATAGTATCTCAAAATTGATCAGGTTCTGGAGAATCTATTGAGGTTGTATGGAGTAACCAAGTGATGGAAGAGGTTGGAAGTGAATAATTTTATGTGGTATTATGTGATTTTTTTTGGTGGGGGTAGTGTCTGGAGCTGAGCATGATGGAGCCTAGATGGGGCAGCCTTCTAATGCTCCCAGTATTTCGCAAATCATATGTCACGTCAAAATTGTAATGACAAAGCTCACAGCAGCTGCCTACGCCAGGTTTGGTGCCAGCTCTAATTAGAGCATTGATCATTTCTCTCCCCTTCATGAATGCACATGAGTGCACATTTTCATATATAAGGGCAAAGGACATTTCAAAGTTTGGATGGAATCTTTCCTACTTAGAAGTAATAAAAAACAATACTTTGAAATCTTACCAAATGTTAAACAAATAGCAACAATTTTTCCATTTGAAGATGTGTGTCTTAAGGTCTGTTGGATCTTTCAAATTTCTATTTTGGACATGGAAACTACAGATGAAATTTAACTTACTCAAAGTTACACAGAACTCCTGGCTGATCTCTTTTACTTAATTCTTCTAAAATCTAAAGTAAGAATAATTTTGAAATTTTATTGGTAATGCTTAAATAACAAAAGTTACTTTAATATGTTACATGTTTGAAGTTTCATTTATACTTAATATCTAATTTAACGCTTGTGAAAATATTATTCAGTATTTTTTTTTCTTTTCTAAAATGACTTGTTCAGGGCTCCTTTTGGGATTTTAAGTGAGAAAAACTCTATTTCATAATATTGTTACCATGCTCATCCAATAACACTTCATAGATGGTTAGCCATCTCTAAAATTAAATTTTGTAGTTGAGGAGCATTGAAAATATCACCTATATTTGGATTTCTGTTTAACACTTCAAAATGCATTTTATCATAATTTAAAATTTGATTTAAATACAAACCTCTTTATAGAAAACCTGATAAATGTAGTTTTATTTGTTTGCTTGCTTTTTTTTGCAGGGAGGGATATTCCCTTGATACCACTCTGTCTTTATGACTCATCGGTTATTTATAAATGTTATCATCGTTTTTCTGATTTTTAAATAAGTTTCAGAATTAATACATTTAACTGAATAAATCAACCAATAATGTCAAACTTAAAATGTGTTTGTAACAAGAGTCAGCACTTATAATGAAAAATATAATTAATTAAGAGGTTACAAAACTTATAAGCAGAGTTTACTCTGCTTACAGAAGGGCAAACATTTGTTATTTGATACAACATATTAAGTATTTATCCCATGCAATCACTGTCCTAGGCTTTGAGTTTATAGTGATGATCAAAACGATTTACAGGTTTCAAGAACCCTGCTCACATACAGCTTACAATCCTATGTGGGAAAATGATAATAGTGAAATAATTACATTAATTAATATATACTTGATTCAAATGTAAATAATTATTCTGAAGGAAAGACACCTACATCAAGAGAGCTGGCTTAAATTCGGGGATCAAGGAAGCCTTTCCAAATAATTGTTGATGGGATTGAAAGACAATTGTGGGATGAGATGACCACCTGGGCTTGGTATGGGGGAGATACAACTGTCAGTGGGAAAGCCCTGGAGATGGGGAAGAAGAACTTCTTCAATGGAGAGAAGTTCCTGAGTGAGGAGAAGGCAGGTGACCACAGTGTGAAGTGATGCTATAGAAGCCAACCACGTGGCTATGCAAGCAGAAGGAATTTATCCAAAAAGAAAGGGGGAGGCATTAGAGGGATTTAGTGTGGAGAGTGGTGGTGACAAGATCAGATTTGCAACTTGCAACTCTCTCTCAGGTTGCAGCATGGGGGATGATGGGATGAGCCCAGAGTGGACTGACGCATTTCCAGTAGTCCAGGAGAGTGGCATGTGGCATGAACTGTGTGAGGAAGGGGGAGCTGGGGGGAAGAAGTGGGGTAACAACACCCTATTTGTTGTTTTGCTTCTTACACTTTGAAAAATATTTCAAAGCAGGAATGCTATTCCAGACATTTAACACCTGGAACAGGAATAAGTACCAACCAAATATCGTGGGAGACTGACGAATCAGAATGAACATCAGCTCTGCATGGCAGTATGGTTTTAAAACACTTTCATGTCTATGTAAACAAAGTAAAAATGTTAAAAGATTATTTTACGCCTTTGGTTATCAGATAGTCAGACTTTTAGTAGTTTATATTTTATTGCAGTCTGATGAGGTCTGCTTTTAATAGTAGTTTTCTCTTCTTCCCCCAACCCCATTACATTAAAATGGCAAATGATACTTTTCCTTGTTAGTAAGCAAGGCCAAGTTAGGATTATCAGAAAGTCAATACCTAAACACAAAGAATAGTGCAGCCAAACCCGGAAAATATTGTCTGTTTTGCCAAGAGGAAGCATCTCACTGAGTATCTGGAAAGCTCATTGTTTCTCAATTATGGTTATTTTATTAGTTGCCATAACTCAGCTATAGTCATAATGTAACTGACCAGCACCGATGATGAAATCAATAACCACTACAACAGAGTAAATGCTGTTTGGGGTGCAAGAAACATCATTTTTATCTAAGTGAAAGTACATCTCATTTAAATGTATTTCAAGTTGACATTTTGTATATATTGTTAATAAACTTCAATTTTACTAAAATCTCTGCAATATCTAATCAATATACTGAATGATATGCTCTCCCCTTTTGTGCTCAAATAGGATCTGTTTATATTTTAGTTAAGAAATGCTATGCCATTTTATTATATTAGAAAAATATTTACTGGTAGGAATTTGGTTTAAACTCTCCCTGTTATTCAGCTGGGAAGTATATTACAAGTAAGTCTTTAAAGACTACAATTGGAGACCGGGCACGGTGGCTCATGCCTGTAATCCCAGCACTTTGGGAGGCCAAAGTGGGTGGATCAGGAGTTCGATACCAGCCTGGCCAACATGGTGAAAACCCCGTCTCTACTGAAAATACAAAAATTAGCCAGGTGAGGTTGCAGGCGCCTGTAATCCCAGCTACTCAGGAGGCTGAGGCAGGAGAATCCCTTGAACCTGGGAGGCAGAGTTTGCAGTGAGCTGAGATTGCACCATTGCACTCCAGCCTGGAGAACAAGAGCGAGATTTCGTCTCAAAATAAAAAAAAAAAAAAAAAGAAAAAAAAAGACTAAAATTGGAGAGTTTAACGTATCAAATTTAGGAGATAAATGGTAAATAATATGTTTGTATATGAAAATATTTTAATACAATATTTGAAATGAAGAAACTGAGATCACACAACTTTTTGAGCGTTGAGTTTATACATTTATTTTCTTTCTTTCTTTCTCTTTCTTTCTTTCTTTTTTTTTTTTTTTGAGATGGAGTCTCACTCTGTCACCCAGGCTGGAGTGCAGTGGCACAGTCTCAGCTCACTGCAACCTCTGTCTCCTAGGTTCGAGTGATTCTCCTGCCTCAGCCTCCCGAGTAGCTGGGACTACAGGTGTGTGCCACCACGCCTGGCTAGCTTTTTGTATTTTTTTAGTAGAGATAGGGTTTCACTGTGTTAGCCAGGATGGTCTTGATCTCCTGACCTCGTGATCTGCCCATCTCGGCCTCCCAAAGTGCTGGGACGTGAGCCACTGCGCCCAGCCTATTTTCTTTCTTTTACCTATATCATTTCATTTTTTTATTGATACGGAATATTTTACATATTTATGGAGTACATGTGATATTTTGTTACATGCATAGAAGGTGTAATTATCATCACGGTTTTGGGGATATATATCCCCTTCAGTATTTAGCATTTTTATGTTTTAAGAACATTTCACATTCTCTCTTCTCGCTACTTTGAAATATACAATACATTGTTGTTAACTATAGTCACTCTATTCTGCCATTGAACATTAGAACTTAAAATACTTTCCAGCCAGGTGTGGTGGCTCACACCTGTAATCCCAGCACTTTGGGAGGCCGAGGTGGGCGGGTCACCTGAGGTCAGGCGTTCAAAACCAGCCTGGCCAACATGGTGAAATGTTTGTATTTGTAAAACTACAAAAATCAGCTGGGCGTGGTGGTGGGCACCTGTAATCCTAACTACTCAGGAGGCTGAGGCAGGAGAATTGCTTGAACCTGGGAGGTGGATGTTGTAGTGAGCCCAGATTGGGTCATTGCACTCCAGCCTGGGTGACAAGAGCAAAAGTCTGTCTCAAAGAAAAAAAAAAAAAAAAAGAACTTATAGCTTCCAACTAACTCTATGTTTGCACCCATTGATCATCTTTTCTTCATTCCCCACTCTCAGCCATACACACTTCCCAGCCTCTGGCATCTATCATTCTACTGTCTACCTACATGAGATCAACATTTTTAATTCCCATGTATGAGTGATAACATGTGGTGTTTGTCTTTCTGTGTCTGGCTTATTTCACTTAACATAGTGACCTCCAGTTCCATTTATGTTGCTGCAAATGACATAATTTCAATGTTTTTGTGCACAATTAGTATTCCATTTTGCTTATCTATTTGTTAATTGATGGAGATATAGGTTGATGCTATATCTTTGCAATGGTGAATAGTGCTACAGTAAATATGCCAGTGCTGGTCTCCCTTTGGAACACCGATTTATTTTCCTTTGGATAAATACCTGGTAGTCGAATTTCTGGATCATATGGTACTTCTATTTTTAATTTTGCTCAGAAATCTCCATAGTATTTGTTCATAATGGCTGTACTAATTTACATTTCCACCAACAGTGTATAAAAGCTCCTTTTTCCCTGTACCCTCACCAGTATCTGTCATTTTTTTGTTTTTTTTAGTAATAGCCATTCTACTGGGGTAAGGTGATATCACATAGTGGTTTTGATTCACAATTCCCTGATAGTTAGTGATGTTGAGCATCTTTTTTATATACTTGGTGGTTATGCCATTTGTATGCCTTTTTTTGAGAAATGTCTACTCATGTCCTCTCATGTCCTTTGCCTACTTTTTAATAGGATTATTTGTGAGATTTGTGAGGTTGTTTTTTGTTTGTTTGTTTGTTTGTTTGTTTGTTTTCTTACAGTTGAGCTATTTGAGTCCCTTGTATTTTCTGGATATTAGTCACCTGTCAGATGAATAGCTTGCAAATATTTTCTCCCATTCAACAGGTTGTTTGGAGATTCTCTTTAAAATAGCTGCAACAAACAAACAAACAAACAAACCCGGCCAAGCACGGTGGCTCATGCCTGTAATCCCAGTACTTAGGGAGGCTGAGGCGGGCGGATCACGACGTCGGGAGATAGAGACCATCCTAGCTAACACAGTGAAACCCCATATCTACTAAAAATGCAAAAATATTAGCCTGGCGTGGTGGCGGGTGCCTGTAGTCCCAGCTACTCGGGAAGCTGAGGCAGGAGAATGGCGTGAACCCGGGAGGCGGAGCTTGCAGTGAGCCGAGATTGTGCCACTGCACTGCAGCCTGGGTGACAGAGCGAGACTCCATCCAAAAAAAAAAAAAAAAAAAAACCCTAGGAATAAATGTAACTAAGGAGGTAAAATATACCTACAAGTTGCACTAAAACACACTGACAAAAGAAATTGAAGAGGGTGCAAACAAATGGAAAGATATCCTATGCTCATGGATGAAGAGACTTAATATGATTAAAATGATCGTATCATCCGAAGCAATCCACACATTCAATGTAATCCCTATCGAAATAACATTATTTTTTCACAGAAAAAAATTTAAAAATCCTGAAGTTTGTATAGAACCAAAAAAGAGCGCAAATAGCCAAAACTATCCTGAGCAAAAAGGACAAAGCTTTAGGCATCACACTACCTAACTTCAAAATACAAGGCTATAGTAACAAAAATAGCATGGTGTTGGTATAAAAAGACACATAGAGACCAATGGAACAAAACAGAGAATCTAGAAATAAAACCCCATATTTACAGCTAGCTGATTTTTGACAAAAATGCCAAGAACATACATTGGGGAAAGGATATCCTCTTTAAAAAATGTTTGCAGGAAAATTGGATTTCCATATGCAGAAAAATGAAACTGGACCCCTACCTCTCACCATACACACAATTCAACTCAACATGGACTAAAGACTTAAACGTAAGACCTGAAGCTATAAAACCACTAGAAAAAAACAGGGAAGACACTTCAGGACTTTGTTCTAGGCAAACATTTTATGGGGGAGACCTCAAAAGCACAGAGGACAAAAACAAAAATAAATAAATGGGGCTGTATTAAACTACAAAGCTGCAGAGCAAAGGAAAGTATTTTCTTAATCCTTACTGGTTCTTAAAAAGTTTTGGATGTTGACCAACACATCTATTATGATAATTAAATGATTTGGACATGTCAAGCTTGTCAGGATATGCGCAGGTTGCCCCCTTTAGGAAGAGCACAGTGACTCTTTCTAATTCTATTTTTCTATTTCTTAAACATAGCTGACTATAAAATTGCAATGAAATTTGTGTATGAGCTAGGGAAGATGTTGGGTTGGGTTGAGATTCAAGGAAGGAGTTGGACTTTAAAATGGTGGAATCACCAGTAGAGGACAACACCGTGTACCAAAAACGTTCACAGGACAAGCCAGGTTGTACACCATGATATATGAGTTGTGATGCTGATGAAGGACATAGTAAGCTTCCAATAATGGGTCAAAAAAAAAAAAAAGAAAAAAAGAAAAGCATTAATATTAGGCAATGTATTTTGGTGCCTATAATTTATATTCTTATCAATACGGATAGCTCCATATTGATCTGTTTATATATATCTATTTGTTTATATCATTTGATTAAAATATGGCATTGACCATTGGAAAGGTACATCTCAAATTATCCTGGTTAAATGTGAAAGTATGAAGAGGCTGTGATTATAAGCATTTAAGTTTCAATCAAGTAGCAAGTGCTGTCAAGATGGTATATCCAATCAGATATTGTGAGGGACATGTGATTGCTATAGATTATTCTGCTGTCTTAAGAGATAGGCTGTGGATATTCAGATTGTGATTTTGGAGTTTAAGAGGGCAAAGTAAATTGCCTGCTGAACTCACAGTCATGTTTGAGAGAGACTGACAGGAAAAGGTAAAAATGAATCATCATCTACAACTGGCTGGATTGGACCTGACGGAATAAGATCCAGCAGGAAAGGTGTGTGACTACCATTCCTGGAACTGGGTTTTGCTGAATCATTGGACAGTTTTGCTGAATCATTGAGCATACAAGTTTTGAGGGATACATGTGCATTTAGAAAGTAACGAATAAGAATATTCATAATTATCTGCTACTTTTCATAGCCCATGTATTAACACCAAAGCAATTTTAGATGAGCTATCAATAAAAATATTAAAAAAGAAATCACAGTCTATTTATTTAACACACATTGGTTATAGTCAACAAGGTAATGTGTTGTGCTGCAATAATACAAGTAAACATCCGTCTAAGAATCCATTGTTTAGTAGGTATTACTGTACGAATTTTTAACAAAGCTGCTTTAAACACTATACCAACAGTTTTAAATACAAAAGCCCAGTGGTCAAGCTCTAATATAAATGAATAAATGTGGCCTTCTGGAAGACCCTAGAGAGACAACAGGACACAGAGTGGAGCACAGGAAAGAAAGAAGTCCACTTCCTGCATAAATGGCGGCGGCAACTCTGTTTCACCTGACAGACGCCTCCTCGAAATGCAGTCCCATTTAAAACATTTTTTGATTGTTTTAGATAAAACTTATAACATTGTTGAAGAAGCAACTAATTCTAGATATTTTTATAATTTTAAGCTGCCAGAAAAAGTAAGTCCACAATTGGAAATGGCCCAAGGCCCCCAGGATGTACCTTACCTATGCCAATATTGAGAAGATTATTCCAGTGCAAAAGGTCCATGTAACTTTCATTAACACTATGGTTTGTTGGAAACACACTAAACCACTGTTCCATAATTCCTTTTTTTTTCCAGTTACTCAAAGCAAAAATACCAGAATTTTATGTTTACAAATGTGAGTTTTTAATAGAAACATGCACAGTGTATACTTTATATATTGCCGGAATTGACTTATCGAATGATAATTTAACAAGATTGTTCATTTGAAGTTTATGCCCACTTTTATAAATAAAAGAATCATTTTGGTTGTCTTCCTCTCTTTCTCTTTATTTTTCCTTTCTTATTTCAGTCTACAACTACTCCCCCTTCTTCTGGCCCATGTGGAGATATCCCATTTCCCAACCTGCTCCCTGTTCAGTTACAAGGAGGGAGGGAAGACATCTGGCAGAGGAAGATTCCCAGGGAACTATGAAAGGAGATAGTGACTACTGCAGAGCTTGTTACAATAACAGACTATTAAGGCTGGTGCAGTGGCTCACGCCTATAATCCCAGCACTTCAGGAGGCCGAGGAGTGTGGATCACCTGAGGTCAGGAGTTCGAGACCAGCCTGGTCAACATGGTGAAACCCCGTCTCTACTAAAAATACAAAAATTAGCCGGGTGTGGTGGTGAGCATCTGTAATCCCAGCTACTTGGAGGACTGAGGCAGGAGAATCACTTGAATTCAGGAGGCACAGGTTGCAGTGAGCCAAGATTGTGCCACTGCACTCCAGCCTGGGCGACAAGAGGGAAACTCCGTCTCAAAAAAAAAAAAAAAAAAAAACCACAAAAAACAAACAACAACAACAACAAAACAGACTATTAGCACTTTCTCATATCCCTTGTTTGCTTAAGAATAGTATTTGAATAATATAACGGCCTATATTTTATCTACCTACTCTCTGACTTCCTCTGGTTTGGAGGGGGGTGAATCATCAGAGGTGTTGTTGCACAGTATGTGTGTGGGTAAATAGGGTCCCTTTTCTCTACTCATCTTTTCTATGCAAAATAAAGCCATTGGTTATAATGAAGAGGAAATCAGAGGGGAAGAGGTCTATTTTGAATTTTTGTAACCGAAAAAGCTCATGATTTTATGTGAATATTCCATTGGCTGCTTAGCTTGCCTACTTACTTGAATTTGGAGTTTATTCCCAACACTGCAGCTTACATGCACCAAGGTTTGGGAACATTCTGTAAAATTTCCTTGAGGACAAATATCCGCTTTGTTGTATTCTTTGTTATTTATCCATTTTGCCAAATTATCTGCAAGTAGAAATATCGAAATAAGAAGCTCTTTAGCAATTTACTTTGGATATTGGTTTTCTTTTGAAGGACAGTTATTAAAATAGCTTGTAGGATTACTCATTTTCGTTTTTCTTCTTTTTAAATATAAAGCAATGTCATCACTTTTTTCCCTGTATTATATTTCTCCTCAATAATTGATATGCTACATTAAAGGAACACAAAATGGTCTTAATTATGCAATAATGATCAAGGCAAAGAGTGTTTCCTGGGAACTAATGGTTGCCTGAGAGGAGGTGATGGCTTGAGGTCCAGCTGGTTATTAAGCCGCAGGAAATGCTGCAGGCCAAGATTTGTATTATTTCTCTGAGATGAAAATGAACCCAAAAAAAGGCAAAATGGGTTTTTCTCCACTAATGGGTAAAATGAACTCATTTTGGATGCAGAAGACCTTTATGTAGAAGGAATGTATTCCATAAAAGCAAAATCAAAATGTTCAGTGGTCTCTGCTTTTTGTTTAAAATATAGTATAGCACAAATAATAGTCCATTATTGATTTTAAATCTTGATGCAACTAAAAATATCATGCAACACTTGAGTTTTTGTCTAGTTCTAGAACTTCCATAGAATATTATGTCCAACAATTGTTTTGATAGCTTTTGTAAGCTAAGAATATATTTTGTATGCATTTAACATTGAAAATGGTTACTTCTGAAAATATTCAGAAAACAGCTATCTCATAACAAAAGAATACAGGCATTATTTTCTTTTTTTTCTGGAGTTCATTCAAAAAATATTGGGGAAAGGTGTCTCATTAAAAGATGCGTTGAGATTTGTGGTCTCTCTGCATGATTAGAGATGAATCACTTAACCTTCTTAAAGAAACTGCCTAATCAATTTGTAAAGTAGTTAGTATAGCTGCCCCCATCTCTGATTTGTAGTAGGATTATGCAAAGCAGAGTATTTTGTAGATATTAATATTACTAATATAAAAATGTAGTTATTACTATATTTACTTTACCATCTTAACCAAGTGAAACAATATATTTTATCATATTTTGCCATTTTTGCCACCCCTGTGACATGGGGTATGTCACAGGGCATAGTAGACAACTGAAAGAGCTCCTAATAGTCAAAACTGGAAAAGTTTCAGAACAAAATTAACCAGTAGTATTAGATTATAACCCAAAATACAAAATAAATGTTTCTGAATTCATTTTGATTTAAATGAATGACAGAATACATAAGTCAATGGGGGAGAGTTTATTCTTGCATGCAGAAGAATCCAGATAATTTATGTGGATGCCCTGCCTTCAAAGAGGCAGAGCCTAACTCTCATTCCTGGGCAGCACAGAGTGACTTCCTTCCAAAGAGTACAGGACCGAAAGGGGTGACCAAAAGATTGAAGAAAGATCAAGCAGTTATCATGAGTAAAGCAAACCTTGACAAGTTTATCGCAATGTTTAGAATTTTGTTATGTTCAATCGAGGACTTTACAAAATTGTGTTAAACTTTATGATGGATATGGGTGTCCTTCTTAATAGAGAAAGTTCAAAAGCCGGGTGCTTTGGGGGAAACATTATCTTTTGTCTGCCACTATAAATGTGACTAAAATAGTACGTAATAAGCATATGGCCACAAACTTAAATGCATTATGTTGCCAAGAAAATATGTTGGCAGGTGTGTAGCAGGCCTTGCAGAAGATTTGTAGGAAAAATCATAAAACAAAGTACATAGTGTGAGATGTTTGCTATACATGAGGATTTTTTAAAAAGCAGATCTAGTAGAATATGATTTACTTAGAGAAGATTTGTATCTCTTGTGTTCAGCTGAATTATAGCATCTAACACAGCCTGTGCCACACAGTAGGAACTCACTCAATTTTTGTTGAAATTATTCAACGAATATTTTATTTTAGGCTTTTGCAAGATATGACTTTGGTAATAAATGTAGCACACTTAATTCATTGAACACTAAAGGAAACAAATGCTAAAGAAACTAGTTTCCAGGCACAAATGACTTGCTTAATAGCACAAGGCACATGGTGGGGAGGGGAGGTAACTACAAGATGCCACCCTGAAGGAGTCACTGTTTCATCTGGAGCACTAGAGATAGTGGGTGCTATTGATGTTAGCTAGCAAGACTGAGGGGCCAACTTTCTGAGTTCAAACTGTGGTTTTTCCACCTGTAAATGAGGAACAACGATAGGACTGGCCTCAGAGATAACCCATGAGGACTAAGTTGGTTAATGTAGAGTACTTAGATAGCTGCCTAAAACTATGTAATCATTATGTAAAGATAAGCTATTATTAATTTTAATGGTCATAATTTAAATGAACATTCTAGGATATAGTTGCAGACATTGCAATACACCAAAGTCATTTATGTTATAATTTATATGCTATCCAGGAGAGAAATTGCAACACAGATGTGCAGGCACCCCACTATCACCCCAAATTAATATTATGGTTATTAATTCAAGACCTATAAAATAGCATGTGTCATTTATAAAACTCTCAAATGTCCATATTTAAAAACTTGCTTAAAATTCTTAAAAATCAAAAAGTTAATGGGTTTTGAAGTCTCTTGTTAAAAAAATAACAAATCAGTGTAAATGAATGACAGTTTAATATCAAAAAGATGAAAAGTTGATAGCCAAGTAACAAATGAAATTGTTAAGCAGGGTTGAAAAATTACCAAGTGCAATGGAAAAATTAACACAGGGATTTTATATTTGTAATTATTGATTAACTTCTTCTATTAATTCTTATTTTGACAATATTTAAAGCCAAATATTGGCATATATTAAACTGAGAACCGAATCCTTAAATTGCTGTATCTCAGGGTACTAAATCAAAATTTTCTAAAACGTTGAAACAAATTTCACTCACTTGGGCTTTATTGAAGATATTATTGCTTTATCCTTTAGTTAGAATGATGTTATTATAATGTTGTTTCTGAAGAACATACCATAATTAATTAATGTTAATTCCCCATTTCTTTTATCATTTAGATTTCTACTTTTAGTGTATTTCATGAAGGACATGAAACATTACTATTGAATGACATATACAAAAAGTTGAAGATGTGTTAATCTTCTTTTATTAGGCTGATGGAAGTAATCAAACATATTTATTATTTATCTTAGGTGAAGTTTAAATAATAAAGTCTTGTATACTATTAAACTATATATTACTTTTACTTGTCACCATCTTTTCTCTAAGCCTGGTTTAGAGGTAAAAATCTTTTCAAATTGTGTGGCTTCAACTTCCAACTTGCTCACCTTCTCTGGGTAAGAGTTGACCATATTCTATCAAGGACACAAATACTGTATTCCTTCTTCCCAGGGCATTTATATAGTCACAGGGAAGGCCTTAGCCTGCCTTTTGGACTTCCCTATGCTTTAAGATTTTTTTCTTTATGTACGATAAGTAGAAGAGGAAGAAATACATCAAAAGAAGTTTCGCTGCAATTCAACTACCTTATTGACCTTAACTTCCTCAATCAACTAAAAGTATCTTTCTACATCATTCATTTCAGCATTTTTCCTTTTTTCTTATTTATTTGTTTTTCTTTTTTCTTTTCTATCATCCATTTGACTTTTGTCACAGATAGATTTTAACAGCTTGCATTGTATGTTCATTTTCCTAAAATATTAGAGCTTCTATTAAAAGATTGGTGTAAAGAAATTAGGGGTCCAGGCGGCTCATGCCTATAATCCCAGAACTTTGGGAGGCTGAGGTGGGCGGATCACGAGGTCAGAAGATTGAGACCATCCTTGCTAACACGGTGAAACCGCGTCTCTACTAAATATAGAAAAATTTAGCCGGGCGTGGTGGCACGCGCCTGTAGTCCCAGCTATTCCGGAGGCTGAGGCAGGAGAATCGCTTGAACCAGGAGTTGCAGTGAGCTGAGATTGGGCCACTGCACTCCAGCCTGGGCAACAGAGCAAGACTCCATCTCAAAAAAGTAAATAGGATAATTATATTCTTATATTCATTAACATATTTTGATGGATCCCCTGACATGAATAAGGGCAGAGACGGTAGCAAGTTAAGATGGGCCAGTTGGATTTCATGCCTTCAAGGACCTTTCATTCGAGCATAGGAAGAAAAATAAGAGTATACATATTTATAATACAAGGCCAAATGTTTGAAATCGTGAAAGCTTCCTTCTGTATCTCAAAGAGCAATCAACTCTGGCACAAGTGATCTACAGTGACTTTGTGGGAGCAGTTGGCATCTGAAAAACATCTTAAAAAACAGTCTATAACTTGTATTTGTTTCTTTTCACTTACATGTTATGAAAGAAGAGAAATAGAGCCTATGTCTGCTATCTCCTGGACCCTCCCCTAGTACATTTTTCCATTGCTAACTTTAGTCTACAGCCTTTCACTGTAATAAACCATTACTAAGAGTGTGTTAGTGTTTCTAAATTCTTTGAGTCCTTTTAGCTTTCACTGAATCTAATATTTGTGTTAGGACCCCCCCACACACCCCTAAAAAAGAGGCTCTAGAGTTCGTCAGCTGGGACATTCAAGTGGCCAGGCCCAATATATTCAGAAATGCTGACTTCCTTACAAAAACTAAAAGCTTTATAATTTTCAAAAAAAACCCCAAACCTAGTTTGAATAACACATAACAAGTTTTGAGTGAACGCTTAGCACTGTCTCACCATGAGCTCATGGATTGGAGGACAGTGGCAGGGCCACACACGTGCCCTCCCTGTAGCCAAATGTAGGCCAGTTTACAGACATCAGGAAGTTGCCACTGCGATGCAGTCATTCTTGACCTCTGTGAAGAAATTCTTCCAGTTAAAAATTTATTTATGTCTACAAGCATCCTCTTTCAAATGCAACCACCCCGTGGAATATTTTAAGTCTCACAGAAAAGTCACCTTTATTTTAGCATGAAATGGCTTAAAAATCAGATTATTTTTCTTCAAACATCAGATATAATTTCCATTAAGGAAATAGAAGTCTTTATAGTGATTGATGGAGAGAAGTTATTTTGGCATAAAAGGAAAATGTGCTTGGGTGGAATACCAGAGCAGACAGCTATGAGCTGTCAGAGAGAAGAACTTGTGGGGAGCAGAGGAGATGGGACCTTGAAAGCTGGGAGAGAAAGGCACAAAAACAGCAATGCAAGAAGTATATTTTAACCACTTTCAGTTTCACTACTAGCTGCCCCTACAGAGTGATTGTGATTAAAGAAACTCTTACTAACCGATTTTTAACCCACGCTGAGTCTTCCATGTATCTTAGCTTGATTTTTTTTGCCCTCAATCACGTGTCTACACTAGATCAAGTGCACCATCTACCAAATCAAACACTCGTTTTTAAGTAGGGTGTAAACTGTCACTAAGGAATGTTTGGGTCAATGTCCACCTATAGATACTGCTCTCACTGTACTTGAGGCAGTATTGGAGAACTTATGTTTTCTATGGAAGACTTAGAGCATTACTGGAAAAGAGACGGCTTTGTTTCCTTTCATATTAAATGTCAAGGAGAGGCGGTAAAGCCTCTCCTCTGTTTTTCTATAGAACCCAGTTCAGGGCTGTGTCTCATCACTTACTATCCTGTGTATTATTAATGATCAATTCATCTACTCCTCACCAGACTGCAAAGTTTTTGAGGAAAGAACTCCTTCATTCTCCACTATCTACACAGACTACGTATAAATTAACAATGAATAAATGAACAAATGCCTTCTTCATATATCTTGACTAGTCTATATGTTGTTAGCATTATATTTAAATACCACTTTTTCATAAGAGTTGTGGATTAGAAAACTGTGAAGGGATTGTTTGTTTGTTTGTTTTCCTTAAAAAATTAATACTTGCGGCCGGGCGCGGCGGGTCACGCCTGTAATCCCAGCACTTTGGGAGGCTGAGGCGGGCGGATCACGAGGTCAGGAGATCGAGACCATCCTGGCTAACATGGTGAAACCCCGTCTCTACTAAAAATACAAAAAAACATTAGCCGGGCGTGGTGGTGGGCACCTATAGTCCCAGCTACTCGGGAGGCTGAGACAGGAGAATGACGTGAACCCGGGAGGTGGAGGTTGCAGTGAGCCGAGATCACGCCACTGCACTCCACCCTGGGTGACAGACCGAGACTCCGTCTCACAACAACAACAAAAAATAATAATAATACTTGGACAGGAAGACCACAGCTATCACTTCTAGATCTAAACATTCTTCAAGATGAGTGGAGACAGAGGTAGAGTGTGTGCTGGATGGATATAGGAGTGGACTTACTTGGTTGTCATCATACGGTTGTACCATTTCTTTTTAATAATGACTGAAGATGACATTGGGAATAAATAAACATAGACCTTTGAGTTTCATAGCCACTTAACTCCCTAGTTTTGTTTTTCAAATTAGTTGAGAGGTGATACTTATAGCCATAACTTTAATAACATTACCATCATCATCTCAATTGTGGCAGCTACAATGTCAAGAAACTCACAAAGTTAAAATGTGAAGAAACTTTAGAGGTGGTTTGGTGTGGAGAAGATTGATGTTGATACGATTCATGTATCTTTCAGGATTCCATGGGATTGCACTCTGTCATCAATTTGCTCTAAGGACTATGTCTGAAAAAACTTATTGTGTGTCATTACTGAAATACTCAGCAGTGGTTTGGTTTCTGAATACTTTTAAAGCATTCTCTCTCTTCTCCGCATTATACCATAAAATATATCTTAGCATATTATTGTTTTCACTTGCCATTTGTTTAATATATGAGAATATATTAAAGCATATGCCTTGAATCAAATGCTAACCAGATTAAACTATATCTAAGAGAGTGTGTCTTTTCAAAACAGATTGTGAAGTTGTGTTCTGGTTCCCATATTACTGCCATTGTTCAATATTTTGGGACTTCTATTTTGGAAATGCATTCAGTTCCAACTTGTAGCCCCTAAGAAATGCTCCCTACATCTAAAGGCTAAGATGCCCTCCTTTATTATTTTTCTGATCAAATATTTAAGAAATAAGCTTCAAATATTTGTTAAATTTTTCTCAAAAGTAAAATTTTTATGTTTAAAATATGACAATCTAATTGTCATCTTTAATGTATTAAAATCTTTTATATCCAGTTTTTATTTTATTTTATTTACTTATTTATTTATTTGAGATAGGGTCTCACTCTGTCACCCAGGCTGGAATGCAGTGGCACAATCTTGGTTCACTGCAACCTCTGCCTCCTAGGCCCAAGTGATCCTTCCACCTTAGCCTCCCGAGTAACTGGGACTACAGGCCCACATCACTGCGCCTGGCTAATTTTTATATTTTTAGTAGAGACGGGGTTTAGCCATGTTGGCCAAGCTCGTCTTGAACTCCTGACCTCAGTTGATCCACCCTCCTCAGCCTCCCAAAGTGCTGGGATTACAGGTGTGAGCCATATATTCAGTTTTTAGAAGATCATTAGAATTCAAATGTTGCCAGACTTTAAGTGTGGGTCACTATCTGATGGAGGGCTTCTCTTAGAAGATGTCCCCAATGGCAGGGCCTTGTTATAAAGGTTGGAAGAGAGATAATCCTCTGACTAAGAGGCCAGAGAAGCAGAAGATTTTTTTTCATCAGATTTCACGTCAGTAGGAAGACAGAAAGGAGAAGGAAGAGAAGGCATGAACAGCATATGTGTGAAGTAGAATCTTAATAGTGTGCATCTTTTAAGTCAGGATTCCGTCTACTGTTGGCCAAAATAAATCATTATTATCTGGTGGTTGGAAAAAATAAGGACATTCCTTGGTTTTCTCCAAAAACTTATTTTGGTGTTTCTTAATTACCCTTAGGAGACCTTAATGATCAACACTGTATCAACAGAGAAAGTGGAATTTTATTCTCTTATAGAACAGTGATGTTATTATGCAATGTATTCACATAATTATTTACAGTTCTTCAGTTCTAGATGACTGATACTACAGAAACCTGAGATAATCCCTGCTTCCATTAGTTTGGGTGGAACTTTTGTTGAGAGACTTGAGTCATACTGAATACCTTGAATTACTGCCAAGAGCTGGTGATCATCAAGCTTGAGTTAATACCAATGTTATGTTGCTATGGAGAGGATAACTGCAGGAGAACAATCATCATGTGGTAGGTTTTACCACGTGGCCTGCTGAACTCCATGCTCAAACTCCAACTACTTTTAAGTAATGACATTAAAAATCATATTTTCCATTTATCTGTGGAAGCTAGTGAGTAAAGAATAAGATAGAGTCTACTGAACCTATAGAATGTTACTAAGTATTAGGTGTTGTATTTAATTTCCAGTTTGTCTAATGCTGGAGGCAATTTTACCTTCTCCTACCAGTGAAAAAGTTTATGCCAGTAAGACTTGTGATTTTTGTTCTCCCCCAACACATGCTTCTATATAAATTTATTATGGGAAAAGTGATATTAATAAAAACTTTCTGGAACAATTATAGATAGAGTGTGGTCTGGTGTGACAGATATTTTGTTTCTTCACAACATTCATTCTCTGAGTATTCACCATGGATCAGATATTCTGTAGTTTCTGTAGTAGATACAAAAGCTTTACAAGGTGTATTTTTCCACAAAGAGGTTAGCTAGATTAATAGTGAGAGGATACATCAAAGAACATGGAAATGATTTTTAGAGAAATGAGAGCAAATACTAAAGTATTGAATTAAGTAAAACAAGAAAAATAGCTCCTCCCACCTTCAAAAACATTGGTGAGACCAGGATTGTGGAGGGCACCTTGGCAATGGGCCTTGTAGCTCAGTGAATGGATAAAATGTGTACACAGTGAGAAGAGAAGAAAGTGTCTACACAGAAGTTAGTTTTTGTTTAATTTGATATTTTCTCTTTACCTCGTTCTAGTCAAGATGACCTGAAGCCTTCTAGTGAAGAACCAGCCAGGCAAGTTCCACTTCTTAGGGCCGTTAAATCCCTTCTCTTATTAATGATGTTAATTGCATTTGGATCTCCATCCAGATATTTGCCCTACCTTAATTTCATGTTAATGTGCCATGGGCTAAAGAGGCAGTATTTTTTAAACGCATCTGTAAGTTTCATTTATGACAGAATTTCTGTAATAAAAGTGTAGTCAAGAGTGTTGATGGAAAATTAGGGTGACATAAATACGTGAGAACTGGAAAATGTATAATCTTAAACAGTACACATTATTTTTATTATCTCTCTTTCCCACAGGCTGATGAGGCCTGGGATACTAATATAAAAACCAAAATTAGAAACTTCTCCTCTGTGGTGTTTATTGCTTCGCCTGCAGTGCATGAAATCTTAATTCTAAAGCTCTAACTCACAAAATCTGACATCGTTTTACCCTCTGACACGTCAAAATCAGGGCCTAATTGTTCCTGTGGTTGTGAATTATGAACAAATATACTTTCTAAGAAGATGGATTTTTCATTTAATTTTCCTTTTCAGCTTCACAATATGTACATATACAGAGGTTGCCTGCGATTTTAATATGCTCACACCTACAAAAACACACAATACACACAAACTTTCAAACGTAAGCACACAGATCTGTAAACATACACATGAAGATTTGTTGCAACACAATTCATTCTCAAATCTATTTCCTGTTATGCTTATGATTAAGATCTATAACTTCTCAGGGTTGATTTATTTGTTTTGTACGAGACTGAGTAAAGCTAAAGACCACGAATATGATGGGTGTTGCTAAAATAAACTTCTCAAGAGACATCAAGTTTTAATCTGCCATATTTCAAATATTCCCTGTTGAAATATAAACATAAAGGAACCATTAATTATATAAAAATAGAAATACATTTGTGACTTTCAGAGCTGTCACCGAATAGATATTGGAAGGCAGGTTATTTAGAGGACTCATGTAAGACAGAAAAGAACTACGCACAGATCACCGATGATGACACAGTTATGTGGAGAAAGTAATCTGCCACAGGTCACCCAGACAGGGAGTGGGAAAGTGATGGCTCCGTCCTCGATCACTTTTATATCCCTTTCATTCCAAAGCCAAGCATGTTCTATAAAAGCAGAAATCTCTGTACTCTTTTGACATCCTAACTCCTTCTGCTACCCTCATTTACCCTCATACATGTTTTATACAGATGTGGGCTTGTCAGAAAAATCACAAAATTTTAATGTTAGAATGGACCTTATCATGCTATTTTAGTTATCAGCTGCTGAGCTGTTTTCTATGTTTGAGTTCCCTTCTCTCTAAAAAATATACAAAAATCAATAGAACTTTCAGTGCACTTGCAGGTGGGTTTTACCTTTTTTAGGCCTTGATCTCACAGCCTGATCCTTAACTCATCTACTTTCCAATACTGGCTGACAGAGCATCCACCATCCAAAGGCAGCGTAGACAAAGGTTCAATGAGTAGGAACTCTTAATTATGACATAATGACATTAATAACTTTTACCTTATGTTTTATGTTTTTGGAGACAAAATAATTCCAAACTTATTATTATAACCATAAACATAAATATTTGTATCATTAATAACAGTGTAGGACCTTAATTTATAGTTTAACCATTCACATTTGAGTCTTTAATCCCTGCTCAATTCCAAATGTATACATAGTTTTAGGGGTCCATTTTTATTTCTCTCCACATGTAGTGATTTATGTTTCTCTGTACCTTCTACTAAGTAACCTGGCCTTATTCCATTATATATTTAGTTTCCATATATACATACATCTGTCTCTGAGGACTTTTAATTTCATTTCATTGGTCAATGTATCTGTTCTTGCTGTTGTAACAGACTACTGCTACTAATACTACTGCTGAATTACTATTATTATTATTATTACTTTTCAGTATTTCTAAAGAGCTTTTTAAAAATATGTCATTAAGTTACTGTTTTAAGTAAAACATTTTATATAGAGATTCATATACATATTGAACTTATGTTTTTATTTTCTTGCATGTATCTTAAGTGATCTTGAAATCAACATTATAACAACCTGATAAAATAGAGTGAAGGTTTCTGATCTTTGCTCATTTGCAGGAGCACCTTATATAAGATGTAAATTAGGTAAACGTTTAACATTTGGGAGAAATTCACTATACAACAATCTGATTCTGAGACTCCAAAGATCGTTTTTTATGTTTAAAATATCTATTTCTCTATTCAAACTTTCATTTTATTTGCCGCATCTAATATCTGACACATTTCCAAATAAGTAAAAACAAAATTCACCAAATCTTGTATCTTTTAAAATGTATCTTTGTTTCCTGTCTTCTATGTTTTGATTATTTCTTTTAAATTTTTAAAATAAATTTGTGTTTAGTTTTGAACCATAAAAATAACTCATTCAAAGTCATCAAAGTAAAAGTAATCATCTCTTAGGCATATAGTTGTCAGTAATCTGATTTTAACCCAACAGACTATATACATATTTAAGACAGGGTCTCTCTCTGTTGCCCAGGCTGGAGTGCAATGGCACAATCATGGCTCACTACAGCCTTAACTTCCCAGGCTCAAGCGATCGTCCCAAGTAGCTGGGGACTACAGGTGCATGCTTCCACTCCTGGCAAATTTTTGTATTTTTTGTAGATGTGGGGTTTTGCCATAAGACGAATTGTTGAGTCAAGATGTAGATGGCACATTAGTTCACGTTATTTCAGTTAAGGTTTCCTGAGCCTCTACTTTGTGCCATGATATAAGCAAGGTGCTAAGTCTGTGCTGCAAACAGCAGTCATCCTATCCAAACCGTACACTTACAAGTGAGGCAACAAAGGTATATAGGGGTTCGGGAAAAACTACGGAAAGCGTGTGTGTGTGTGTGTGTGTGTGTGTGTGTATCAGGCAGAAAATTATCCTCACATTTTCCTACGAGTATCCTAGTTGATCCTCTGCCACCATGCTCTTTCCATGGGTGCCCTTTGCTGTGTCCTTTCCACCCCACCCTTCCAGAGGGATCTGGATGTGGATGCCTATGCTGAGTGTAATGAAGCCTGAGATGTTGTTAGAATTTAATGAATAAGGCCAAGTATGCTAACATTTTTTCAATCCACAAAACGAAAATTAGATCTTGACCTACACAAAATGTGGCTAGCTCCTCTGTTGAGAAACCCTGACACCAGATCTATTAATACCTTTCCTATGGTCACTTTATGTTTTGAAAGTTTGCTACTATTTGGTGATGACACCACCAACTAGGATGAATATAAATGTTCATTTTCAAAGATGTTAAAGGCATCATTCTCTTATTTCTAATAATTAAATAATAAATGTGGAGATACACACACACACACACACACACGGTTTCCATAGTTTTTTTTTTTCAGGCAAATTCGCTAAAATCTCATAAACATTATAATTATTATTAACTCCTAGGAATAATATCTACATTTAAGGAAAGAGTAATTTTAATTTAAGTAGACACATTTAATGATGCAAGTATGGATACCTCATGCAAACAAATGCCTTTATACTTACTCAGAATAAATAATGGGAATTCCACATGGAAGCTTATGAGAAGGTCTTTAATGATCTTATTTTGCTTTGGTTTTAGCTTTCTGAGTAAACAAGCCCCTACACACTGAGTATTAGATTCACCTGGAGGTCTTATTTCATAATGTATCCAGGGCTTTAGCCCTAGACATGCTGATTAAGACTGGGGTGGGCTCAAGAATTTGCATTTTTCACAAATTCCAAGGTGATATTGATTTTATTCTTAGTAGATCTTCTCATTAAAAATAAGTGTAACCCTCTGCAATTAACAGAATAAAGTCAAAATCTCTATCGCAGGATTCAACAGAGGGATGACAATCTGGCCCAACCACCTTGCATAGCTTTGGGACCTAACATTACTCTTGTTTTACAGCAGTAGTTCTGCCAATCGTAAGTGAAATGTGGTCTGTTCTCTGAATATACCATTCTCTTTGGTATCTTTGCACTTTGATCTTGCTGTATTTTCTGGCCAGAAAGCCCTTCCACCTTTACAGTTTAGAAACTGGCCACTTACCCTTCAAGGCCAAGTTCCAATAAAGTTTCTTCTAAGAAGAGTGCTGCCTATTTCCAAATTTAAGTATATAAAATTGAGGATTGAGGAAATCCCAAAATTCCAGTACATTTGTTTCATAATGCAATCTAAGATCATTCTGTTAATGTTCCACGTGCTTCCAACGGCTCCACGAAGTGGTATGAGACTCAAGTTGAATTTTGAATCACAAAGTGTATTCATTGTCCACCTGACATCTTTTTTTATTTTATACCATGATTTTTATGTAATACATCATTTGTGTCTCTAAGAGTTTTTCACGTGGATTTTAATAATGTGCCAATTCACAAAAGAATTTGACTTAACACTTCTGAGCATTATTCATTGATACACAGTTGAAATACAGATAGTTTAGATAGGAGGAAAAGTCAGTATAAAGGAATGAAATTTTTTTTAAAGCTCAACATTTCCTAGAGATTTTACTTCTCATATCTAATGGTGTAATTCTCTCTTATTAAAAAATGTGTTAATTTAAACTATTATAATTTTATCAGATGCTGATTTCGTGTGTGTGTTCTGTGTGTGTTTGTGTGTGTGTGAGAGAGAGAGATGATCTGATGTGTATTCCTAAGTTTACAAGATTCTAAACCTTTTCACTTATAAATAGATAGTTCAGAGGGTGACATTTTTGGTAGAGAAATCTTAATGAAGCTTAAAATGCAAGTTTCTGTGTAGAGGTACCATCTGGTTAATCTGCTTCAAATGATGGTGGATGCACCATCATTACCCAAATGGGTGAAAGCCTGGCTGCCTATAGTCTCCCTTAAAGGTTAAGGAGTGATATATGGGTGCTAAAGAAAGGCTTATCAGGCTACTGTACATCAGAGCACTGACAAAACTTCCTCAGGAAATCACCAAATGAAACAAGGACCTATTCAGAAATGTTGGTTTATAGATATGCCATTACAATGGAACTCATCTAAATGACAGCATGGCTTAAGTGAGGAATTTTTACTCCCAGGTCAGGAAATTCTAAGGCAGGAACTAATGCCTATCTTAACTCTTGAGATGTGGCCAGAATTCAGGTTGTTTTTCTACTGTGTGCTGGTTTTCTCAGACATGTGAATTTGGGGAGATAAGAACAGAATAGCATATTAGCTGCAACATGTGGCACTTGTCAGATTAACAAAAGGAGTGGGAGGCTTCATACAAGTCTCCATTTTCCCTGATAGAGTTTCAAGTTGAGAACAGTATAATGTTCATATTTTACATCCTGATGGGAAAATGGGTAAGAATAAAAGGTGTGTGAGCCATAGAAACAGAATCTGTTTCTTTTCACTTTTTATAGCAATAGGAGCTAAAGGCACTCTAAAAGCTCACTTGAAGGCCACAAGGCCTTGCTTTTGTCTTTTGTTTTCATTTTAACTTTCTGCTTTTTTACAAAAAAATCTATATTTTGTCCCATTATTTAATGGCAAGTTGCCTTTAAAATGTATCTGGCCTCATCACGGAAATACTAAGGTATGTGATTTTGCATAAATAATCACAGAGAATGGCATTTCTTAAGTTAATTGTGTCTTTCTCACTAATTCCCATCAAGAGCGTGAAAGCTACAATTTAGGTGATCTTTCAGACGATTAGTGTAGTCATCCAGGAAGTCTCTTTTGTTATCTAATCTAAGTCACTCTAGCTATAATTCCCCCTTGTTTTTTTTTTTTTTTTTTTTTTTTTTGAGATGGAGTCTTACTCTGTTGCCTAGGCTGGAGTGCAGTGGTGTAATCTTGGCTCACTGCAACCTCCACCTCCCGGGTTCAAACAATTCTCTTGCCTCAGCCTCTTGAGTAGCTGGATTACATACACGTGCCACCATACTCGGCTACTTTTTTTGTATTTTTAGTAGAGACGGGGTTTCACCATGTTGGTCAGGCTGGTCTCAAACTCCTGACCTCATAATCCACCACCCCCCTCAGCCCCCCAAAGTGCTGCGATTACAGGCATGAGCCGCTGTGCCCAGCCCTTGTTTTGTTAGGTGAGAAAATGAGCCTGTTTCCACATGGAGGGCAGTGGTGGTGAAGTTGTATTATGTTTTGAAAAATACTGAAAGCAAACAGGGAGGGAAGCAGATTAACATGTTTTTAATCATTTATGCACTAATATTGTATACAATGTGTGTGTGTGCCTGTGTAAAGAAAGAATACACTGCATGTAACACAGTAAGGTATTGTATTTATATATTGCTCAGGCAGAAGATATTTAAACAGCCTGGATTAATTCACTCATCTTGTTTGTACTAAGAAACAAAGACTGAATGAGTTACAAATAAACAAGTTCCCCAAATTGTATTATTGTGGTCTCATTTGAGTGTCTCATAATTGTATATGTATTGCATTTATCACAAAAGTTATATTTGAACACAAGGTGGACAGTTATAACGTGCATGAGCAAAACTATAGTGAGCTATATCTAGCGATTTAGCTTTCCAGGTGAAACAGCCACTCTAGTTATGTAAAGTGATAGGAAATAAATCAATCCCATCTTAGCCTAGGACGACATTGACATCAGCATCAGTTATTCCAATAACTGCATAATCAATATTTATGGGCTTAATCAAGAGAGACATGACACCTGGATTCGCTGCATGTGAGAAGGGAGGGCAATGTCAAGGTGGATTTGGTGAAGTCCAGGTGGGGAAAGCAGAGTAAATCAGCAGCAAAGTCAACAAGCAATCTGCTCACAGATCCACAATATTCGGCTGCTTTATAGAACACAGCTTTATTCTTTGTCTGTGATGGAATATCAATGCTTCCATTTTGGGAAAAGTCTAACGAATTCTTTAGCTTTTTAAAATTAAAAAAATATATATATAGCCAGTTTGTATTTTGTATTTTTTATAAAAGGCATATAAAAATGCAAAGCATAGTTTCTGTCTTTGAGAAGTTTTGAATCTTGTTGGTGAGTCAAGAAATGTAGAAGAAGCAATTATAAGCAGGATTTGAATCCTACCTGTATCACTAATTTGTTGTGTTGTACAAATCAATTCTTGTGCCTAGGCCAAAATAAAGCAAAAAAAGACTACACTGGCTCCACATTCCAAGTAAATTTACTAATTCAATGGTACTATAAAATGTCAATGAATATATTCCAGAAAATAAGAGTGAAAAATTTCAAGAATGAAGGAAAAGAAGAGTCAGATGTGGTGAAAGAAGGCTTGGATTAGCAAGCATTTGATTGATATTAAAAGCAAGGATAAGAATTTGCTGAATGGAGAGGTGGGGAGGAGTGAGGGTTATTATAGAAAAAAAATGAAGAGAATAGGAAAACAAACACAGGTGAAAAATGAGCATGAGGGGATCACCTGGGATTGAGAAGATGACATCAACTGCTGGAAATGGAAGTTTTGCATGGAGAGCATCAGGTCAGTTTACAGAACGCCATGGACACTGAAATAACAGGGCTGGGTTTGAAGCTGTTGAAAATTTCAATCAGGAATCCTTTCCTATCTGACTCAGAGAAAAGGGGTGTTTGGAAAATGTTCATCTGAAGCAGGGGGGGCGGGGCGGGGAGCAAGATTAAACTGGTAGCTATCATTTCCAGATATGACCCAGTCCGTAGAATGTTTGATTATTAAACAAAACCAAATGCTAACATCAGCAGGTCCACAACAAACAGAAGATTTACAATCTCCTGAAATTGCAAAGATCTGGTAGAATAGATTTCACATGGCAATAGTTGGCAGAAGCTAAGTTGCTTCTGCTTTCCATGGCTCTCCTTATCTCCACATTGTTGTGACTGAAGCTGGCCTGCTCCCCATTGTGAGCCTGGAACAGAAAGGTGTTTGCATCAGAGATCACTACTGTAGGGACCATAGATGGACAAGTGCTTTAGGAAACTACTACCGAGGTCTCATCCTGAGATGAGAAGGCTCTCATTTAGAACAAACATGGAAAGGAAGGATTGTATGTGAGTTTTGTTTTGAAAGCAGAATCAATATACTAATAATTGAGACTGAGTGAACTAGTCTAGGAGGCAAAGGAGAGGAACTAGCTTACACACGAGGAAGCTTAAAAATATTGTTTGTGTATATTAAAAATAAAATAAATGCCTAGGCATGGTGGCTCACACCTGTAATTTCAGCATTGTGGGAGGCCAAGGCGGGAGAATCGCTTGAGGCCAGGAGTTTGAGACCAACGTGGGTAACATGGAGAGACTCCATCTCTACAAAAAATTTAAAAGTTAGCCCAATGTGGTGGTACTTACCTATAATTCTAGCCTACTAGAGAGTCTAAGATGGGAATCACTTTTTTCCTGGAGTCTAAGACTCCAGTGAGCTGTGACTCTGCCACTGTACTCCAGCCTGGATGACAAAGTGAAACCCTGTCTTACTCCAAGGAAGAAAATGAAAATAATACTTTTGAAAGTCCTCAGATAGAAGACTCTTACCTGCTTCATTTTATTAGTATAATATATGACAAATTAAAAATATTAAATTTAAGTGTTTATTTGCCACTTACTCAAAATTTTAGGTATACACAGGTTGACCCAGAAAAGAAACAAATGCTAAATCCAAAAATATTGTCGTGCTTCATGCCTACATTACTTTTGAGTACACATATTTCTTCTGTAACCCATTATAAGGAGTTTTCAAAATATAATATGTTCTTAATAACTTACATTAAATAATTCAGTGGTAAATACAAGTTATAATATATTGAATGTTGACTGGTCAAGAGTTCCCTTTTTTCATAAAACAGATTTCAATTCTCATGTTAGTTTGGCCAACTGAAAGTAAATATGCTTGGTAGAAAACAGTCTAAGTGAGACATTATTAATGAAATAATATGTCTGAAGGTCTGGTACTAATGCTGGATCACGAATATAATTTTTGAACATGAAGAGCTACTAAATGTAACTGAGTTTAGACTGGGAAACTTTTCCAGTGATCCACTAGGTACTAGTTTAGTTGCATGGCTGAATGACCCAGCTATTTGCCAGAGGAGAGGGAAATGATATGTAGCTGACTGTCAAATCATATGCTATTTATTATAGTTATATTTTGTTTGTTTTAACTCTTAAGTGAATTGTGAGTTTCTGCAAATCAGAAAATTGTTTATTAATGTTTGTTTGTACTGCTGTGCTTAATTCAAAACCACCTAATGAGTGATTTTTGAAATCAACCCAATTCATACATGATGGGTAGATTTAAAAAATAGTTTTACATTGTTTCTTATTTCGTTTAGAACTGCAATCCCGAGATAGGAAGATTGCTTCAAAAACTATAACAGATTTCTGAAATTGAGTAAATTTGCTTCAATTGTCTATTAAAAGTTTTGAAGTATAATAAACAAAAAAATATATTAAGTAAAGCAAGGTTCAAAATCACGTTTCCAGTAAACTTTGCATTTGCAGTACATTTATGTAGACAAAACAAGTCCACAATAGTTTAAACAGACATTCACAGCAGGTGATTCCAAGACCATGGGAAGGATTTGGTTCCTGTTTATTTTCTGAGTTGTCTTGGATGCTCTCCTTCCAGTTATGTATTCTTCTCTTTCTCATGTATCATGTCTTATTTCAACTATTCTGACAGCATGTCAAGCATTAGCAGCAGAATAATCTGTATGCACAGTGGGAGAGAGAGGCAGACCAAATACACATTGAATAAGGAAAAAGAAGTTTCCAGCGGTTGATACATTATTCTCCCTAGCAAAGGGCTAGATTTGCTAAGCATATGGAGACATGCTTAAGGATCAATAGGGAGAACTTTGAAATATATGCCCATCCTGTGAAAATTTATATCTTGACTGAGGATATGTTTTGATAGTATAAGTAATATTCTCATAAAATTTTTGGAGTGACACATGAGAAATGGAGGAAACCATAATGTAAAAAGCACATGTTAAGTCCTTGCCAATGATTAAGCCATCCTTTTGCCTTATAAAGACATTGATTTTCATTCTATCCTGATCTTTTAGAGTAGTTGGGTTCTATATATCTTGAGAATTCCTATGAGAATAAAACACAGCTAAAATTAGTGTAATGAGCTTAAGTTAGAGGAAAGCAAGATACCCTGGATCTTGGATAAATATACTTGGTTTAACGAATTTCTTAAGATATATCCATGAGGATATCATTTTCCTTACCAAAATATAATGCATATCTTTATTTATTTGTTTTTTTAACCTCAGAGCTTCTAGGGTAGACTCAAAAAAGACATTCTGCTAGCCTTATGTTTTACTATGTTTCCATAAATGCTAACATTTCTTTCAAATATTTACCCCCAAGGCTTATTTTAGATGTATCAGCTAAGGGAGAGGAGTCAGAAAGATACCTTATAATGAAGTTTCCTCTTCTTTTTCTTATATTCGTAACAATCCGATAAATGGTTTCTGAATTATCGAGTAGACCTCTGAGAACTCAGCAGGTGATTCCAAATCAAATTCACAACCTTCCAAGATGACATTTTCCTTAGAAAATCCCAGTATCTAACCTTACCAACTGGATTAAAATCAAACTTCTTTATGAAAAAATATACATCATTAAATTGTGAAATCAAATATAGCTCTATTAATTAAAATGTAATGGTAGGAATAGGAAAAAGTGTTAGTGTGCGTTGTAATAGAAAGAGATGACAAGTGCGCACAGCTGAGGAACGTTCCTTATATTTCCAAGGTCTCTGTGTCAGAAGTTCGATATCACCATAACCTTTTGATGGGTCTTAGTTAATAAATAGTTCGTTATTATATTTTATTCATACTGTAATATTGCTTTTAAATTCGTCCTCTTCATTCATGGCTGTCTTTAAATCAATAGAATCAGTTAAAATATACAGAATATAAAGTAGAAAATACAGCGTATTTTCTGGTTAGAATATTATGTTGATTTAAGACTTAATTGCATTCTGTGAAATTTAGGTTTAATCATTCCACAAAAAAACACTTTTAGAAGCAAAAGTGATGATTAAAGTATTCAACAAACATAATTTAATAATATTGGTTTAGTTGACAAAATAAAATGTTGTTGTGAAAGCCTTTCTTACCCTTGCTCTAAAAACGGAAAATAAGGCTGGGCATGGTGGCTCACTCCTGTAATCCCAGAACTTTGGGAGGTTGAGGTGGGTGGAGGATCCCTTGAGGTCAGGAGTTTGAGACCAGCGTGGCCAATATGGCGAAACTCCATCTCTACTAAAAATACAAAAAAATTAGCCAGGTGTAGTGGTGTGTGCCTGTAGTTCCAGCTGCTTTGGAGGCTGAGGCATGAGAATCACTTGAACCCAGGAGGCAGATGTTGCAGTGAGCCGAGATTGTGCCACTGCACTCCAGCCTGGGCAACAGGGAAAATAAGAACAAATGTAATCACATAATTTTTTTAGTTGCCATAGTGGGTTTATTACACAAGCATGTGGTGATTTATATTTAATCATAATTTATTGATTATATTAAAAAATAGAGACACAATGGTCTCACAGAGAGGGAATGAACATATATTATTTTGGCTAACTATATTTTATGAGTAACTGCATTTACATTTCCTTGGTTTTGAACTTAGCCATGCTATGAACAACTGAATAATCTTTATTGTTATAGTTTCAAAATATTTGAAATTATCTAATGGCTCTTAGATTATACAATAAAAATTATAAAACATTATATTGAAAAAATGTATTAATATTACAAAACCTTACAATAAAACATAATAATACAGTGTTGTTTTGGCATGTGTCTCTTTTATATAAAAATCAGAAGGAGAAAATCCAGTTATTTGTTCTTTTTTTGAGATTTTACTAAATTACAATGCCCTCAATAATATGAAGACATACAATTTACCAACAAGTGGCCGGGCGCTCTGTCTCACGCCTGTAATCCCAGAACTTTGGGAGCCGAGGTGCGTGGATCACGAGGTAAAGAAGTGAAGACCATCCTGGCCAACATGGTGAAACCTTGTCTCTACTAAAAATACAAAAAATTAGCCGGGCGTGGTGGCGGGCGCCTGTAGTCCCAGCTACTCGGGAGGCTGAGGCAGGAGAATCACTTGAACCTGGGAGGCGGAAGTTGCAGTGAGCCGAGATCGCACCACTCACTGCACTCCAGCCTGGGAGACAGAGCGAGACTCCGTTTCAAAAAAAAAAAAAAAAAAAATTACCAACAAGTTGATAATTTCCTACAGAATTAACGTCACCCTGAAGTTTACCCCTTTGGTATTACAGCTGTTTATCATGTACATAACTCCCTTTTTATTTTGAGAGGGGTTAAAGTTAATTCGTATCTATAATTTATAGAGTAAAATTATATTTGTTAACAAAATAAAAACTTTTTATAATACTTTAATGAAAGGCTTATTCACCAAAGAAAATAATAAAAATTACAGTATCTCATCAATAATTTGGCAGATATCTCAACTCTTATTTTTTCTCGTATTTTAAGACTATAAATTATATAAAAGTAACAGTATTCATTGCTAAACAGTAAAACAATTTTTTTCTGTGTTTACATCTAGCTTACTGTTTTAGTAATAAAAATGTTCTCAATTTTCATGCATTGCAGTCACATCCTTAAAAAATCTGAGATTTCTTGATTTTCTGTAAATTTGGCATTTTAGTCTGAATTATTAAACTTAAGTAACCAGGATGTAAACTTTTATCGCTTTTTTTTCATTTAAAATTAAGAATGACATCTCTCTGAGTTTTTATGTCCAAAATTCTGGATACTTCTAAAAGGATGTGAGCATTACTGCAGGGTAGATGGTAATCCTAGACTTTGGAATACAAATTAAATGAGCTGTTCTATCTGACCATTCTCTGTAACACAGTTTCAGGGACTTGAACGACCTGATTTGAAAAACAAGTATGAACAGTTAGACATAATGTGATCTAAAGGTAGAGTATTTATGTATAATCTTAAGTTACAAAATTATTTGCTGAAAACTTTAAAGTCATATCGTATCTTAATATATATAACCTTATTTATATATTTATTATTTAGTCATCTGCCTTTCTTTCCAAAAATGCTGAAAAATAAGTCAGTTATCTTTTCCTTCATTTGGGGACCATGAGAATTTTCTCTTTGAGAAATATGTGTTTTTTTTTTTTGTTTTGTTTTGTTTTTTTTTTTTTGTGGCAGCTCTGTGAGCTCAAATTTCTTAGGTTTAATCTAAGAAATTCCAGGAGCGTTACTCTCAACCATGAAAGCTTTTTGATAGGAGTGAACTGCAGATGATCTGGCTTTGGAACATTACCAGTAACTTTCAAAGAATTTTCTTCATGAAAGTCAGAATGTCAGTGCTGTTGCTAAAATTTCTGGTTTAAACATGTTTCTTTTTCTTTTTTTTTTTCCCCAGCTGAAAATACAAGGCAAACACTGCCGTTCAAAAACATTAAAAATCCTTGCTTTTATTCTCATATTAGGGTTCAATATCAGTGGATGGAAGTAAAATAGTGTACACATCACTCAAAATAATCAATATACTGAGAGCTGGTAGCCTTACTTTGAGTTCTCACTTCTGCTTTTATGTAAGCCTTGTTGCCTATTTGGAATGTTTTTCTACCTGATACAGGAAATGAGAAGGTGATATTCCTTCCAGTTGTAATCATCCACGTTTCTATGGTGTAAAGTCACTGTATTCCTTTTACCCCCAACTTTTACTACGCATCAACTGCATGCCAGTTACTGGCTGAGTTCTTCACATTAACAATGACATTAAAATTTCAAAATACGCATTTGAGATAGGGATAAAAATGGCAGAGAAATCAAGCAAGTTCCCAAAGGTCACAGAGCCCAATAAGAAACACAAACAGAATAACATAGGAGTCAGATCAGTAGCCAAGATTTGATTTGTGTGATCACCATAATATAGATCTTAAACCAAAACTGATGGCTACTTAACTTAATTTTGTGAAAAGAATGAACACAGAGAGAAAGATGGGCCTCATACACACACACACGCACACGCACACACACAGCATATTTAACTGCATTCTACTAAACAGATACTCTTTCAGGTGACAATTGGCTAGCCTTTTTAAAATTACTTAATTAATTATTATTTCTTTTTAAGCAGAGTCTTTCTCTGAAACCCAGGCTGGAGTGCGGTGGCGGGATCCGGACTCACTGCAACCTCCACCCCCGGGGTTCAAGCGATTCTCATACCTCAGCCTCCCAGGTAACTGGGAATACAGGCATGTGCCACCATACGTGGCTAATTTTTTCAGTAAAGAAGAGGTTTCACCATCTTGGCCAGGCTGGTTTCAAACTCCTGGCCTCAAGTAATCCGCTTGCCTTGGCCTCCCGAAGTACTGGGATTAAAGCCTTGAGCCACCACTCCAGGACTGGCTGGCCTTTCTTGATAGAACAGTTAAGTTTTAAAAGCAAATGAGAAATACTCTCTTTTTAAAACTTTCCCTTTGGGATGAAATTGTGAAATTATAGCTAACTACCATTGACTAGACAAAACTCCAACTGTGTTTTTGGCTTTGCATTTGTTATATTTAATACTTGACTCAAGAAAACCTTGTAAAGTGTCTTTTGTTATTACAGAATCTAGAAGCCCTAAGCAAATATATCACTCTTTTTCTATATATTAGGAGAATTGCCATTTGCCCTATCTGTATTTTCAAACTTTGGGGCTTCAAATGTTTGAAGTAAATTAATATTTGTATTTTAATATTTACCTAGTCAATTTTCTAAGAAATTCAACTTACTAAATGCTTAATGTCAATGTCATTCAAACACAAAGTATATATACTACACTTGATTAAGGATTCATTTACAGAGAGTCATGGAAAATATAACTCATAATTTATAATTTACAAGTCTCAACATTTTGCATATTTTTCAAAAGGGAAATATATATACATGTATACATACATACACACACATTTAGATATGAGGTACTAAAATAAATATAATGTAACTTACTAATAAAATCAATGTATTGCATGAATTGTCAAAATTCTATATTTTTGCTATACTAATTCAACTCTTTTGTGCCACATTATGTTAGAGTCACTTATTTCTTTATGGAGCTGTCAGAGCTAGTTTACTCAGTAAAATACTCTGTATGTTTACAGCCTTTATATGATATTATACTTAAATCATATGCAATATAATTCATATTATGTGCAATGTAATCCAAACGTATTCTTTGAAACATTTGTAATGTGTATTCAGTAAAAATATACTGAAATAAAAGGTAGGCACCTGGCACAATCCATCTCTTAGCCCTTCTCACGTTGTATTGAAATGATTTCTATCCAAGTTTCATTGACCTTTAGTCTAAGCTCCTATGGGGAATTTCATACCATGCTTCTACAACTAAAATTTAACCCCATACTGATAAATAATTGGTGGTCAATAAATATTTGTTTCAGCTGGCTGAAGAAGTAAGCCTTTCCAATTAATAATAAAAATTAAAATTTTATGGGATTTTCCAAATAATTAGAATCAGAGGAAGAGCGAGAGAGAGAGAGAGAGACTGAGATCTCAGGCATATCAACCTTGTGGATAAATAGAGGGTTATAGAAATGAATTGACAAACGTGCTGTAAATTGCTTAGCTCTGCGAATCTGCTAATTCTCAGGAGAGTAGAAAAGACTTGACATTTATCAAGTGTGTGTCATGTGAAACACTTCGTGCAAGGTAATTTTCACTCTTTATTCCTTTTAGTACCAATAGGTATCAGATATCACTGCACAGTTAGCTGCACCTAATTATCCAGCTAATTTTTCTACTTATACTTTGAAATACGTCACTATATGACAATGGTAAACTGTAGCATTTTCAAATTTTACCGTATGACGGTTGTAAAAATGAAGTTTACTACTTTTAAACATTCCATTTTAATTTATATATATATATTTGTTTTCTGATATTTATTATCGCATATGAATGATTTTATATGTGATTAATTTATATAACAAAGTACACCATTGAACTTCATGAATATGAAATCATAATCTGGTATACATAGACTTTTAGTAATATAACAGCATTTTAGGAGGAATTATATTATGAGCTGAGTGGCAAGGATAACAAATTCTGTCCTGTTTTAATTATTTAAGTCACAGTTTTACTAGTAGTAGAAACAATTCTGAAAAAAAAAAAAAGAAAAAGAAAAAGAAAAAGAAAAACAAAAGATCTGGTCAGATGTGATGGTTCATGCCTGCAATTCTAATACCCTGGGAAGCTAAGGTTGGAGGTTGTAGAATTGCTGAAGACCAGGAGTTGGACCTGGGCGACTTAGTGAGACCCCGTCTCTACAAAAAATAAAAATAAATTTTAATTTGAAGCAATGGTCTGAGAAAGTGAGAAATTGTCGACTTGTACCCTGGATAATTTTATGCCTGATTTTGATTTTTCTAACATTTCTTACTTTAAAAATTATCCTTGAAAATTTCAGAAGTGGCTTCACACTTAATTTTCATGATCATTTTCAATGTTTCTTCCAAAAAATGATCTACATGGTAATTATTTTATGTGGCATAATTCTCTAGTTGAGGAGACACGATGCTTTTACTCCCCAAATAAAATATGGATATATAGCTCTTTGTCATATGAGCACATGTTGCAAGAATCATTTGATATGTTTATGCTGAAATAGAACCTTAATGACTCATTTATATTTCCTTACATCCAATTTTATTCTGCATTACGAAGTGTTTAAATAATATGGTATAATATATTGTTTGAGTCTAGCCTCTAACATCCTGCAAACTGGCATCAGAATAATTTACTTTTCCTAAGATTTAATAGTCACAAAAATATTCATTAAAATTAAAAACATTACATCTGGAAATACAACTTTGCTGTTTAAACTGATCATTGTACTCTACTTTCCTTTTTTGTAATCCGAATGGTAAGGTATAATTTACAAGTTATATTTTATAAGTTCATAAATGAGGAGTAAATTTTGTTTTATAAAAACAAACAATAATTGTTAAGTTAGTATTTATCACAGGGGGAAAGGCCTTGATTCAACAATCCCTGCCAAGTTGCAAGTCTCAAATCCTACTTAGATATATATTACTTGTTTGCGTACTTTTAAATGTGCCTTCCTTCACTACAGAGTATATATGCTGATGGCTTTATTTTTTAGCACTTACATTCATAGATTCCTGCCATATGATTGCATTTTACAGTATAATACGAACATGTTCATAAAGATTTCATTTGAATCTATTCACAGTTTTTATATATACTCCATGAAAATGTTATACTTTTAATATCAATTATGTGATATTCTCAAATTGTCATTGATTATTCTGGTCCATTGTTGAGAGATGTTCCTCACTCTTAGTAACAGTTTCTACATCCTGGAATTCATAATAATAACAAGAGACATTTAGATAGTGTGATGGTTAATAGTGTCAACTTGATTGAAGTATGCAAAGTATTGTTCCTGGGTGTGTCTGTGAGGGTGTTGCCAAAGGAGATTAACATTTGCATCAGTGGGCTGGGAAAGGCAGACCCACCCTTAATCTGGGTGGGCACCATCTAATCAGCTGCCAGCACAGCCAGGACATTAAGCAGGTCGAAAAAAATGTGAAAAGGCTAGACTGGCCTAGCCTCCCAGCTTACATCTTTCTCCCGGGCTGGATGCTTCCTGCACTCGAACATCGGACTCCAAGTTCTTCAGCTTTGGGACTTGGACTGGCTTCCTTGCTCCTCAGCTTGCAGACAATCTAAAGCGGGACCCTGTGATCATGTGAGTTAATATTCTCTAATAAACTCTCCTATTATCTATCTATCTATCTATCTATCTATCTATCTATCTATCTATATTCTATTACTTCTGTCCCTCTAGAGAACCCTGACTAAAACACATAGTAACCCACAGTATTATTTACCCACATATAGTAACCATTAGCTTATTTAAGCCATACCACAAACCTATGATGCAGTTGTTATTTTCCCTCATATAAACGAGAAATCTGAGGATGACAGAAGTTAAGCCATTTGCTTGAGAGTTTTTAGCTAATAAGTGACCAGGACAGAAATTAACTTATCTCTATAAAATGTTATTTTTGTTAATATTGAATCTCAGCTATAGTAAACAGGATATTTTATGTACAGACTGGGATATATGTGAAATGATTTACCCTTATTTATATTCCAGGAAAGAAGAAAAATGATTACGTTCTTCTCAGGTTGTTACTTCATAAACGGTATAACTTTTTATTTTGGGATATTATGACAAGAATATTTGGGCTTTGGCTGAAGTGGAAGGACTTGGGACTACATGTCAAATTTTATTTTGATAGTAAATATTGTGTCCAAGGGTGCCCATCCTTTAAAGTATGTAAATTCAGGGTTACCCCTCTGTGATTATAGAAGACTTATATCCTGTACTTGATAATGGGAAATTAACTAAATGATTTTCCATATAATGACCATTAGCTTCTCAAAGGAACTAAAAAAGTGTTAATGAGAAAACACACATTTTTATTGACTACAAACCATAATTTTTGATGGTCTCATAATCAATTTAAATATAGAGGCATATTTATAAATATCATTTGCATTTGTTGTTGGATTTTTATTTGATATATTATTTATTTTAATTTTTTTATTTCAATAGCTTTTGGGATACAGGTGTTTGTTGGTTACATGCATGAATTGTATAGTAGTGAAGTCTGAGATTTTAACACACCAGTCACTCAAATACTGTACATTGTATCCAATATGTCATTTTTTATCCCTCACCAAACCTCCCTCTTCTGAGTCTCCAAAGTCCATTATATTACTCTACATTTTGCATACCCAGAGTTCCCACTTACAAGTGACAACATACAGTATTTAATTTTCCATTCCTGAGTTACCTCACTTAGAATAATGGCCTCCAGCTCCGTCCAAGTTGCTGCAAAAGACATTATGTTTATGGCTGATTAGTATTCCATGGTGTATCTATACCACATTTTCTTTTCTTTTCTTTTTTTTTTTTTTTTGAGACAGAGTCTCACTCTGTCACCCAGGCTGGAGTGCACTGGCACAATCTCAGCTCACTGCAACCTCTGCCCCCCGAGGTCAAGAGATTCTCCTGTCTCAGCCTCCCAAGTAGCTGGGACTACAGGCACCTGCCACCTCACCTGGCTAATTTTTGTATTTTTAGTAGAGACAGGGTTTCACCGTCTTGCCCAGGCTGGTCTTGAACTCCTAACCTCGTGATCCACCTCCCTCCCTCGGCCTCCCAAAGTGTTGAGATTACAGGCATAAGCCACCGCGCCCAGCCTATACCACATTTTCTTTATCTACTCACTGGTGGATGGGGACTTAGAACGGTTCCATATTTGCAATTGTGAATTGTGCTGCAATAAACATACACCTGTAGATGTCTTTTTAATATAATGACTTCTTTTTATTTGGGTAGACACCCAGTAGTGGGATTGATGGATTGAATAGTAGATCCCCTTTTATTTCTTGACTAAATCTCTACACTGTTTCCCATCGAGATTGTACTAATGTACATTCCCACCAGCAATGTTTAAGCATTGCCTTTTCACCATATTCACAGAAACGGCTATTGTTTGTTGACTTTTTAATGATTGCATTTCTGCAGGAGTGAGATGGTATCTCATTGTTGTCTTAATTTGCATTTTCCTGATAACTCATATGTTTGTTAGCCATTTGTATTTCTTTTTTTGAGAAATGTCTGTTCATGTCATTTGCACACTTTTGATGGTTTTTTTTTCTTGCTGATTTGTTTGAGTTATTTGTAGATTCTAGATATTAATATTTTGTCTGATGCACAGTTTGCAAATATTTTCTCTTATTCTGGAGATCGTCTATTTGTTCTGATAACTATTTCTTTGCTGTGCAGCAGTTTTTTAGTTTAATGTGGGCCAATTAATTTATTTTGTTTACGTTTGCATTTGCTTTTGAGGTCTTATTCATTAATTCTTTGCCTAGGCCTATGTCCAGAAGAGTTTTTTCTAGGTTAACTTCTAGAAATTTATAGTTTCAGGTCTTAGATTTCAGTCTTTGATCCATCTTTAATGGATGTATGTATAAGTTGAGAGATCCAGTTTCTTTCTTCTACATGTGGCTAGCCAGTTTTCCCAGCACCATTTATTAAACAGTGGGTACTTTCCCCAATTTATGATTTTGTACGTTTTGTCAAAATTAAGTCAGTTGTAAGTATTTGGATTTATTCCTGGGTTCTCTATACTGTTCCTTTGGTGTATGTGTCTACTGTATACTGGTACCACGTTGTTTTGGAAACTATAGCCTTGTAGTATAGTTTCAAGTCCAGTAACGTGATGGCTCCAGATTTGTTCTTATTGCATAGAATTGCTCTTTTTCGGGCTCTTATTTTGGTTCCATATGAATTTTACGTTTTTAAAAAGTATTGTAAAAATGATATTGGTATTTTGATAGCAATTGCATTCAATTTGTAGATTGTTTTGGTCAGTATGGTCATTTTCATGATATTCATTCTTCCAACCCATGAGCATGGGATGTGATTCCATTTGTTTGTTTCATCTACAATTTTGTTCAGCAATATTTTGTAGTTCTCCTTGTATAGATCTTTCACCTCCTTGGTTAACTATATTACCAGGCATTTTATTTTTTTATTTTTGTATGTTTGCAGCTGTTGTGAAAGGGGTTGAGTTCTTAATTTGATTCTCAGCTTGGTTGTTGTTGGTGCATAGCAATGCTAATGATTTGTGTACAATGATTTTGTAAATTGAGAATTCACTAAATTTGGTTATCAAATCTAGGAGTCTTTCTTTATGATGTAAAAGAGAAGCAAAGGCCAATGGAGTGTCACCCTCTAAGCCTACCCTTACATCCCAGTTACGTTGCTAACTCAGAAAAATCAGCTGAAGGGCACTTGGAAATTCCCTACTCTGACCCAGATAGTCTTTTGATTAAAATCATATGGTTATTAGTTTTTATTTTCCAGATGGAATAAATGAAGACCAAAAGAATGTTTATGTGGAAACTGTGTTTCCCCAAACCCTTCTGCAGTAGTCTTTTCACTGCTGAAATCGTTGATATACTACCATTATAAACAAACACACTCTTTATTTGTTCACCTAACCTGCATGCCTTTATTCCTTAGAAGATTTTCAATATTTTATTTTAAAGCATACTGGAAAGAACAGAAGCATTAAAGAAAAAAAATAAATAAAGGGACTCCCCCCACCTCCACCAACACACACAGGTATCCTCTTTCTCAATTCATCAGTGAGGACGCTTGGTCAGTAAAGGAATTTCTCATGATCCCTCCTCCTTTCTCTACAGGGCATAGATTTGCACACGTGAAGCCAGGCTTCACATGACTGTATTCCATAATAGCACACCAAAAACACTGTCAAAATCAATGAAAACTTCACAATATAAAGAATATAGCTAGAATCATGGTAATGATCAGTTGATTGATATAATATTAGATAAGTGCAGGATGGTAACTTTTATAAACTAACTTTTCAAATGGCTCAGTGAATTGTCTAACATTCCATGGCAAATTTGTATGAAGACTACCTGGAACTCAGCTATCTACAATTTGGTTGGCAGGGGAACTAGGTTTGTGAGTTTGTTTCCCCCCTCTATGTTCTAATGCTCAGCAAACTGTGAAATTTTCCATGAAATATAATAGTTACGTAAATATAAAAAAGCAAAACTTTTTGGTATGTTAATTATTGCACCAACTTGTGTTGTTTGACTACTATTAACAATAAACTAAAACAATTCTACCTGCTTGATTGAAGCAAAAATGTCAATGTGTAAGGATGATGGGTAGATCACAAAATCAAAGAAACAGCTACATAGTCTGACTCAGACAGGACATGTCAAACAGCATCCCTGTAAGGAACTTAGTCTACAGACTCACATAGGCCCTGCCTCAGGAATAAATAAGCTGCACGTGTGTTTTGCTTCCTTGTATTCTTTGATGTCAGGGTCAGATACTGGGAAAGAGACTCAGGGCAAAAAAAGAGTATATTGATTGACAGCTTCCTCAAGACAGCCCACAATAGAAAAGACATTTCTTTTCAAAGAAACTGAGTATAATTGTCAAAAAAGAAAATAGATACTGGTCATCAAAGCAAGACCTTATACTTTGTCAAAGTTTACTTTAAATGTCACCTCCTCCAAAAAGCCATTTTCTCATTCCCCTAAATCATTCTCAGTATATCTCAGCTTTCATTAAACAAGCATGGGCCATGTATTTAAGAAAACAGAATTTACGGGAGGACAAGACAGACCAGACCTTAATTTCAGGGAACATAAATTTTGCCAAAGATGATATTGCCATACTACTATTTCTGTGATTCTCTTAGGATCCTGATGCCTTGTGTCTTAGTTATGTTTTTTCTTAATCAGAAGTTTAAAAAGTATATTATATTTTATTTTAAGTTCTGTGATACATGTGCAGGACATGAAGGTTTGTTACATAGGTAAGCATTTGCCATGGTGGTTTGCCACACTTATCAATCCATCACCTAGGTATTAAGCCCAGCATGCATTAGCTATTTATCCTGATGCTCTCCCTCCCCACAACCCCGAAATAGACCCCAGTGTGTTGTTTCCCTCCCTGTGTCCATATGTTTTTATTGTTCTGCTCCCACTTATAAGTGACAACATGTAGTATTTGGTTTTCTGTTTTTGTGTTAGTTTGCTGAGGATAATGGCTTCCAGTTCCATCCATGTCCCTGCAAAGGACATGATATCATTCCTTTTTATGGGTGCATAGTATTCCATGATGTATATGTACCACATTTTCTTTATCCAGTCTATCATTGATGGGTATCTGAGTTGATTCCATGTATTTGCTATGGTGAATAGTGCTGCAATGAACATATGTGTGCATATCTTAAACAAATTTGTAAGAAAAAAACAAACAACCCCATCAAAAAGTAGGCAAAGGACATGAACAGATACTTCTCAGAAGAAGACATTCATGCAGCCAACAAACAAGAAAAAAATCTCAATATCACTGGTTATTAGAGAAAAGCAAATCTAAACCACAAGATACCACTTCACACCAGTCAGAATGGTGATTATTAAAAAGTCAAGAAACAACAGATGCTGGCGAGGCTGTGGAGAAATAGGAACACTTTTACACTGTTGGTGGCAATATCAATTAGTTCAACCATTGTGGAAGGTAGTGGGGCAATTCCTCAAAGACATAGAACCAGAAATACCATTTTACTCAGCAATCACATTACTGGGTATATGTCCAAAGGAATATAAATCATTCTGTTATCAGGAAATTTTAAAGCTTCTTTGTGATGTGTTTTATTAGTTAAAACAATAATTTATTAGTTAAAATGTTGTGTCTTTCCTAACACTTACCACATGGTGTATCATGCAATGCACACTAATGAACGCTTCAAAATTAGCCTTAAATGCACAGTCTCCTCACTTGCACTCTTTGCTTATCTTGTGTCTGATGGCTCTTCTGCATGAACAGGAAAATCTGAATTCTCACAATTATTTCTAAAGCTTTTATTACCTTCCCTTAACCCAAGCCCAGTTTTATTACCTGTATGACACTTAGACAGTTTACATTGTAATCCCACCCTCTAATGGATTTAAACTCATTTTCCACTTTGGTATCCCCATATTTAGTCATTATTTGTACTTCTGTTATTGCAGACCCACTCCACCTTGTGTTGCAGTGTGTGTATCTGTGATCCCCTGTAGAGTGTGAGTTCCTAGAGTCAGAGTATCCAGGGATAGCTCTCTTTAAACATCTAATGGGATTCTATGAACATAATGAAATAACATTTATGTTAGCTAAATGTATAAAGAGAAAATATATACTTGCCCCTTTATTAAAGTTGTTGTTTCATATTATTATATGCCAACACCATACTAGTCCTATTGACAGAGAGTTATATGTGGTATTTGTATTACCTTTAAAGATATTAGAGCATAAAATAATTGGAATAAACTGTTAGGACAAAATAAAGAGGTACAATACAGACACTGAAATGGGAATGGCCAATTCTACTTAGCTGGACAGAAAAGCTTTCTAGAATAGATGAATCTCAAAGGATAAACGGAGGCATAATCCTTGCAGACAAGAAGAAAAGTGCTTTCCAGGTGAAAGAAGCAGTGGTACAACGAACAAATATACAAAGGATGAGGAAGGTGGAGCATCCAATTTAAGGATCAAAATAACAAATAATTAAATTAGGTTATTTAGAAGGTAAGATCATAGATAAACACACACATGCATGTGTGTAATGGAATTTAAAATCATTTTTTAGGTAAGAAAGATTCGTTGGAATGTTTTAGAGGGAAGAATTAAGTAATTCTATACACATTTTAGAAAGCTCATTCTGATATCCTATAAAGAATGTGTCAAGTGTGAAAATTAGTAAGATGAAGAGTCAGTAATAGTGAATCTAAAAATGTGAATGAGCACAAGAGATTATTACATATATATGTGTGTGTGTGTGTGTGTATACATATATATATATTTTTAATCCAAAGCATATGGTAACTGATAACAGGCGGGAGTATTAGAAAGGGTCATCCAGGTTGAATCCAGGATTTCATGGGAGATAGAAGGAATGAACAGTGTTTCCAGACACTGAGATTAAGAATGTGAGAAAAGAAGCAGTTGTAAGTGTGTTGAACTTTTGACGTCTATACAAGGAGTCTACTGGTTACTAGAAGGTTTACAAAGAGACCTAGGTGGATATTACTAGTCTTTGTGACATTATAGTGTACTGGTATAACTCTTGGTGCTATTTGGGGTTGCTAAAAATGAAATAAGGAAGGGAAGGGGACAGAAGATAAAAATGGAGGGAGGATAAAGGGGAGAACATGAGAGTGGCAAGTTAAAAGTAGGGCACTAGAGCAGAAGACAGAAGGAAAGCGAGGCATACAAGGTAAGGGAAAGGTAAGAAGGAGGCGAGAAGAGAACCTGTGTGATTTCCAACATCTAAGTGTGGACAGGAGAGATTGTCTGTAAAAGGGAGAAGACATGGTCACGAGGAAAGGGGGTGCTAGCAAATTTTCATCATGGAAGCCTAAGGTAAAATTTTCAGAGAAGGATGTTTAATGTAAGTGATATCTAAAATGGCCAAGATCAATCATGATGATAAGTGAACATTCAGATAAAGTTTCAGAACAGATAAAACTCTGTAATGGTGACAGCAGCCATCGGAGTGGTTACATGGTATGGCCTGGGGAGGGATGTGGGGAATCCTGGGGTGTTGAACATGGCCTATGTCTCAAAGTGGTGACCAATCACATTACCGCACTTCATGTGCTTTGCTATAAGCAGGTCATCCCTCGATTCAAAATGTGTTAAAATGTAATACGAAATTAATATAACACCTAAGAGGGTAAAAAATATTAGTGGCTTTCTCGGATTACCTGGGTACCATCAGCTGAAGGATTCAAACCAAACTCTGTTAGACTCAGATGCCTTAGCTGCTGACCGCTGTACTACTCTGCTGTCAAATCCAATCCTTGCCAAGCCTCTCCATTGGCATGTTAAATGGACTTAGTCTCTGTTGTCCCTTTTAGTCTTATTTTGAAGGCACCTACCTATTCTACCAACTGATAAATTGAATTGTTATTACTGTTTTACAGTAAGATTTGGTCAGAAGCTTTGGTTAGACCATAATTTTTTGTCAGATCTGTTGTTCTGAACTCTCCATTAAGGAACTGTTTAGATATTACATATACTTTTGCTGAAATTCAGAGGTACTCATAAATTTGACGACTTTTAAAAAAATGTACTATCAGCAGTGGTAAATGATAACTAAAATGGTATAATTTATCTTAACAGTATCTTGAGCTTAACAAAGCTTCAGATAAAAACAAGATTGCATTGAATATCATGCAATAAAAGGAAATACTTAAAGCAAAGGTATTTATATGTTCTTATGTGTATGTTCTTACAGGGATGGAAAAGTCTATTTTCATAAAATCTAATTTTTTAATTTACAATATAGAGCCCTTTGCTTCTTTTCCTGTTTAGGTTAAGATCTTTTCTTCTCTTGAAAGATTATGTATATTTTAATATGATTAATCTTATTTTACCTTTACAGAAGTACTGTGAATTAGCAGGGCAGATATTATGACATCTCCTTAACATATGAATTAATTGTGGGCTGCCAAATAGTACATGATCTTTTACTGGAACGTAGATCCAGGTGGCTCAAATAGATATTTAAGGGCAGAGCACCTAAACTGACCAGCCAATGTAAGCAGTTCATCTTCCGAGCAGATTTATTTTTCACTGTAACCAAATGTATTTACATGCTCCTGGAAAAAGTGTTCTCCCGTGAGCTTTGTTAGTGTGTTTTCACCAAGGAACTGCTATCTGGGTTGCCCACACTGTGTAGAGTTTTTGTCCTGAAAAGCTAAAGTCCATATATTGAAGAAAACCTACCACATAAAGATGTTTCCTAGAATACCCGTCATGATCAAAGGTTTGCAGCTGTAGTGGAACTAACTAATGGATGCTTCATTTTAGTAAGGGCCTCTTTTCTTCCATTGATCATAGTTGAATATTGTGGTGTCAGTTTAAGATGAGTCCATGTGTGACATGGATTTAAATACCCAAATTTCAGTGGTTTGATAAAAATTATAAGAAATACTGCAATTATCTCAAACTAAAACTTGTCAAGATTTGTGTAATATCATAGAATGTGGACAAAGTGATTAAAAAATATATTCTATTGACACTGTGACATAATTTTAGCAGATACATCTTTATATTGGCCAACCTTTCTTTGAATTAATCTTGACTTACGAGTTTAGAATAGTGTCATGTCTGGAGAGAAAAAGACTTCATGTGAAATATAAACACTCTATGTACTATTTTAGTATTAATTTTAGAAAGATATTTGGCACACCTTGAAACGTGATCTAATATCACTTTCAATTCTAAGTCTATTGCATCATCAAGCAGAATTATATAAACTATTTTTAAAAGTTTATCAACTGGATTTTATGTTATTAGCAATACATGAGATGTCATGGCTTTAAAAGGATGGCTATTTTATTATGTAGTATCCTTCAAATATTATTTTAGTAGTTTTTTGTACTAACCATAGGCCAATTAATGATTCAGAAATATATTTAATTTCTATTTTATAAATCTTATATTCATGGCAATATACTACCCCTCACTGATTTTTGCTTGGCTTTATTAAACTGAGTTTCTGTTTTATCTCTGCAAAATATAATAAAAAATAAAAATATGCTCAAATATTAAGCACCCCATAAATATTAGGTGGATAAATAAATATAACCAAACTGCTCTTGCAAAAGTGAAAAAGTTTTAAATATAGAGATTTCATTCCATTCCCTTTAATTTTTCAAAATATTAGATGATACAAAAATCATGTGCACAATTCAGACTCATAGCTATTTTTAGAAACTATAATTTTTGATTCAAAAGAAATCTGCAATCTTGCAAAAATGAGACTCAGTTTAACAGTGTATTTCCAAAGAAATTGTAGCTGTTATTCTTGCCTTTCTTCTTAGACAAGAGACTTGTGATGGTATCTCTTAATATTCCATACGTAACAAGAAAAAGAGCAGAAAAAGCCATGGGAACTATAAATATAGGCAGTGATATTGTGGTATTGTGGTTGAAAACATTATCTGGAAGTGAGACCACAACAGGTTCTCGTTCTAGCTCTCCATCTAACTTCCATCTCTAGAGATGTGCCCTTGACAAAATGATTTTTTCCTCTGGACTTTAATTTCTTTATCTGGACCAGGTAAGCTCAAAGATCTCAGTTTAGTATTTGATTTTTCCAGATTAAAATCTAAGATGTGGTATCAGATACACTTTTCTATTTTTCTTTTATTTGTCAGACAAACAAGGTGAAAATGTGTTTAAAAACTAGGTTTATCCATTTTTTTCCTGTACAGTGTTCCTAATTCAACACTACATTTTTCTATATACTTTTAGTAGAAAGTGAATCATAAGTTACTTCAGTAGGATATATCTGTTGTTTTGCTCTTGTACTCTTCCTTTACTATTACTATTATTTCATAACATAAATAATGTTAAGAGATCTGGGTCTAAATGTAGGATTTAATTTTTCAAGTTTTTACAAATTCTATGAATTCCCTACAGTTTCTTTGGCCGTCACTATTTGTCTGGTTGTTTATAGAAGCCGAGAAGCAGAACCCCTATGGCTGAAGACTGGTCCTGATAGAGATTCTTCTTCTAATCTTCTCAAACCAGGAAGGTGTTCAGGTCACTCTGTAAATGATTCAAAGACAGATACTATGTAAAGTTACATTTTTCCTTTAAAATCCAGTCTGTAAGCAAATTTTATGCCTTATTTTAAATAACAAGATATGTAGCTTTGGCAACATGTCATCTTATTTGGATAGGCTATGCCAACAGGACCCAACCAGAGCAAGCCAAAAAAGATCTTTGAATGACAGACAGCTTAAGAAGAACAGAATCTGTTAGAGAAAATAAGAGAAAAGGAGAAATGTACTGAGCAGACCAAAAAAATAAAATAAAATAGAATAAAAGGAGCTTCCACACAAGGCTGTTGGGTTCATTCACCACATACCAAGGGAACACTACCAAGTAAATATTATAAATAAAATACTTGCTGGAGAAACTGAATATCCACCTGTAAAATAATGAATCAGAACACCTACTTCACTTCATGCCATATACAAAAACTAACCCAAAATAGATCAAAGATCTAAATTTAATAAGTATAAATATAAAACTCCTAGAAAGAAACATAGGTGAAAATATGCAAAAGTTTTTATTAGGGAATGAGTTCTTATATATGATGCCAAAAGCACAAGCAACCAAAGGAAAATCGATAAATTAGATTTTATCAAAATTAAAAACTTTTATGCATTAAAGGATACTATCAAGAAAATGAAAAGCAAGTAACAGAATAGGAGAAAATATTTGCAAACATATGTCTGACAAGTATTAAGTATCTAGAATGCTTCAAGAACTCTTACAAATCAGCAGTAAAAACACAATTCAATTAAAAGATGAACAAAGTTCAATATTAAGCTATTCCCCAGAGAAGATACACAAATGGCCAATAAGCAGTGAAAAGATACTAGCATTAGTCATTAGAGAATGCAAATCAAACCTACAATGAAATAGCACTTTGCACCTACTAGGTGGCTATAATTAAAAAATAAGCAAACAGAAACAAAACAACTATTGGTGTGGATGTAGAGTAATCGGAATCCTCATACATTGCTAGTAGGAATGAAACATGGTACAGCCACTATGAAAAAAGAAATGTTTTCAGTTCCTCAACAAGTTAAACATAGAATTACCATATGACCCAGCAATTCCGCAGCTAGGTAAATGCCTGAGAGAAGTGTGTTAGTCCATTTTCACACTGCTGATAAACACATCCCCGGGGCTGGGTAATTTATAACATAAAAGAGGTTTAATGGACTCCCAGTTCCACGTGGCTGAGGAGGCCTCACTCACAATCACAGCAGAAGGTGAAAGACATGTCTTACATGGCAGCCAGCAAGAGAGGATGAGAGCCAAGTGAAAGGGGCTTTGCCCTTATAAAACCATTGAGATCTCATCAGACTTATTCACTACCATGAGAACAGTATGGAGAAAACCACCCCCATGATTCAATTATCTCCCACCATGTCCTTTCCACATGTGGGAAGTATGGTAACCACAATTCAAGATGAAATTTGGGTGGGGACACAACAAAGCCATATCTGAAGTAAGACAAATTATCTCACAAAACTATACACCAATATTCCTAGCAGCATATTCATTATAGGTAAAAGAAGAAAAAAGGCACATGTCCATTATATTCATACAATAGAATATTATTCCATCATAAAAAGGAATGCGGTAGTGTTACATACTACATGATGAACCTTGAAAATATTATGCTAAGTGAAACAAGTCTGACACGAAAGACCACATAATGTATGATTCCATACAGAAGAAATGTTCAGAACAAGTAAAGGCACAGAGGCATAAAATAGATTAGTGGTTGCCAGTGGCTGGCGGGAGATTTCCATTAACAGCTAACATGTACAGGGTTTCTTTTTGGGTTATCAGAAAATTCTGGATTTCATATTTATTGTTGCAGAGCATAGTGAATATACTAAAACAAACAAACAAAACACTAACATATACTCTTGTAACTGGTGAATTTTGCTTATGTGAAAAATATGTCAGTAAAAATGCTAAAGTAAAACAACCTGAAGAGTTGACTATATATATTTGTAGATATACACAAGTATGCATTTAGCTTTTATAAACAATGTCTTGTTAAATTATTACTAGCAATTTTATAGTCAGTTAAGATTGAATACATGTTTAATTCCTGCCTTTATTGAATATTCATTCTGCAACTACTTGTGCTGGGCACTGTCCTAGGTTCAAATAATTTAACAATAATTAAGAGAGACATGCTTCTTCTAGAAAAGATCAATGATTTGAAAACATTTTTATTTCAGGACACTTTTATACTCTTGAAAATTATTGAGGACCCCAAAGAACTATTTTTTATATAGGATACATCCATCAATATTCACTTTATTAGATATTAAACTGAGAAAAATATTTTAAGCATGTGTTGAAATAATAAACTATTTTAATATAAATAATGCATGTATTAAAATATTTTCTATTAGAAACATTTTAGAGAAGAGTAAAATTATTTCATATTTTTGCAAATATTTTGACATCTGACTGAAGAGAAGATTTTCAGATTTTTACATCTGCTCCAGCATTTAGTCTATTGCAGGCTCTTGTTTTGGTTAAAATGTATGAAGGAAATTTTGCCTTGCACGGATATGGAAAAGAGAGGAGTATTTCAATTACCTTTTCAGAAAATTGTGAATATATATGTATATATATGTGTGTGTATATATATGTGTACAGATAGATAGATAGATGATAGATAGATAACTACATCAGCACTAAACAAGTGGTAATTTCTTACATGTTTGTTGCAATGTGTAATCCGGAACTGTATCAGTGAAATTCTTATAACCTGTTACATTAAAATTGATTGGTCGTTCTTTCACTTTGAAGAGATCTTTTAATCAAAAGTGATTTTGCAGAATTTTGCATTGGTCATTTGGAAAAGGTTTGTTCATGAAGCTTTGCAGATTTTCCAATTGTTGATACATTTTATGATACAAATAACACTTGTTAATACCACCACTGTTCTCAAAAGGAGTTTTAAGTGTGGAAGCCGTAAGCTGCCAAGCTAATGGTGGCACACACACGTTTTCCGAAATTCTGCTTTTCACTTGAAAGCTAGAATTTTATAATGAATAACAAGTACTGTCAGATGTTTCCCTTAGGGTCACTTTGTTCATGTTTGAAAAAGAAAAGTCTGCCAAATGCCTACTTATGAATTACCATGGTTTGTCAGTCATTCTCTCAATTAGAAGCGAAGAGCTACCAAAAAGTAGGCAGCGAACTCTCACTCCAACGACCGCATGAGCGCCCCCTGCCGTCAACTGTCACGCTGCCGTGCAGCAGAAGTGCTGGATTTCATCTGAGGATGTGAAAAAGGCATGTACTCAGGATGGAAATTCCACATAATGAACACTTTTCGCTGCTTCATCAAGGACGTGCTTAACTAAAAGCAGCATCGTTTTTGGTTGTTTGTTTACACTGGGTGTGTAGCAGTGAAGACTTCAGTGGCACCTAGTGCGGTAGCTCCTCGATTCTTCATCTGCACTTTCGCCATTGATGCGCCACTAGTTTTGCTCCCCTTATGCAATGTTAGCACAGTGAAAAAGACAAATACATTTCGTTTTGTTTTGTTTTTTTTGAGATGGAGTCTCTCTCTGGCGCCAAGGCTGGAGTGCAGTGGCGTGATCTCGGCTCACCACAAGCTCCGCCTCCCGGGTTCCCGCCATTCTCCTGCTTCAGCCTCCCTCCCGAGTAGTGTAGCTGGGACTACAGGCGCCCGCCGCCACGCCCGGCTAATTTTTGTATTTTTAGTAGAGACAGGGTTTCACCATGTTGGACAGGATGGTCTGCATCTCTTTACCTCGTGATCCGCCCAATTCGGCCTCTCAAAGTGTTGGGATTACAGGCGTAAACGTTTCTTAATATTATGGCAATAAATATAGTTTTGGCTCCAGAGTCCCCCTAAAAGTGTATTGGGACACCCAGAGACCTGCCTGAGCACCATAACTGGATAACTGCTGCTCTAGATTCTAAAACTTTCTCTGAGTTGCTTTATCAATTGTCCTTTTCTTGTTTTCTTACACATGGGAGATTCTTCCTCATTGTCTCTGAAAATCCTCATGTTTCTTATGGTTATTTTATATGGCTTCATGATGCACACACACATCCTTATATATATTTTCTTCCGAATCTTCTCTAACATGCCCTCTTCTTGCCTATAGATCATGACAGTATTCTACGTACATATTTTGAGGAGTTTTTATTATGTTCACTCTGGGAGAGCTTTCGCTCCTCAGGGTACAGGAGACTTGTGAACCCCAGAGTCAGTGGCAGTGCCTGCACTCCCTAGCTTGCTGCTCACATCGGTAGCTGAAATGCCTTAGTCTTGCTTCAGTTATTTCCTTTAAATAGATGCTAGGTCGAATAGGTGTTGTGGCCTCTTAGTAACTGAGTGATGGGAGAGGTCATTTCTTTGCTTATAAGAACACACTGCTTTCTAAGTGAGAAGAGCCCAGCTTCCTGACAGAGCACCATTAGAAGAACCCTCCACTGTCCTTGTTAGGTTATAGTGCTTATCAATTTCTCTCCTTTACAGGGCCCAATCCAATGAGTGACCTGTTTTGGGAAGCAAACATGTTAAAAGAAACCCTACTTGAAAGTTAAAGACTACAATTGCATTTTAGAATATAGACTAGTGCTACCAATTGTGATTGTCCTCCTGAACGCTATGCTTTTGTGACAGTTAATGGAATTTAAAAAGGAAAAGTAAACGTATCTATAACCTAACTTTTGTAATGGAAAGGATTGGATTGGAATGGAATCCTAATACATTATTTCTCTCAGAATTAAGTCCATTGTTCTTAACCTGTTATTCTTCAGTGACCTCGCAGGACTGCAAGCTACCTAAAACTGAATGTAAGATTTTGTGAGTTTTTTTTTTTTTTCCCTGCATGATATATAGACATATATACACTGGGGAAAGAATATCAAAAGGTACATTTGTTTTATTCATTCAAATATTAAATATCCAAATATTTCTTATATACATAGGTATAGGTATTTAGTTATTGGATGGTAAAATATATATATTTTTATATGTATGTTTTGGTCATTTCACTTGGTAAAATAGAGCATCAGTGTGCACTATGGACAGAAGCAGTACCATAGTTTTTTCCTCTTATATCAACTTTTCTTCTCATTCCCTCTTTTTTCTTCTGATCCATCTCCTTCCCCTCCCTCAATTCCAGTTTGTTTTTCTCTTTTAAAGTTGGCTACGGACAGCAAAGACAAGTGAAATGTAATTTAAAATACGCACATTTAACATATTCTATATTATAAATCATGCTGCTATAAAGACACCTGCACACTTATGTTTATTGCGGCACTATTCACAATAGCAAAGACTTGGAACCAATCCAAATGTCCAACAATGATAGACTGGATTAAGAAAATGTGTCACATATACACCATGGAATACTATGCAGCCATAAAAAAATGATGAGTTCATGTCCTTTGTAGGGACATGGATGAAATTGGAAGTCATCATTCTCAGTAAACTATCGCAAGGAGAAAAAAACAAACACCGCATGTTCTCACTCATAGGTGGGAATTGAACAATGAGAACACATGGACACAGGAAGGGGAACATCACACTCTGGGGACTGTTGTGGGGTAGGGGGAGGGGGGAGGGATAGCATTAGGCGATATACCTAATGCTAAATGACGAGTTAATGGGTGCAGCACACCAGCATGGCACATGTATACATATGTAACTAACCTGCACATTGTGCACATGTACCCTAAAACTTTAAGTATAATAATAAAAAAAAATTCTTCATTGACTTACATGCAATGAATAATTTATAATTAGCCTATGTTACTATTCATTTTCCTTTTATTTTTTTCTTGCAAAATTATGTTAGAACTGTGACTGAAATGTATGAGTTTCTCAATAGATGCTATTGATTGAGTTATTTTGAAGCACAAAAATAAATTGAATTGGTTAATATACACTTTGTAGGTCAAAACCGGCCCTGGGAATTATTTTTTAGAGCTATTCCACATTATTCAACTTCGTAAGCTTACTGTTGGTTATTTATATATTTTTAATTTTTGAATTATAATAGAAGCAGTTTAGGACTTAAATATAAAAATATGTAAAATGTAAATACACTCATTTTTCATTTTAAACACATGCTTTCATGTCATAATGGATCCCAAAATACCAAAGATATTAGGGGAAAAAATAAACTGTTGTTGTCTTAAAATACATTCCTTTGTTGAATTCATCCTGCTAACCCTTTAGGGTATTGACAGCCTATTATTTTTCATATGTGCCATCTTTATCTAGAAAACTGAGAGAACAACTAATTATATCCTTTTGCAAATGAGTGCAACAGAATGGCTTTTGTTCAACACAATTTTTAAGTCTGTTGAACAGGACTGTTGAATGGCTTAAAAATTTGCCATGGGGTGTGTGTGTGCACATATGAGAATATGTATGTTAATATTCAGCCACCTTAGTGTCATGGAAAGCGTGGCCTGGGGATTTGATTATACATTGTGCTTTGTCATAAATTTAATGGTTTCTTTGCAACATTATTGGAGGGAGTATGCCTCTATGTCTTTCATTTAGCTTGTATATTTTTGGTATGATAGACATGGTAATTACTGCTCTTAAAGTTTGTGCAAATGCCACTGGGAAAGGGGATAGGAGTAAAGAATTAAAGTGAAGGTCATGAAATAAACCTATTAACAAAAGCAGAGTGATTTCTTGAATAATCCCTTCATCTCTCCCCATGTCATAATCCTTTCTCATAAATAATTATACAAGCAAGCCTAGACACACACTAGTGTTGAAGAATTGTGCTGCAAAATGCATTTAGCTGCATTAAATACCAAGAGAAGCCTTGAGTTCCAAAACCTCCTTAAAGTGGAATTCTCAGTTGTTTCCAGAGAAGAGGCAAGTTATAGTACATATTATCTATTATGAACGTATCTGAGTAGAACACCATGCAATAAGGCGCTATTGAATTGGGAGGGAGGTATCAGAGCTAAAGAGCACAAAGACGGGCCATCGAGATATTAGAGGAGATTTCTCTTCATATGTAATTCTGCTTTACATGTTTCCTCAATCTTATTTCCTTTCTCCCTACCGCCTCTTTTTTTTTTAGCCACAAATCATTGCGTTTGTACAGATTACAGGAAAACACTCAAATATTGCTCGAAGAAGCATAATCTTTCTTCTGCAGTTGGTAATAAATGAGATCTACTTGTAAAAATTAGTGTCATTGTCTACAACACTTTCAGATGACTCTCATGCCACCAGGTCAATATTCCTGCTAGGGATGAGTTAGTTCTTACACTTGGGTGATCACCAAGAATGTGGGACTCATAAGGGCAATGGATGATGCAGGCGCATAGTGTCCTTTGATGTTACTGGAGGTGTAAAATGAAGGTTTTTTTTCATTCTAAATCAAAGTTTAATGGTATAGTAAGTATTTATTATCTTTATCCTGGAAGGGATTTTATTGCTTTTGACATTTTTAAAAATGTCAAATTTTAATTTTAATTTAATTGTTTAAAACAATTTTTAAACTTTTATATGGTTTTACAATTCAGTGGAATTCTCTCTTCTTTATATTATTGTACTTGCATTAATAATATTTTAGATGTTTTCAATCATGAGTTATTGTCACTATGTTTTATTAGAAATATCCTTCTCACTATGAGATAAAGGGACGAAATGAGTGCTAATGTAATTCTACAGGGGTCAGATAGCATTTCCATGGTTACATTGATTCACTAGCAGCATGTCCTGAATAACTCCTGCTGTATTGCAAACCCCTTGCGGGCAGGGTCTAGTATATTTTTAATGTTTCTGCATATAGCTCCAATTTAGCTCCAATTTTCTTCCTACATTGTAGTACTAGATCAAAAAATACTTATTGGTTGAACCTATAATGTATGCTACTTAGGCAGCTCTGGCATGAGGCATGACATTATATTTTAAATAAAGAAACACATTCCAGCATTCCAAAATTCTCAAAGCATAACCCTGTGTAAAACCATAGTTAAAGTTTCAAAATTTGAAACACGAAAACTGACTTTTTAAAATGTTAACCATACAATGACTAATGCAGTGTGCTCTTTGCACGTGCATAAACAATAAGAAACATTATTAAAATAAAATATTTATATTTTAAAGTAAACATACACTATTTAAAATACTGAGCAAACATTTATATAAGTAGGGGATTTATATAAAATCTGAATGATGAAAGTACTTAAAAAGTACTAATAGTAACTAATTTATTGAATCTTTGTGGCAGTCTTCATATGAATAATTTAACCACCAGAATAGTTACGGAAGGTAGGTACAAATGAATAACCCATTTGTATAGGAGTAAACTGATGCCTAGAAAGAGAAAGTCACTAATTCAAGCTCATACAACGTACAAGTAGAAAAGTGAGGATTTTAGCACAGGTAATCTTGATACAGAATGATTTCCATTATTTTTAAATAAGAGTAATACATGTATGTATATGAATTCAAATAATACAGAATGATAAAAATGGCAGAATACGGAGCCCCCTTTTCCACCCCTCGAGTTCCTTCTCCCCAACCAATATTTATATTAATAGCTTATTTTATTTATCTTAAAATATTATATTTTACACTCATTATTTCTATCTATATCTCTATATAGATATATATCTTCATCATTATAAAATAAGATATACAGTGATAAACCTTTCTCTTAATATGAATGGATGAACTGATCTACCATATATTATTAGTAGCTATATTGAATTCCGATGTATGGATGGGCCTAATTATCTTTTTTATTAATAAAATTTTAGTTTGTTTATATCATTAATATTCTCATATTTTGCTATTTGCAAAATATGCTGGAATAAACAAGAGTTAATTTTATTTCTATTTACTGTAAATTGTGTCATTATTACTGAAGTAAAAGGATTGAGATGACATAATGCCTATCAGTGCCTTTAAAATATTTCAATAACAACAAAAAAGAAACCTCTTTCAAGTGTGCAACATCCTGATAATTAACTTATCTGGGTAATGAGTGTATGAAAGTTCATTATAAATGATATTTCTATGTGTGTGTGTATTTAGAATTTTTACAATAGTTTTGTCAAAAGTTATTTTTTAATGAAGCATCTGATTTTTAGGGAGGGATCTAAGCTTTCCACACATGCTTCTATTCTCCATAGTAGTGTAAGAATTTCAAATGTGGACACGTTAAAGTATTTCTAGAGGAGGATTAAGTGATATGAATGAAACTGTTGGGGACCTTACATTTTATGTGGAATGAGAGCTGAAAGGGGGTTCTACAAAGAAGTGTGATAATAGAGGACAGATTTTTGGAATGAGGTAATGTCATTCCAATAAGGACTATATTTATCTAGGGATATTTTGAAAGAAACTGGTGATGAGGAGAATGAAGAGAAATAGTCATTAGTGCAAACATGTCAAGAAAGAAAACATATTACTTCTTTGGAGATATTTTCTCTCTCTCTCTCTCTCCCCCTGCCTTCCCCTGTCCCTCTCTCCATAAGGCTCTATTTATCTATCCATCATCTCTGCATATGTCTTTATCCATACTTATATCTCCATACTCATATCTATACCGATATCTATATTTATATCTGTAAGCTGATCTTAGCCTACTCATCATGGTAACATATGGCAGATTTGTGTATACCTGTTATCAGTTCCCAAATCTTTACACACACTTCTCTGTCATCATGATTAAGGGGAGTAATGTGCTCTTACGTTTTTGAGTATTGGGCCCAATGGGGACAGCTATTTTTCTCTGTTATAAGATTCCATAGATTGTGGCAACAATGGCACCATGATGACTTCTAAACTCTTGATGGGAGACTTGCTTCTGTGACTTAATGGATTATTAGCCCTGCAATGGGAACTACACACCCAAAGGCCAAGAGGAACATGCAAAGGCAAACAGAGAGACAAGAGAGCCCATCAATCACGAGAAGATGGCAGGAAGTTGTGCCGTTCCCATTGCAGTTATTCGGACAGCTTAAGATTGAAATATAATAGAAAGTTATATGACGTACTCTACAGACAAGTTTATATTTTATTATTATTATTGTTTTGTAATGTAGAAAACATCTACCCCTAAAAATCTGTGGATAATAGGTTACTAGATTTTGTAACTAAATAAGATAATAGACAAAATATAATAGATATAGAAAAAGTCAGAAATGATCCTCATCCATTTTAGAAACCCAATCAATTTCAATTTAATCCAAATCTCTTCCTTCTTCAACAAGGCACTACGTTATCCTCATCCTTCCAGCTTTCCTTCCCACAGCTTTGATCACTCAGGGTTAGTCTTCATTGCCCATACTTGTTCCTATTTGTTTTAAATAAAGTCTTAATAAATTCTTCCTATTGGGTGGTAATAAGATATATTCAATAAGGTGAAATGTCTAACTTTAATTACTGAACAATGAAGCATGGTAGAGGTTTATACTTTAATAATATAATTTATTAATTATACATCATGGTCCAAGGGCTCTACTTTAATTAATATTTTCCACTAGCAAAAAATAACTATCGGTGTACAAAGTCCCACAGATTAGACACCAGAACCTTAGGCAGGTAGTAAGCCCCCAGTAGTTCAGTGGCTAAAGTGGGCTTTAAGTACCTAAGGTTTATCTTTATTCATGTGAAAGTTTTCTGGCTAGAGAGTTAACAGCTGAGTGCATTTTTAGTAAAATACTGCAGGAAATGGCTGATAAAAGTATCAATGTTGTATATCTGCTTAAAGGAGATGCATATCTGTTCTTTCTCAAACCACTGTTAAGCTGTCACCCATAGACTTATTGTAGAAACAATTATCTCACAGTAGTTTTATCTCCAGACATTTTTCTGCCCAGACAAAAGAATCTATGGAAGTAGTCATTTCTCTAGTTTGTTTTAGGGAGGATTGTGTTGGTTCTCCTATGAGAAATCACTTGCACATTATGTTCAGGTATACAAACACGTGAATGTATTTGCTATACAGAGTCCATTTCTTACACACAGCAAGGTATAGTTTCAAATTGCTGAAGCCAAATAAACCAAATGGGAAGAAATTGATGGTAAACTTTGTCAGAATGTTGGTTCTCTCTCATATTTATGAATCTGTCAAAGGATAGACTTTTTGTAAACTAATAGGTTTTTATATGTTCTAATTATGCAAGGAAATCTATCCTGTCTTAGCAATCAAGTGGTAAGAGAGAAACATATGGTTAGAGATCAGGGAAGAATATGTTAAGTGAATAGGACACTGAAAAAGTCTGCTGTGAATACAGTGGTGGGCAGCCATTGTGAGATTAAGTAGTAAATGCCCATGCAAACAGAAAAAAAAATGGAATTGTAATATAAAGTCACAAATATAATTTGTTGATTGACTTACACGGATTACAAATTTGGTATATTGAGCTTTCCGGGCTTAGTGAATAACATCACTCTTTGCATTTTTTTGCTACATCATCTGGCCACAAAATTTTAAAGACTATTTATGAAAGTCAAGTTAATATTTAAAGTCACAAAGAGTCCTAGAAATTTTGAACATCACACTGACTTCGTACCTGTTGTACTATGGCATATGTCTTTAGTCAACTAATTATTTTTCTCGTTAACAAAAAAAAAGGAAATAAAAAATCCCAAAAAACAAATAACCCAATAAAAATAATGAGTAAAATATCAGGGTTGATATTCCTCAAAAGAAGACATACAAATGAAGAGCAAGTATATGAAAAAATGTTCAACATCACTAATCAAAAATCAAAACCACAGTGAGATAACAGCTCACCCCAGTTAGAATGGCAATTCTCCAAAAGACAAAAGATAACGTGTTTGCGAGGACGTGGAGAAAAGAGAATCATTGAACATTGTTGGTGGGAATGTGAATTAGTATAGCCTTTACGAAAAACAGTATGGAGATTCCTCATGAAAACAAAAATAGAAGTATCATTTGATCCAACAGTCCTACTACTGGGTAGATATCCAAAGAAAATGAAATCGGTATGTCAAAGAAGTGTCTGCGCTTCCATGTTTATGACAGCATTATTCACAATAGCCAAGGTATGAAATCAACCTAAGTGGACATCAATGGAAAAATGGATAAAGAAAATGTGGTATGTATACACAATGCAATACTATTCAACCATAAAAAGAATGAAATCATGCGACAACACCAATGAACCTGGAAAGCATTATGTTAAGTAAAAGAAACCAAACATAGGAAAACAAACACCGCATGTTTCACTCATGTGGAATTCAAATACATTGGTCACATGAAGGTAGAGTACAATGGTAGCTGTCAGAGGCTGGGTGTTTAGGGGAGAAATGGGATGGAGAGATGTCGGTCAGAGCATACATTTACATTTGATAGAAGAAATGAATTTCAAGAGATCTATTATATAGCAAGGTGACTCTAATTAATGAAAATATGATTCTTTTCTTGAAAAATGTAGAATGAATGTAATATGCCATCACCACAGAAATTGTAACAGTGCAAGGTAATGCATTTGTGAATTAGCTAGATTTAACAAGTCAACAATGAATATACACTTTATAACATCATGTTGTTCATGATAAAAAACATACAATGTTATCTGTCAATTAAAAAAATATCTAGGAAGAATCTGTACAGAAGATTGTGGGTATTTATAAAATGCATATTTACTTTGTAAGTCACCAAATTTGTGAATAACATTATTGGATTTATTTTGCTTAATAGAATAGAATAAATAATAGAATAAATTATAATTAAATATTTAAAGTGATCCCTTTAGACCTTGATGATTTTATAAATATAGGTGAGGTGCTAGTTTGCTTACCCTAAATATCTATTTTCTGCCCCAGAAACAATCCTTTAATAGAACACTTTACCTTTCCTTAACTTCCATCACCAAAATTGGCAATTAAGAATATTTTCACACAGAAAAAACCACTATTGATATGTGTGTATTTTTAGCAAGAAAGCCAGTTTTTTGAGCTGTATGATGGAGCCTTTTCACTCATTAGTGATGCAACTGACTTCTGCACACCATCCTACAGAAGAAGAAACTCATGTTCGTATATAAGCAAAATGACATATCATTACACATAATAACTCATTGTGGTGGGTTCTAAGCAAGTGAAGCAGTACTGGCTAAATCCATCAGTGTAGTATTGGCTCTCTATTCTACCTGTTCTTAAAACCAGTAAGGTAGAGTTCCCGCTCCTTGATATAAGAATAAGGATTCCACCTTCTCCTGCCCCTCCCAACTAGAATTCTCAAATGTGTTTGTCGGTGGCTCATCCAATATTGCCCAAGGAAAGTGTGTTTTATTAGCTTGGGATTCCATCTGTGAAGACTGGCATTTCTATCTTACTAACAGATACAGAACATATGAAGAATCCCTGAGTTCCTACATAGCTGTCAAGAAGTAAATGAACTGATTTGACTGTTATTCCCTTCACTCACTGGAAAAATAGCTCTTCCCAGAATCAAGTATTGTTGACTCTGTTCCAATCCTCAGAGCAATTCTTGCCAAACTTCTTTTGAGAGGTGCTGCCTTGAGAAAGCATGACCTATGAAAATGAGTTGAAGCTCCAAACCAGCCCATACCACGTGATTTGCATAGTACAAGCCTCACTGATGATCACTATCCACCATATCTTAGAGATGGGATTTAGAAGTTACTCATCTCTGGAGATTGTATCCCAGGGTCTAGCACAAGTCTCTACACAAGTGGTACTCAAAGCTAGCACTTGCATTAGTATTAGCTGAGAATTTTTTAAAAAAAAATCGGAGAACGAAGCAATGAAGTAATAGTAGAAAATTCCTCTTCATGTGAAATTCCTGCTAATATGTTGTACAGCATGTTAGGATGGGGACCACACCTCCTTTTTACTCACCCATTATAGCCCAACGATGGAACACAGTGCCTGACAATAAGTATGTGTTGAGTAAATGAACCGCTGTGATCCTCCCACTGCATCACCGCAAGTACCTTTAGACCCCAAAGAGCATAATACAGATATGGTTTGGCTATGTCCTCACCCAAATCTCATCTTGAATTGTAATCCCCAGTTTTCTTACTGGGTTCAGAAAGAGAAGTATTTTTCCCCACATGTGGAAGAAGGGACCTAATGGGTAACTGAATAATGAGGGCAGTTTCCCCCATGCCGTTCTCGTGATAGTGAGTTCTTACAAGATCTGATGGTTTTGTTTGTTATTTGTTAGTTTGTTTTGAGACACAGTCTTGCTCTGTCACCCAGGTTGGAGGGCAGTGGTGTGATCTCGGCTCACTGCAACCTCTGCCTCCCGAGTTCAAGCGATTCTCCTGTCTCAGCCTCCCGAGTAGCTGAGACTACAGGTGTGTGCCACCACGCCCAGCTAATTTTATGTATTCTTAATAGAGATCGGGTTTCACCGTGTTAGCCAAGGCGGTGTCGATCTCCTGTCCTCGTGATCCGCCCACCTCAGCCTCTCAAAGTGCTGAGATGACAGGTGTGAGCCACCATGCCCGGCTGATCTGATCTGATGGTTTTATAAGCATCTGTCATTTCCCCTGCTTGCACTTCTCTCTCCTGTCGCTGTGTTAAGAAGGTTCTTGCTTCCCCTTTATCTTTTGCCATGATTATAAGTTTCTTGTGGCCTCCCCAGCCACGTGGAACTGTGAGTCAATTAAACCTCTTTTCTTTATAAAATAACCAGTCTTGAGGGTATTTCTTTATAGCAGTGTGAAAACGGACTAATAGACAAAGAAAGCCTCAAGGAAAGAAAGGTACATTGTAGAATATCAAAATATCTCAGTAATTCTTTTTCATAGGAAACGTGGCTTGATCATGTTTGTTCATTGAGAACCCACTCTATTGGCTTTGTATCTTGCTTCAAGTTGTTCTAGAAATTCCAACTATTATTGAGGCATTTGCGTATTAAATTACTTTTTAGAAATCTTTACAGTGAAGGTGAATCTGGTAATAATACGTAACAACATTATGCTAACCACTTTAATGTTCTAGATGTATTTGATAAGAACCTTATTCTCAGTATTCTGAGTAAACTCGGGGCCTGGAAAACATTTAGCCTGTACAAAGATGTATATTTGTTATATTTTTCTTAATTGAAAGACGATATATATTTTGAAAAAAACATTTAGTCTCCTAAAATTATAAAAAAATCATTGTTTAGAGAATGCAACTAATCTCAAAATTTTAAATAAATAACCAGTGCTTATAGTGTAGTTGTATTATCCATTCATAAAATTGATTGCAATATGTTAGTGCTGGCAGCTTAGTATAACACATTTTCCCCCGAACCACAAAAATGTGTTTATTTATTTATTCATTTTAAAACTACTTTATAGTAATATACAGATTAAGTAAACATTTTAGTAATGAGCTTACAGATTTTATACGATCATGCGGTTTTGGTTTTCTTACTGGGTTCAGAAAGAGAAGTATTTTTCAGTGGGGATTGCCTAGCTGCAACCTTGACATTTTCACTGTCTTGCTGCAGGGAGTTCAGGAGCATGTATAAGACTATTCTATTTAATTTAGTTTTACAATCTCATTGTATCTGGCAATTTAAGACATAGAAAAGTAACTTTTCCTTAATTAAAATAAACTTTTGGTATTTGGATAGCAGGATAATGAATACCCAGACAGGCAGTATGTGGTGATGAGTAGTGCATGAACTTTGGAATTCACAGACCTTGGCTTAGATTTCAGATTCTCCAATTATTAGCTATGTCAGTTAGGGCAAATTGCCTTAATTCTTTAAACTCAATGTATTGATGTGGAAAAAGGGGCAATAAATCCTATCATTCAAAGTTGTAATGAGCAGTAAAGTATATGAATATGTAAAAATGACTAGGCTAGTCCCTGACTATGGGACATAGCATTTATTTCCATGTGCACTTTGTGTGAGGGAGTGTAATATCCAATTTCTGTATTATCATACTGCAACTATGAATATGGACACAAATACAGATACATCTTTACCATTTACAGACTACTTTTCCATGTACACACACATAGCCCTTTGCTAAAATGTGATCATGGAATTAGGATTTCATAAAATTGAATTATAACATTGGAAGGCCATGTAGCTTAAGATTAAAAACATAGAATTTGCAGACAGACACAATGAGCTGGAATTCTATTCTACTTGTTTCCTGTCCTATCTTGAGCAAGCCACTCAACATTTTCAGTCTCTTTCTTTTTCATGTAAATGTACATATCCATGTCATAGATTTGTGATGTCTATTAAGGAAGATGTATGAAAGCACTGTCACAATGACCAATAAAAGGAGAGGATTCAATAAATGGTCATTGTCCCTTAACAGATGTCTTTAAAAATATATTAAATTTGAAACATTGTTTCAGAGTGTCTTATTGGATGAAATGATAATAACTGTACACATGGGTGAAGATTAGTGATTGGAAGTCAAGAATTTTTGCTTCAGCTCCTTGACCTTGAGGTTGAAATTTAAGCCTCCTCATCTAGTTTTTTTAAAAAACGTTTCTAACAGAAATATACTTTGTGGATCATTATACCTCATTCTAATCCAGCTCCCTCAAGCTTAATCTGTATGAACTTTGGGGAAAAGATAAGCACTGTGAATAAGTTGGCATGCTTGAACATTCTTTGAATAAGTAGAAAATATTGCTCTTTCATTTTATTGACAGAAAGATTATCTTGATAGCTTATACTTCTGTTTTTAATGTAAATAATAGGTATCAAATTCTAAAATTGAATAATGTTGACCAATTTAATGAGTGTCTGTAATAAGGGGAATTTATAAATGTTTTGCACTAATTGCAGTTTGTAAAGTTATTGAACTTCCTTTTATACTTAGATGATAATTTATTATTTATTTATTTATTTTTGAGATGGAGTCCCACTCTGCTGCCCAGAGTGGAGTGCAGTGGCCCGATCTCAGCTCACTGCAACCTCTGCCTCCCAGGTTCAAGTGATCCTTCTGCTTCAGTCTCCTGAGTATCCGGGATTACAGGCACGTGCCAACACGCCCAGCTACTTTTTTGTATTTTTAGTAGAGATGAGGTTTCACTATGTTAGCCAGGATGGTCTCCATCTCTTGACCTCATGATCTGCCCACCTCGGCCTCCCAAAGTGCTGGGATTACAGGCGTGAGTCACTGCGCCCGGACCAATTTTTTATTTTTATTGACAATGCTGCTTTGGATAAAGAAAGTTACTGAACGCCTTGGTCAATGCAACTGTGGTAAAGAGAACAGAAATGATCATGCACAATAGCAAGATTTCAGTTAAGGTTCTTGGTTGCAAGTGATAAAAATTTAAAGCAGGAAAATAATCTATTAGAAGGCTATGGAATAGATGTCAGAGACAAATGTTAAGGTTCTGAAATTGGGCAATAAGCAAGGAAGGAAAGACCTCAAAGGCATTAACCTGCAGTGCTTCTGAACGTGGGCTCTGGAGCTGAAGTTCCAAATCTTCGCTCCACCACTTAATAGAACTTTGTGACTTCGGGCAAGTGACTTAACCTTTGTATGTCCCAGTATTCAGATCTTCAAAATTAGACTACCCTTACAGCTAACTGAGTTAACACGTGAAAGACACATAATAGATCTTCAAAAATGTCCAGAAAAAAATAAATGTGGCCAGAACAATGGCCATCACATTATACACCATGGACTCCACTGGACGTGGTTATGGAAAACTAATCTCGCTGTCCTTTTGAATTTGCATACCTCCACAAAGTTCCTGACCTATATTGGATTTTGCCTTGGTTGAGAGGAGAACAGAAGGGATGAAATTTCTTTACTTTTTCTCTAAGTGAAAGGTATAATTCCCTGAAACTAAGAAGAGGAGGGATTTGGATGTTAAACAGCCACACATTTTGAAAATGTCCACTACAGTTAGAATAACCATATATCCTAGCTACCTTGAGAAAGTCCCAGTTTACAACTGATATCCCACATGGTTAAACACACCTTCGTGGCAGAAGTGTCACAATTTGGATGATAAATTATGGTCACTGTGATTGTCATTCACTCCCTTTTGCTGCTAAAATGTGCATATATTCTTCTTCTTATACTTACTGGTCCAGTGAAAAAAGACCTTAATAACAAAATTAAATTTTCATTTATAAAAACAATAATGCATTTATTCTTTTCAGCAAACAAAACAAAAACACAACAACAACAACAACAAAAAACCAGAAAGTCCAAAATACTATTATTCTGCTATCTCTAAGTCTTGGATATCTGTGGACTATTTTTTGACTCTAATTTTTTCTAATCCTATCTCAGTATTTCATCACCTACAGAGTAAATTAGCATCGTCCCCACAACAATACCCTACATACGGTATCTATATCTATTTATATACATGTATACAAATATATACATAAATATATATATGCATATATACATATCTATATGTATATAGATAGATGTAGATATATGAAAGGTATATCTATATACAGTAGGCCTCCATTACCTCAGAGACACATCTCAAGACCCTCAGTGGATGCCTGAAAACGTGGATAGTGCCGAACCCTATATATACTATGTATAATTTTTTTCTTTGTCACCATTTCACAGATAAAAGATTCATTTTGCTGTATATCTTAGCAACCTCAGCATATGATTTTTTTCCCTTTCTTTATTAAGTCAAGAACTTGCATCATTTTCCTTAATGGAAGCACTTTACAGCTTCTGTTTGGCATAGCCAAATGGCCAGTATCACTGCTTTTGTGCTTTGAGGCCATTATTAAGTCAAATAAGGATGACTTGGACACAAGCACTGAAATAGTCAATCTGATAGCTGAGGTGGCTAGTGAGTGACTAATGGGTGGGGAGCAGAGACAGCCTGGAGACCCTGAACAAAGGAATGATTCATCCCGAGTTTGATGGAGAAAGAGCACAAAACTTCATCACCATACTCAGAACAGCACACAATTTAAAACTTATGAATTGTTTATTCCTGGAATTTTCCACTTAATATTTTTGGACCATGGTTTACTGCAGGTCATTGAAACCTGAAAAAGCAAAACTTTGAATAAGGAGAAACTACTCTGTGTGTCTACATGCATATGTATAAGTAGTCTCTCTTTCACACACATATACACATACAGGAAAGGAAGAGAAGACATGTGGATTCTAGTTTCCTCATTTCCATACTTGATTATGAGGCCAAATTGAGTATTTATGACTTGCCTCCTTCATGACCCAGTACATACTCCCTCTACTTTCGGGGAACACTTCTGTAATATGCTAGAATTTTCATGCCTAAAGATTCTAAGGGTTTTTCTTTTTACATATAGAATGAAAAGAGTCTTTCATTAACTTCCAATTAATGAACATGCTGGTTCTGTACACCATCTACCACCCAGAACGCTGATCTTTCAAGATGTTGTTTCCCATCTGGCACTATAGTGAGTTTTCCATGAATCATCCAGTATTCCACAAGGGCTACACAGTAAGAACCTTGAATCCTATGGGAATAAGCCCAATGCCTAACATCGTTTGCATTATATTCTTTGTTTAGTAGCAATGATATATAAAAGTTGTGGTTATAGAGTTTGTTGAAAATATCTGAAGAAGGTACAGACAGCAAAGGCAGACACAGAAGAAAAATATATCAATTTTTTAACAGCAGCTGTTCTACTGAAGGCAAATCACTGCACTCTCCATGATTCAAGAAATCAACTACCACCCCCCCAACCCCCCCCTCACCACACACACACGCAGTACTATTTGCTAGCATCAGTCTTGCTCCTCTATCAGGGCCTCTAGGTTGTGCTCAGTATGAATGAATTAGACACTCAGGGGTGCCATTAGCTTGGCAACCTGTCCATTTTACCATGTCCTAGGCATGTTTCTATCCATAAGACCTTTGTCACTTGACTTAATAAGGAGACACACAGTGGCCAGGAGAAGAGATATTTCATCACAGAACCTGCTGCCATGTTGCTTAGAAGGAGAAGGAGCTAGATATGTGACTATGTGTCCATTCTTGAGCCCTGGCACTTGGGTTGTCTTGATGGTCAGGAACTTGGAAGGCAGACAATTGAAATATTGATGACAAGAAAATTTGGGGAAGAGACATGTGGCTGTAACTCTCAGAATGAACCAAAACTTGAAGATATTTTTGGATGTTTAAAAAAGGATGACCTCAGAATAGGAGGATTTTAACAATTAAAAGAATAGGATGACTTGTTTTGTGGGTGCCAGTCAGCCTCTTTACTCAGTCCTCCCTGTCACCTCCCATTGGGCTCATGACTAAAATAGCCATTGTGTCAGGGATGGAGGCTACGCATGGGCTCAGCTACATGGACTTACACTCACCAAGGCTGCCTTCCTACTATCAGTCTACCAGCTGTAGAGACCAACACTGTGCACCCAATGTGACACTATTCCCCAGGGGATCAGGCATCTACCTGGTGGCAGGCAGATCACAGTGGACAGCCTCCATCATGGAAAGGGAAGTATTTTGTTTCTACTGGATAAGATTTTGGATGTGGATGTGTCTGTCCTGAACACAATGCTTCTGCCAAACACGGACTTACAGACTGCCTTATGCACTGTTGCAGTATTCCTCACAGCATGGCTTCTGATCAAGGAACTCACTTCACAGAAAAAGAAGAGTGTCAATGGGCCATGCTCATGGGATTCACCGGTTTTATCATGTTCCCCACCGTCCTGAAGCAGCTGGCTTGATAGAATGGTAAAATGACCTTTTGAAGACAGCTCTAGCCCCAGCTAGGTAACTTCACAGGGCGGGGGCGAGGGTCTCTAGATGGCTGTAAATGCTCTAAACTAACTATCCGATATATGGTGTCATTAATTTTTATCCAAATTCATCTTCTTCACCTGTGTATTATCAATAGAAAATAGCTTAATTTGTCAATCTATCTTGGGTCAAAGTTTACCATAAAGCTTTTCATGAATTTTAGTTTCAAAAATTTACATCTTATGTAATAGTGTGTATACATTTATATAGTAAGAAATAATATAGTAAAGAAAATCTTAAACACATGGCTAAGTTTGGCAGAATGTCATAAAGATCACATTGTACAACAAATGCCAGAAATTATAGTGCTGTCCATAATTTTGTTTCTTTGAGACTGATTCCACTGGTTTTCAAATATTGCTACAGTTGAAACAAAATTAAAAGAATAAAAACTCAGAATGATCACATAGAGTGGCTAAATTAATGATATTCAAGTTCTGTTTCTTCATCTTTATAATCACGGTGTTATAATTGTTTATTTCAAATCAACCGCTCAAACACAGGAATCCATAGCACCAAAAATTTTTGATACAGAAACTTCACTGAGGGCAAGCCTAAATGATCCCAAATCTCTATGAACCTTTTCTTGAAATGAATGCATGTAACTGAGTCCGTGTTTGTCAAGGCCATTTGTAAAACTGGAAGTTCTCTAATTTAACATCCATGTAAAATACAATATTTATAAAACAACTTGTAATAAATGTATGTTAATTTGATGTTACATATATATGTATATATACAATTACATATATATATATATATATATATATATATATATATAATTAAATTCAAGAGAAACCAAGTGATTGTTTAGGACTGAGACCAATAAAATATTTAATAAAATATTTTTGGAGGGAGGACTTGTAATCACGAACTGGGGGGAATATCCACGGGCAAACCATGAACCAGATTCAGGACAACGTCGTTGTCCTCTGAATCCCAGGTAAGTCCACTTTGACTCTTAAATGGCAGAAGGACTCTGGGTTTTCAAAACCCATAAGCCTGTTATCTAACGTATTTTCGTTTCACCAGTGCACAGCTCCTCTTGTTTATGGATGCAGATGCCTTTCCAGAAGGCTAGAAATTATAGAAATAACATTTGGTATTTTCAGAGTCTGTATATGGAAGTACCTACCTACCATGTTTTTATTTAAAGAATTTTGAATATGTGATTTGACTCAAATTTGGGAATTGTGTGAGGAACAAAACTATTTTGGTGGCTTCAATTAGGTCTATATGCAATAGAACGTGAATACTTTTCAAAAACAGAAATAGAACAGTGCCTACGTGAGCTAGCACCAATTATGGTCCTTGGTACTCCATGGCCTATTTACAGCTACATTAATCCATGAGTCTTATAATTCAAATGGCTCCAGTGGCTTTGATGTTCATTAGGGACACAACAGCCCTTTGCCTTCCCTGGAGAAGTGCTGTGTTTTGGGTTCTAACAACATAAATACTCCCCAGTCCCAGTGTTTTTATGGAGCCCAATTCAATGTACGATCTCCCCGTGGCATCACCTACCTATAATGATTAAGGATTTGGGAGATTCATTTAGTGAATTTTATCAAGATAACAATCTTAACAAACACTGTAGCATATGCACACTCCAAAGGCTTTCCCTCTTTCTACGTTAAATCCAATGGATTCCTGGGACTGTGTCTCTTATAGGCTTTTACTGGGCCTAAATTTTAGCCAATAAGCTTGTCAAACAGCTAGAAACACATTAAACTCTTCAAGCTTACCTACTCTATCCATGCTCTTCGGGTAAGTGTCCACTTTGAAATTCACCCCAATGCAATCTTTTATCTTGGTTGGATGCACACCTTCAGAACCTATTCCTAAGAAATTCTTGCATATATTGTTGGCATAAATGTCTTGCAATTCTGTTGTTATATCATTTTTTTTCTGAGTATATTTGACCCCTATTTAATGCTTAGCTCTTGCTCAAGTTCTAGGACTGCAGGCAATGAAGACTGGGTAAGTAGGGGTTAGGATGAGAATTATCTTCTCAGTCTGAGGTAACTTCCTCATATGTAAAGGCTACTAAGGCAGGTTTGGAAATGGGTTTATATATGCATTTCCGAATATCCTAATAATATTTGGCTGCTTACATTAGTAAAAATCATTAAAGTTGCTTTCACTCAAAGACTGTAAGATATAAAGAAAAGTTATTTAAAATGTAAAGCATTGAACAGAAAACAATCGGAAACTAATCAATGAAATGGGTATATATAGGAGGATTCCAAAAATTCGGAGACTCTAACCAGTGAATCCAGCCTTGCTAGTACATCCCTGCAGCCAGATACAGTTGCACTTGCTGGACCACTACAACATCGGGTGCCAATCTAACCACTGAATCCAACCTCCTTGTACATCACTGCAACCAGATGCAGTTGCACTTGCTGGACCACTACAACATCGGGTGCCAATTTAATACTTTCTTCTTTTCACTCTCTACCCCAGTTTCAGTATCCTTGGCAGTATGCTATGTTCAACTGACTTTGAGATGTATGATTCTATTTTGACACCAACAGGCTTAGAAAAAAGTAAACTGAACACTCTGGCTTTTGTAGGGAGAAGTAGAACTCCGTGTAGCACGAAGTCTTATGCAAAAGTAGGAAGCAGTGTAGGAGGATTGGCAGACCAAAAAATGAAAAGTGACAAATATTTATATACAGCCAGATAATTTTGTTATAAGTCAATACTCTAGATTTTTTAAATCTCCCATCTCCAAGGCAATTTAGGCAACAGCAAGTATCTTATAAAATTCTCTTTTTTTAGAAAATATAGATGAATTATTTAAGATGGATTATCATTATTTATTGTGTATTTAGTATAGGTTTATTTATCTCACACTTCTTTGTCTTTTTCCATTATTTTCAGCTGTTCAAAAATTCTGCATTTGTAACAACTTCCTCAATATGTAAATTTAAAAATCCCTCAATATTTGCCATCTTATTCTGAAGTGTTTACCATCTTACTCTAAAGTAATCTGAACACCACATGCATTATTGTTGGAGTTTTAAAACATTAGTATTTATCTGATCCTAATGTTTTATTGTAATTGTATAGATTTTTTCACTAATTTTGGAAGGGTAAACTATTGTTTCATAGATGCAATAAATCCTGGAAACTTGTTTGCAATACTTTTAAAAGCAGTTTTCAAAATTTCTCCTCTATCACACAGGAGACACACTGTAATGACTACTATTTCCTCTGATTTCTTTTAGGTGCGTTTCTTTTGACTGTATTTTCATCAGTCTCATCATTTTTCTGTGTCATCCATTTGCGCTGGGACTTGTGCCTACTGATGGTTTTCAAGTGTGGCTGCAATTTGGTTCCCTTGAAGGTATTTTAAAATATGCTGATGCACTAGTACCATTCCCAAACCAACTGAAACACATTCTTCAATGGCAAGGTCATGGTGCTGGTATTTAAAACAAAAATCTTCCTAAGTTATTTTAATATACAACTACAACATATTCACTGGTATAGATAATATTGAATACAAAAAAAACCTATATGATGACTCGTTCCTTCTGTGAGAGAGCAAAGTCCACAATTTAAAAAAATTAATAATACTGTTAACTCAGAGGGATCAGACCAGGTGGAAAGCACGAATATGCACTCTGCATAATGAAGCTTATTTCCAGTGTACAAATCTACAGCAAGCAAAAAAGGATACTTGGTGCAGTTTGCTCTAGATACACAGCTAACACAGCGAGCCATGCAGTGGGGCCTCCACCTAGAGGAACTGATTACAGGAAGAGGAAGTTTTGATTTCAACCTTGTTAGGCTTTCCTTCCAGTTAGTAATGGTTTCAAGCTGAATGGATGACACAACATGAAAAATTCAACTACTTAAGAATAGCATGCACCAAGTATATTCTATAACTTTCTGTTAAGATTCATTTCACTTAATAATTTTCTATATAAATCTCTATTAATTTAAGTTTCTGAATAACTGTAGGGTCAACAACATATTTGGTACTCTCCTACTTTGAGCTTGGTTGAACCACATAATTTGAAAGAGGATATTTTATAAAGTTAAAATCCTGATAACTTTAAAGACTGATAAATTTCTGTTTGCATTCAGAATATAGTGGCAGAAAAAAATATTCCTTTCTAAATTATAATGATTAAATTGTTTTGATGGTATTATGTTGCTATAAATAATTTCCTAGAGATATTAAGGTATACTTACATAAGATTTATTCACATTTATGATATTTTAGGCTGACCTTAAAAATTATTTATGAATTTAATTGCTTATGCATATGTGATAAATGCTAATTATAATATTTACTTGGCTTTAATAAATATTTCCAGTTGCAATTTGATAGGCTAACTGTATGTAAAAATTTCATAATATTGTCTAGAATAGTTTTTCTTTATTCTGATCCTTTTTAGTTATAGTCTTATAGATATGGCCTTAGTTCAAAAGCACTATACACTCGTGAAACATTTCTAAGTCAATGTAAAATATTGTAATGTGATGTCAGAATAAAATCTTTTTGAAGATAGAGATTTTCATGGTTTTTTTCCAAATCAGAGTTTAAAGTAGTCAATCTCATGATTTGTCAGACTTGAAAAGTTATAGAATGAATATTTTAACATAAAAATAACTTAAATGAATATCCTTAGAATACAAATCAACTGTATATTCACTCAAGGCACTTAAAATATTCTATATGCCAAAAACTGCATATCTCTTTCCAATTTTTAATACTGCTTTCTCTCTCTCTCTCTTAGTTTACAAATATTTCTCAATATTTAAACTTTTAGAACTGAATCATGTTGGGGAAATGAAGTCTTTGGGGAAATAATTTATTATGAAAAATTTTTATGTAGTTATTAAAAAAATTCTAACTCAGTTAAACAATATTATATGGAAATGCCATAGTTTGAAAAATTGTCAAGGTTAAGATAAAACAAAAAAATATTTTTGACTTTTTTTTTCTTTTCTTTTATTATTATACTTTAAGTTTTAGGGTACATGTGCACATTGTGCAGGTTATTTACATATGTATACATGTGCCATGCTGGTGTCCTGCACCCATTAACTTGTCATTTAGCATTAGGTATATCTCCCAATGCTATCCCTCCCCCCTCCCCCCACCCCACAACAGTCCCCAGAGTGTGATGTTCCCCTTCCTGTGTCCACGTGATCTCATTGTTCAATTCCCACCTATGAGTGAGAATATGCGGTGTTTGGTTTTTTGTTCTTGTGATAGTTTACTGAGAATGATGATTTCCAATTTCATCCATGTCCCTACAAAGGACATGAACTCATCATTTTTTATGGCTGCATAGTATTCCATAGTGTATATGTGCCACATTTTCTTAATCCAGTCTATCATTGTTGGACATTTGGGTTGGTTCCAAGTCTTTGCTATTGTGAATAATGCCACAATAAACATACGTGTGCATGTGTCTTTACAACAACATGATTTATAGTCCTTTGGGTATATACCCAGTAATGGGATGGCTGGGTCAAATGGTATTTCTAGTTCTAGATCCCTGAGGAATCGCCACACTGACTTCCACAATGGTTGAACTAGTTTACAGTCCCACCAACAGTGTAAAAGTGTTCCTATTTCTCCACATCCTCTCCAGCACCTGTTGTTTCCTGACTTTTTAATGATTGCCATTCTAACTGGTGTGAGATGGTATCTCATTGTGGTTTTGATTTGCATTTCTCTGATGGCCAGTGATGATGAGCATTTTTTCATGTGTCTTTTGGCTGCATAAATGTCTTCTTTTGAGAAGTGTCTGTTCATATCCTTTGCCCACTTTTTCATGGGGTTGTCTGTTTTTTTCTTGTAAATTTGTTTGAGTTCATTGTAGATTCTGGATATTAGCCCTTTGTCAGATGAGTAGGTTGCGAAAATTTTCTCCCATTTTGTAGGTTCCATGTTCACTCTGATGGTAGTTTCTTTTGCTGTGCAGAAGCTCTTTAATTTAGTTAGATCCCATTTGTCAATTTTGTCTTTTGTTGCCATTGCTTTTGGTGTTTTAGACGTGAAGTCCTTGCCCATGCCTATGTCCTGAATGGTATTGCCTAGGTTTTCTTCTAGGGTTTTTATGGTTTTAGGTCTAACATTTAAGTCTTTAATCCATCTTGAATTGATTTTTGTATAAGGTGTAAGGAAGGGATCCAGTTTCAGCTTTCTACATACAGCTAGCCAGTTTTCCCAGCACCATTTATTAAATAGGGAATCCTTTCCCCATTGCTTGTTTTTCTCAGGTTTGTCAAAGATCAGATGGTTGTAGATATGCGGCATTATTTCTGAGGGCTCTGTTCTGTTCCATTGATCTATATCTCTGTTTTGGTACCAGTACCATGCTGTTTTGGTTACTGTAGCCTTGTAGTATAGTTTGAAGTCAGGTAGTGTGATGCCTCCAGCTTTGTTCTTTTGGCTTAGGATTGACTTGGCGATGCGGGCTCTTTTTTGGTTCCATATGAACTTTAAAGTAGTTTTTTCCAATTCTGTGAAGAAAGGCATTGGTAGCTTTATGGGGATGGCATTGAATCTGTAAATTACCTTGGGCAGTATGGCCATTTTCACGATATTGATTCTTCCTACCCATGAGCATGGAATGTTCTTCCATTTGTTTGTATCCTCTTTTATTTCCTTGAGCAGTGGTTTGTAGTTCTCCTTGAAGAGGTCCTTCACATCCCTTGTAAGTTGGATTCCTAGGTATTTTATTCTCTTTGAAGCAATTGTGAATGGGAGTTCACTCATGATTTGGCTCTCTGTTTGTCTGTTGTTGGTGTATAAGAATGCTTGTGATTTTTGCACATTGATTTTGTATCCTGAGACTTTGCTGAAGTTGCTTATCAGCTTAAGGAGATTTTGGGCTGAGACAATGGGGTTTTCTAGACATACAATCATGTCGTCTGCAAAGAGGGACAATTTGACTTCCTCTTTTCCTAAATGAATACCCTTTATTTCCTTCTCCTGCCTAATTGCCCTGGCCAGAACTTCCAACACTATGTTGAATAGGAGTGGTGAGAGAGGGCATCCATGTCTTGTTCCAGTTTTCAAAGGGAATGCTTCCAGTTTTTGCCCATTCAGTATGGCTGTGGATTTGTCATAGATAGCTCTTATTATTTTGAAATACATCCCATCAATACCTAATTTATTGAGAGTTTTTAGCAAGAAGGGTTGTTGAATTTTGTCAAAGGCCTTTTCTGCATCTATTGAGATAATCATGTGGTTTTTGTCTTTGGCTCTGTTTATATGCTGGATTACATTTATTGATTTGCGTATATTGAACCAGCCTTGCATCCCAGGGATGAAGCCCACTTGATCATGGTGGATAAGCTTTTTGATGTGCTGCTGGATTCGTTTTGCCAGTATTTTATTGAGGATTTTTGCATCAATGTTCATCAAGGATATTGGTCTAAAATTCTCTTTTTTGGTTGCGTCTCTGCCCGGCTTTGGTATCAGCATGATGCTGGCCTCATAAAATGAGTTAGGGAGGATTCCCTCTTTTTCTATTGATTGGAATGGTTTCAGAAGGAATGGTACCAGTTCCTCCTTGTACCTCTGGTAGAATTCGGCTGTGAATCCATCTGGTCCTGGACTGTTTTTGATTGGTAGGCTATTGATTATTGCCACAATTTCAGATCCTGTTATTGGTCTATTCAGAGATTCAACTTCTTCCTGGTTTAGTCTTGGGAGAGTGTATGTGTCGAGGAATTTATCCATTTCTTCTAGATTTTCTAGTTTATTTGCATAGAGGTGTTTGTAGTATTCTCTGATGGTAGTTTGTATTTCTGTGGGATCAGTGGTGATATCCCCTTTATCATTTTTTATTGCATCTATTTGATTCTTCTCTCTTTTTTTCTTTATTAGTCTTGCTAGCCGTCTATCTATTTTGTTGATCCTTTCAAAAAACCAGCTCCTGGATTCATTAATTTTTTGAAGGGTTTTTTGTGTCTCTATTTCCTTCAGTTCTGCTCTGATTTTAGTTATTTCTTGCCTTCTGCTAGCTTTTGAATGTGTTTGCTCTTGCTTTTCTAGTTCTTTTAATTGTGATGTTAGGGTGTCAATTTTGGATCTTTCCTGCTTTCTCTTGTGGGCATTTAGTGCTATAAATTTCCCTCTACACACTGCTTTGAATGCTTCCCAGAGATTCTGGTATGTTGTGTCTTTGTTCTCGTTGGTTTCAAAGAACATCTTTATTTCTGCCTTCATTTTGTTATGTACCCAGTAGTCATTCAGGAGCAGGTTGTTCAGTTTCCATGTAGTTGAGCGGTTTTGAGTGAGTTTCTTAATCCTGAGTTCTAGTTTGATTGCACTGTGGTCTGAGAGATAGTTTGTTATAATTTCTGTTCTTTTACATTTGCTGAGGAGAGCTTTACTTCCAACTATGTGGTCAATTTTGGAATAGGTGTGGTGTGGTGCTGAAAAAAATGTATATTCTGTTGATTTGGGGTGGAGAGTTCTGTAGATGTCTATTAGGTCCACTTGGTGCAGAGCTGAGTTCAATTCCTGGGTATCCTTGTTGACTTTCTGTCGCGTTGATCTGTCTAATGTTGACAGTGGGGTGTTAAAGTCTCCCATTATTAATGTGTGGGAGTCTAAGTCTCTTTGTAGGTCACTCAGGACTTGCTTTATAAATCTGGGTGCTCCTGTATTGGGTGCATATATATTTAGGATAGTTAGCTCTTCTTGTTGAATTGATCCCTTTACCATTATGTAATGGCCTTGTCTCTTTTGATCTTTGTTGGTTTAAAGTCTGTTTTATCAGAGACTAGGATTGCAACTGCTGCCTTTTTTTGTTTTCCATTTGCTTGGTAGATCTTCCTCCATCCTTTTATTTTGAGCCTATGTGTGTCTCTGCACGTGAGATGGGTTTCCTGAATACAGCACACTAATGGGTCTTGACTCTTTATCCAATTTGCCAGTCTGTCTTTTAATTGGAGCATTTAGTCCATTTACATTTAAAGTTAATATTATTATGTATGAATTTGATCCTGTCATGATGATGTTAGCTGGTTATTTTCTTCGTTAGTTGATTCAGTTTCTTCCTAGTCTCGATGGTCTTTACATTTTGGCATGATTTTGCAGCGGCTGGTACTGGTTGTTCCTTTCCATGTTTAGCGCTTCCTTCAGGAGCTCTTTTAGGTCAGGCCTGCTGGTGACAAAATCTCTCAGCATTTGCTTGTCTGTAAAGTATTTTATTTCTCCTTCACTTATGAAGCTTAGTTTGGCTGGATATGAAATTCTGGGTTGAAAATCCTTTTCTTTAAGAATGTTGAATATTGGCCCCCACTCTCTTCTGGCTTGTAGGGTTTCTGCCGAGAGATCTGCTGTTAGTCTGATGGGCTTCCCTTTGAGGGTAACCCGATCTTTCTCTCTTGCTGCCCTTAACATTTTTTCCTTCATTTCAACTTTGGTGAATCTGGCAATTATCTGTCTTGGAGTTGCTCTTCTCGAGGAGTATCTTTGTGGCGTTCTCTGTATTTCCTGAATCTGAACGTTGGCCTGCCTTGCTAGATTGGGGAAGTTCTCATGGATAATATCCTGCAGAGTGTTTTCCAACTTGGTTCCATTCTCCCCATCACTTTCAGGTACACCAATCAGATGTAGATTTGGTCTTTTCACATAGTCCCATATTTCTTGGAGGGTTTGCTCATTTCTTTTTATTCTTTTTTCTCTAAACTTCCCTTCTCGCTTCATTTCATTCATTTCATCTTCCATTGCTGATACCCTTTCTTCCAGTTGATCACATCGGCTCCTGAGGCTTCTGCATTCTTCACGTAGTTCTCGAGCCTTGGTTTTCAGCTTCATCAGCTCCTTTAAGCACTTCTCTGTATTGGTTATTCTAGTTATACATTCTTCTAAATTTTTTTCAAAGTTTTCAACTTCTTTGCCCTTGGTTTGAATGTCCTCCCGTAGCTCAGAGTAATTTGATCATCTGAAGCCTTCTTCTCTCAGCTCGTCAAAGTCATTCTCCCTCCAGCTTTGTTCCGTTGCTGGTGAAGAACTGCGTTCCTTTGGAGGAGGAGAGGCGCTCTGCTTTTTAGAGTTTCCAGTTTTTCGGAGGAGCCAAGATGGCCGAATAGGAACAGCTCCTGTCTACAGCTCCCAGCGAAAGCGACGCAGAAGATGGGTGATTTCTGCATTTCCATCTGAGGTACCGGGCTCATCTCACTAGGGAGTGCCAGACAGTGGGCGCAGGTCAGTGGGTGCATGCACCATGCGCGAGCCGAAGCAGGGCGAGGCATTGCCTCACTCGGGAAGTGCAAGGGGTCAGGGAGTTCCCTTTCCTAGTCAAAGAAAGGGGTGACTGACGGCACCTGGAAAATCGGGTCACTCCCACCCAAATACTGCGCTTTTCCATTGGGCTTAAAAAACGGCACAGCACGAGATTATATCCCGCACATGGCTCGGAGGGTCCTACGCCCATGGAGTCTCGCTGATTGCTAGCACAGCAGTCTGAGATCAAACTGCAAGGCGGCAGTGAGGCTGGGGGAGGGGCGCCCGCCATTGCCCAGGCTTGCTTAGGTAAACAAAGCAGCCAGGAAGCTGGAACTGGGTGGAGCCCACCACAGCTCAAGGAGGCCTGCCTGCCTCTGTAGGTTCCACCTCTCGGGGCAGGGCACAGACAAACAAAAAGACAGCAGTGGCCGGGCGCGGTGGCTCACGCCTGTAATACCAGCACTTTGGGAGGCCGAGACGGGCGGATCACGAGGTCAGGAGATCGAGACCATCCTGGCTAACACGGTGAAACCCCGTCTCTACTAAAAATACAAAAATTAGCCGGGCATGGTGGCGCGTGCCTGTAGTCCCAGCTACACAGGAGGCTGAGGCAGGAGAATGGCGTGAACCCGGGAGGCGGAGCTTGCAGTGAGTCGAGATCGCGCCACTGCACTCCAGCCTGGGCGACAGAGCGAAACTCCGTCTCAAAAAAAAAAAAAAAAAAAAGACAGCAGTAACCTCTGCAGACTTAAATGTCCCTGTCTGACAGCTTTGAAGAGAGCAGTGGTTCTCCCAGCACGCAGCTGGAGATCTGAGAATGGGCAGACTGCCTCCTCAAGTGGGTCCCTGACCCCTGACCCCCGAGCAGCCTAACTGGGAGGCACCCCCCAGCAGGGGCACACTGACACCTCACACAGCAGGGTATTCCAACAGACCTGCAGCTGAGGGTCCTGTCTGTTAGAAGGAAAACTAACAAACAGAAAGGACATCCACACCAAAAACCCATCTGTACATCACCATCATCAAAGACCAAAAGTAGATAAAACCACAAAGATGGGGAAAAAAACAGACGAGAAAAACTTTTTGACTTTTAACAATGTCTTGAGAAAATGTCTTCTCTTACATTTTAATCACGTTTGATTGAACATTGACAGACAAAACAGATATTGAATAGTAGAATAACTTTCTAGTGTACATTATGTATATGTTGCATTATTTATTTTCATGTATCCACTTAAAGAAAATATGAACATCCTGCTTAGAATCGAGCTTCAGTTACATTAACACTTTCTTTTTGTTAATGCATTTCTGTAAACTGCATAATGATGTAATCAAGACATATCTAACACCTGTTCATAATACTTTTGAATTAAACCTAAAGATTATTTTGTAGGAAAATAATACATAAGAGATACTGCTCTGACTAATAATGCAAAACACATTTCAGAAATAGGAAACATAACTTGTCACTGAAGATATGAATATGATAGGTATATTAGTCCATTAATTTCCTCACTGTTGTCTCAGCTCTGCTAGGACATTGCTCTTCCTGATCAACTGTTATCTATTATTTAGGCAATTTATTCTTGCTGCTGCAAAGAATGTCAGTGGCATGAAGTTAGAGTATGCATGTCTATGCTACTGTGGTTTCAGGTAATGTAAATAAATGGGAAACATTTCAGATCATATAAAATCAAACTACTTTTCCTTTTTCCTATTCTTTTATGTCAGTCTGTCACTTGTCTCAAACCTTCTAACATCTTTCTTCTATTTTGCTTCTCATTGTTTAATTCCTATTACCTTAAGTCTATCAGATAAATAAACTTCTTGATGCATTGACCTGATTTCCTGATATTCTCAAAGAGACATAGGCTCTAATAAGACTTTTTTCACATTACAAACTTGGTACAAGCGAGCTGCAGATGTAAACACATAAACTGAAGTTCATGCATTTATACTTTATGTATATTAACATATAAACATTATAGGAAATGGATTATATCAAGAGGTTATTACAGAAGATGAAAAGAAGGGTTCATATGTTTCTTAGATCCACAGACTCGACACAGACTTTACCCACATTTTCATGCAATATTGAGCCAGATGAATGAAACTTAACGTTCATCAATTCTGCTTCCCATCTTCCCAGACCATGGAAATGGTTTTGATAGCAATGTGTTGGTTGATCTGGCCAACTACTAGTAAAAAGATGGCCATCATACATGGTACCATGTCATGACTTAAATTCAGTTCTAAGATGGAAGCAGAGAGCCGAGATGCAGGTTGTGTTGCTTCTGTTTCTCAAATCCTAGAGTGCACATACAGCACTGCTATTCTCTGGGATGGCATGTCCTCCTTTATCACCCTGCTGGTCCTACCATCCTCCTGGAAGACCCATCTTACAGCCTGACTCTCTTCTTTTCCTCTATTTCAAACGTCAAAGAAAGATTTTAGATGAGAACTCAACTATTTCTAAAATAATGTACAAAACAGAAAAGCACTCCATACACATTTTTTAAACATCAATTTCTGGGTTTCTGATGGAATTTGTGCATGAAAAATCATAAGATGTAGTTTGGGTATTTGTCCCCACCCAAATTTCATAATGAATTGTAATCCTCAGTGCTGGAGGTGGGGCTTGGTGCTGTCTTGGCAATAGTGAGTGAGTTCTCATGAGATCAAGTCATTATAAGTGTGGGCACCTCTCTCTTACTCTCTCTATCTCTTGCTCCTGCTTTCTCCACGTGATGTACCTGCTCCTGCTTCAGCTTCTGCCATGATTGAAAGTTCCCTGAGACTTCAGCAGAAGCTGAGCAGATGTCAGCACCATGCTTCCTGTACAGCCTGCAGAACCATGAGCCAGTTAAGCCCCTTTCCTTTATAAATTACCCAGTCTCAGGCATTTCTTTGTATCAATGCAAAATGGCTTAATATAGAGAGAAATACTAATTTAATTCCATTTAATTAATAGTAATGCAGCACCTGCTTTGTATTAGCAGATATTGATGTTGAGAATGATTGAAAAACAAACATAATTTTCAAGAATCTTATAGTTTTAGGGTTGAGGTATAAGATGAAGGGTGAAAGCAAAGTATAGAGCCTATTATACAGTAAGTTAGAGTACAACATTTTTGATAAAGCAAGCAGAATGTGATGAAATTTTAATGAAGGAAGAGGATGCATTAGATGGATGCATCAGGAGAAACAGTATAGTGGTGGATCTTTTAAGGTCAATGGCATTTCAAAAATTTGAGCTGCAATGAAACTTTAAATATAGTGATAATTTGTAGCATATGTTATTAATTAAAATTAATATTATCTCAAAGCATAAAGGCTGGGAAACATCTTGCAGGAAGCAGATTATTTTTCTAAAGATAATTAACCTGCAATTGCTTAAAGCTTAGATATTTTCAGTGAGTTTCCATAAATAGTAGCTCCTGTAACACTCAGACCATCTCTGAAGCTGTGCTAGTTGATAATGTGGCTCCTTATAAACTACAAAAAAAAATGTGGCTTAGGTTGTTTGGGGGAGGGGGTTATGCCAGGGCACAAGGGTGCAAGTCATATCTGCGACTTCTCATCTGGAATTGAGACTAGAAGTATCAGGTGAGGTAATAGGAGAGAATTAAATCCTAAGCTAGGAATTTTTACCTAATTAGATGGATTTTTAGGTATTTTTGAAGTTTTTTGAATAAAGTCATGAAATTATCAGCCTCACATTTAAAATTGTCAGAAACAGACACAACCCTGAAAAGGTGTAGAAAAGAATCAAACTGAGGATGTGAAATATAATAGATATCATTATGAAATGCTACACTAAGTCCAAAAGATGAGAGCTTTAGAGAGGATTAAGTCCTATAGACTGCCTTCAAATACAAAATCTGTAGTTATAAATAGGGTTGATAGCATTGTGCATGAAAAAGATCTAGGGGTCTTAATTGACGAAAAGCTCAACATTAGACAGTGAAGTGGCCCAAAATGCAAATGTGAACAAAGCCGACTTTGTCAGGTTATAGTGCCAGTCAGGAGGAAGACAGCATTCTTGCTATTCTATGAACTTAACAGACCACACCTACCACTTATGTTCACACTTTAAAAGGGACATTGACAAACTAAAATTCATCCAGAGAAGACGAATAAGGATGGGTTTGCAGGTGTGTCTAGGAGGATTATTTGACAAACCTGAGGAAGTTTATCTAGAAAAAGAGGTAAATTTGTTAAGACTGGGATGGGGAAGAATCAGCATTTGTGGAGTAAAATCAAAACCTTGTAGGGCTGTTATATGAGAGAACGTTTAGACGTTTCTGTGTCTCTTGAATGTAGAACAAGAACCAACAAAAGTAGATGTCAATGCAGTACAAAAGCTACCTTTCTAAGAATTACGTTATCCAAGTAGCATTTGAAAGCCTTGCTTTTGATGTGCTGCAGAATAGTGTTCAGTCCATTCTGACTGAGATTCTGTTATTTCACCAATTATATGTTATATACCTGCACAATAGAATAGATAAGATGCTACAGGTTGATTAGCACATAAAATAAGAGTGAAGACCTCACTCTAAAATAGATTAAATAACAGAAAGCACATTTTTGGTGCTTATAGCATTGAGATTGTGAAATGTGAAATTGAATGGAGTAGAATCATAGCTTGCTTCAACTTGATTAGAACATTTCTTATAATAGATACAATGAAGGTGTTTGGAATAACAATAGTGCTTTGAAGTAACAATAAAAACAGCAAACTAAGGCCTGGTTGGTGGCTGACATTTGTAATCCCAGCACTTTCTGAGGCCCAGGTGGGAGGATAGCTTGAGCCCAGGAGTTCAAGACCAGCCTGGACAATATAGTAAAACCTCATCTCTACGAAACAAAACAAAAGAAAACAAAAACCTAGATAGTCCCAGCTACTCGGGAGGTTGAAGTAGGAGGATTGCTTGAGCCAAGGAGGTCAAGCCTGCAGTGAGTCACGATCACTCCACTGCACTCCAGCCTGGGCAACAGAGTAAAACCTTGTTTCAAAGAAATATTTTTTTTATTAAAAAAAAAGCAAAATGTTTGAACCAGAAGCAGAAGCAGCTTAGTACAGCACTTTAATCCTAATGTTTTAGTTATAATATTTTCTCAATAGATATGTACTCAATACATGAATGCAGGAATGAATTAAGGATCAGGCTGCTTGCTCCCAACACTTCACTGAGGTTTCTAAGGGGACAGCTCCACGTAGTATAAGAAAAAGTCTAATGACACTGGATAACAGGGCCTTGTGTTTCTATTTTCTCCTTGAAATAGTCCCAAAGTATTTTTTAATGGTTTTACCTGGGTCCCATGCAACTGTGAAATGTCACAGAACCCACATAGAAGGCGTCGAGATTTTTGATCTTGCGCTAAATCCGGCTCACTATGGGAGGCAGCTGTTCTATAACAGAGAAGAAAAGCCTGGCTGATTTGGGTGTGGGCGTTGCTTTTATAATGGCAGCAATGTGCTGGCTTGGCATCTCATCAAATATTCTTTTTGAACCTGTCTGATCACTACCAGAGAGGGAAGTTTCAATTTTGTTATGGTTCATTGGCCGTCATTAAGAAAAATGCACGTGTTGTAATGGCACAGCTTCTAGTGCTGGGTGATTTTAACCCATGTCTAGAAGGGGCTACTAGCTGTGGACAATGTGGAAAGCATTTTCATACTCTAGCAAAGAAGGAAAAAAGATGAGGATTTTGGAACAGGGATTACCTTTGAAATAACGTAGGGTAAGAATCCTGTATACAGGTAGATGAAGTCTTAAGAAAGGCCAAAAGCATGAACATTATGTGCTCTTGGTTTTTCCAGGGCTGATTCGTGTTCAATGGTCAAAATTATCTTTCCTTTTAAAAGTATTTTATTTATCATCCTATTTTTAAATGTGAGAATTCTATTTGATCATATGTAATGTGGCCATTGAAATCTTTTTACATAAAATGTTCAACTATATAAGAATTATTATTTTAATCTTTTCTACTAAGAGATCAACATATCTAATCACATAACAGTAGCCAGTTGGCTATCAAGGGAAACTGAGGTAGTAACTATTCCCCAGTGTTCTGAAGTTGAGATAGAAATCACACTAACACACCCCCATCAGGTATTCCTTGGTGCCCCACATTTTCAAATACAGTAAAGATGTAAGAAAAATTCCCTACTCCGAAAATGTTTTCTGTATCTTTTCATCTTTTAGTTCCCCCAATTCAAATGTTTACTAGATTCATTCTATCCATCATCATTTACAATTCAGAGTAGAGTGTAAATTAATGATTTTCTTCTCCTTTGTGTCAGTTAAGACTGAATTTCGTTATATGCAAAGGAAATTAGTCCAGAGTGATTTGCACACATGAAGACTGATTTTCATTTAGGTAGAAAGAAACTCATGTAGATGGTAGTACAAGGCTTGAGCAACAGCTTGATGAAGTTATTCAGGACCAGAGTTTCTTCTAAGTTTTTGTCTAGCTTGGGACTTTTCATTCTTACATTAATAACACGGCTGCTCCATCTCTAGGCATCACATTTGTGTTATAGGCAGAAAGAAGATATAGTAGAGTAAAGGGTAAAATGTGAAAGTCCAAAAGGTACATACAACCAAAGTCACTTACATTAACACATAATTGCTCACACTTTATAGCAAACCCTATCTGCAAGGCATTTGGAGCAGGTGAGTACTTTAAATTGGGCATATTGCAACTTCATACAAAAATGAGGATCTATTAGAAAGGAGGAAATGTGAATGAATAAGAACTGGCTAGACAACTGGAAGTGACTTCCACAAAGTTATTAAACTTTAAAAGGAAAATTATATTCCTAATTATCCTAACACTAAATAATCAATACAGAGTATTTAGGAAACCCAGAAAAGTGAAAGAAAAACAATAATTCATAAAAACATAACTGAAACTCTACTTCCTGAAAGATGGTTAATAATGACGTGTCCTTTTCTTCTCTTTCTTCCTCTCTTACATTTGTTCTATTGTTTTCCGTGTACGTTTTTGTAAAAAACAACATTAAAGGGTGTATTATACCATGGTTTGATTTTTGAACTTAGTTTAATATAAATATTTTCTGACAATAACAGCTGCTATTCTACAAGGGAGAAATGCTACCAAGGTTCTATGATCTGTGCATACTTTGTATCCTTAACTCAGCATAAAAGAAATTGTTTCCATATTTTCTGTTGATAATTTTTAATTTCCATAAATATGTATACTTTATATATATCTCAGGTTGTTTCTGTAGGATGAATTTTGAAAGAGAAAAATCAATCACAGACTATGCACATTTTAAAACTTTTAATACACAATTAAAATATCATTACAAAAGATTGCACCAATTTATGCTATTTCTTCACTCTCCAATTCTCTTTAAAATCTTTGCTATTTGATAGGCAGAGGAAGTAGTGTCTTAATATTATATTAATTGTAATTTATTTATACACAAAAAGGGATTGTAACTTTTGTCTATAGAGGACAATTCACTCTTTGTTCCTGCAAATGACTTCTTCATGTTCTTTGCATTTTATTCTACTTCCTACTCAGTTGTCAGATCCACCTACCTCTTTTAATCTTCAGAGGCCAATATCCAAGCCCCTCAAATCTCTTTGTGTAGATCATCAAAACATTCTTGCAGTGATCAGTCCACCCCAACCCCAATGTGAGTTTTATTTCTAGGAAAAATTGACACAGTTAAAAATAAACTGGACTCCTGTGTTTAAATCAGAGTATTTCTCACAAATTACCTTAATATTTCCATCTTGAATTTTATCACTAATTATAGAATGACAGCAAGTGTTCCCTATGTCACTATGAGTAGATGCAGAACATAATTTGAGACCAGAGATGTCTCCTCAAGGACCTGATAGAACATTCAACTCTCAAAAAGCATATTTGATTACTAAAAGGTCCCTGTACTTAGAATTACAATGTCTCGGTTTAGTCTTACCTCTATTATTCAGGTTTGTGAAACGTTGGAAAAAGTGCCCAATAAATATTATCCATCTTTGCTCCCAAGATTGTAGCCAACTGAGAGGTTCACACAGGATGTCAGGAATCTGGAATTAAAATAGCTCAGTTATTTCTAATAAAAGTTATACTGGAGAAAAGGCTTTGGCTCTGTGGTCATATCAGCCCCTAATATGCGTCCCTCGAACTACTCAGCCTTCCTTATTTCATTCCAGACAGTTTTGGACAACAGCTGACCCATGACCCGCTGAATCCATCCCACCATAAAGCTGAGACTTGACTGCACCTTCATGGAGATTGCTGGTCCCCGCCTCCATCTGTCAATCTCTGGAGTGACAGGTGCAAGGCAGCCCAGCCTTCATTTGGTGGCAGGAGCCCAGTATTCTCCCCAGTGTGAACAGAGATCTAGCTGTGCAACCTCACCAAGCCTCCTGGCCTCCTTTATATTTACCTTCTTCAGGGTACACTAAAAATAATATTGACCATACAGTATATTTGTAAAGACTTAATAGCACAATGAACAAAATGGATCCAAAAACTACTTCTGGATTTTCTGATCCATGCATTAGAGCAAGCATGCCAATTGTTTTTAATGTTACACACACAATTAAAGGACAATATCAACAGAAATAGTATTTGGGTACTTTTTCCAGTATATACATTGAATAATAATTATTAGCATTTGTACAGAGTTATAGCAATTTTAAGATTATGACAAAATTTTATACATAAACAGTTTGACTAACTTGATTTTTTTTTGCAAATCAAAAAATATTTCAATGTGTTTTTCAGTGATTATACTTTTGAGGATAAGCATTTCTGTTTGCTTTCATTTTCAAGAAAAACATTTAATTTTGATAGTTCTCCCATTCTTGTTTGACATTAATAATATTATTGACCTCTTGTCCTCTTTCTTTGCAAATAGAAACTAGATAGGTGTTAATGACATTTTATGGTATGTGTGTGTGTCTTTGATTAATGCAAAAACCTTCATACTCTTGTTAAAATTAGAAAAGAAGCTATGATTGCTCATTTTAAAAAATAAAACAATTTTATTGAGATATAAGTCACATGCCATACAATTTACCCATTTAAGATGTTTCAAATTTAGTGGTTTTAGTGTATTTGCAGAGTTGTGCAACCACTGTCACAACTAGTTTTAGAACATTTTTATCAACAAGGATAAAGGAAAACCAAGAGATAAGCCCAGTACCCATTAGCAGTCATTCCCCATATCCCCCAACCTCAATTGTAAGCAAAAAATAATCTACTTTCTGGGTCTATATTATTTGCCCTTTCTGGACATTTTATATAAATGTAACTATAGAATATGTTGTCTTTTTGACTGGATTCTTTCACTTTGCATAATGTTTTCAAATTTTTCAATGTTGTAGTATGTATCAATATTTCATCCTTTTTTATTTCTGAATGATATTCCATTATATGGATAGACCACAATTTGTTTATCCATGTAACAGTTGATGGGCATTGGGTTGATTCTGCTCTTTGGCAATTATGAATAACGCTGCTAGAAACTGTGCAGGCTTTTGTATGTGTGTGTTTTCAATTCAATATAATGTCAATAGGTCTATGTTTAACATTTTAAGGAACTGCTAAACTCTTTTCCTAAGCAGCTGAACTACTTTACAACCCCACTAGCAACATAAGATGGTGCCATATCTTCTACATCCTCACCAAAACTTTTTAGTATGTGTATATATATATATATCCATTTATTCACTTATTTTTACTTTTTAAAATTGATAAAGTGATGTATATTTATTCTCCACAATATAATGTTTTGAAATATGTATACGTTGTGAAATGGCTAAATGGAGCTAATCAACATACGTATTACCTCACATAGTTATCATTTTTGTGATGAGAACATTTAAAATCCACTCTCTTGGTATTTTTCCAGGATACAATATATTGCTAGTAACTATAGTCATTATGTTGTGCAATTGATCTTTTCAACTTACTCCTCCTGTGTAATTAAAATTTTGTTTCACATGACAAATATTTCCCTCATTCCCTGTGTTCCTAACAAACCACCCTATCTCTTAGTACCCATCAGTCCACTTTCTATTTCTGAGTTCAACTTTTTTAGATTTTATAGATTTTACACACAAGAGAGATGATGCTGTATTTGTTTTTCAGTGCCTGGCTTATTTCACTTAACATAATGTCCTAGGGTATATTTACATTTTCTCACATAACAGAATTTTCTTTTTTAATGATTGACTAGTATTCCATTATGTATACTTACCATAGTTTCGTTATTTATTCATCCATTGATAGACAGTTAGGTTAATTTTGTACCTTACCTATTTTAAATAATGCTGTAATGAACATGGGAGTGGGGTATCTCTTCAACACACCAATTTCATTTTCTTTGGATACATATACAGTTGTAGGATTGCTAGATCATGTGGTAGTTCTATTTTTAACTTTTTGAGGAAACTCCATGCTGTTTTCCATAATGGTTGTATGAATTTACATTCCCACCAACAGTGTTCAAGGGGCTCCTTTTCTCCATATCTGCTCCAGCACTTGTTATCGGTTGACTTTTTGGTAAAAGCTATTCTAACAGGTGTGAGGTGATACCTCACGGTGGTTTCAATTAGTTTTTCTCTCATGATTACCGATATTGAGCATTTTTAATGTATCTGTTGGCCATTTGTATGTCTTCCTTTAAGAAATGTCTATTCGGGTCCTTTGCCAAATTTTTAATCAGGTTATTTGTTTTCATGCTATTAGGTAGTTTGAGTTCCTGATATATTTTGAATAGTTGTCCTGTATAAGATGTATGATTTGCAGTTTTTTTCTCCCATTGTCTAGGTTGTCTCTTCACTCTGTCATTCCCTTTGCCCTACAAAGCTTTTAGTTTGATGCAATCCCATTTGCTTATTTTTGTTTTTGTTGCCAGTGCTTCTGGTGTCATATTTCAAAAATTATTGCTCAGACCAATGTCATGAAGTTTTTCCTCTATGTTTACTGATAGTGGTTTTATAGTTTTTTTTTTTTTTTTTTTTTTTTTTTTTTTTTTTTTTTAACGGAGTCTCGCTCTTGCTGCCCAGGCTGGAGTGCAGAGGCAAAATCTCAGCTCACTGCAATCTCCTCCACCTCCCAGGTACAAGCAATTCTCCTGCCTCAGCCTCCCAAGTAGCTGAGATTACAGGTGCCTGCCACCAGGTCTGGCTAATTTTTGTATTTTTAGTAGAGATGGGGTTTCACCATGTTGGCCAGGCTGGTCTTGAACTCCTGACCTCAAGTGATCTGCCCGTCTCAGCCTCCCAAAGTGGTGAGATTACAGGCATGAGCCACTGCATCCAGCCTGTCTTTAATCTATTTTGAGTTGATTTTTGTATATAGTGTGAGAGAAGGTCTAATTTTATTTGTATGCACATGGTTATCTAGTTACTTCAATATCATTTATTGAAGAGACTATCATTTCCTAGTTGTGTATTCTTGGCGCTTGTGTTAAAAATCAGTTGGCTGTGAATGTGTGGATTTATTTCTGGGTTCTCTATTCTTTCCTATTAGTCTATTTTTCAGTTTTTATGCCATTACCATTCTCTTTTGATTGTTACAGCTTTGTAATATAGTTTAAAATCAGGAAATGTGATGCCTTCAGCTTTGCTCTTTTCTCTCAAGTTTTTTTTGTTTGTTTGTTTAGCTATTCTGGGTCTGCTGATTTCCATACACATTTTGGGATTTTTTTTCTATTTCTATGAAAAATGTATGCTTGAATATCGAGATCTCTTAGGACAGTATGGACATTTTAACAATTTATTTCTTCCAATCTGTAAATACAGATATCTTTTCATTTATTTATTCTATTTTTTCATCAATGTTTATGAGTTTTTGGCATACTGTTTTTTCACCTCCTTTGTTGAATTTATTCCTAAGTATTTTATTATTTTTTAGCTCTTGTAAATAGCTCTTGATTTCTTCTTCAGGTAGTTCACTGTTAGTGTAGAGTAACTCTTCTGATTTTTTTATGTTGAATTTATATCTTGAAATTTTACTGAGTTCATTTATTATTTCTGACACATTTTTAGTGGATTCCTTAGAGTTTTCTATATATAAAAATCATGTCAGATATATATAAAAATATATAAAAATTGAATCGGAGCCTCCCTCAGCCTCCCAGGCAGGAGTGCAGTGACACAATCTCAGTTCACTGCGAACTCTACCCCCCAAGTTCAAGCGATTCTCCTGCCTCAGCCTCCTGAGTAGCTGGGACTACAGGCGCACACCGCCACACCCAGCTATTTTTTGTATTTTTAGTAGAGACAGGGTTTCACCATGTTGGCCAGGATGGCCTGGATCTCTTGACTTCGTGATCTGCCCACCTTGGCCTCCCAAAGTGCTGGGATTACAGGCGTGAGCCACAGCGCCCAGCCTATTTTTCTCTCGTTCTTGCCTAATTATTCTGGCTAGGACTCCCTGTACTATGTTGAATAGAAGGGGTGAGAGTGATTGCCTATTTCTTTTGACACTGGTTTTAATATCTTTAACTTAGATGACTGAGTTACTTCCCCTGTAATTTTAGGAGCATGCTTAGAGAAAAGTGTAACAAGTTATGAGGAATTCCCCAGTGTCTTTCAGACCCCAGAGACAGCAGCCAGCATTCCTGGCAGCTAGTCTGGTATGTTCAGTAGAGATGCCCTGCAACTTCTGGTACATATTTGCATGTCTCAGCTTCACCAAAGACCGTGAAGATCAGATCTGTGTTCAGCAGAAGACTGTGACATATGCAGATTTAACACATTCTCCTACACTCATCTAATAAGTTGAAAGATTTAAGTTCAGAAAACCAACATCATGAAGAGAAATTGGAAAGAGATTTTACACACACAACACAGCTGATGAAAGACCACATGTTATGTAACCTCACCTCTTGACTAGGTGCCAGGAGCCGGAGTTCTCTGGGTCTGCAACAAGGTATTAAAAGCCTCTAAAACCTGAAAATGCTAATAAGAATGGTTAAAAAAAAATAAAAGGAGTGTCTGTGAAATTCATAATTTTAATGCAATCTGAAGTGCCTTGGAATCATTAGCCTAAAACACTAAAAACAGTTTTTAGAAATAATTTAAATACTAAATAATATTTATCCAAGCTGACAGCATGTTGTAGATATAGCTTGTAGATCACAGTGTTAATAGGCAAATTAAAAATCAATATTTTAATATTTTAATCCATCAACATGTTGAAAAGATTTGATAAAATCGCTTTTTTATTTTTATCTCCTGACTTTTTTGGGAAACTAAGTTGATCATCTACACAGCAAATAGAATATCTTTATGCCCCAGCAATAGAAATAATAATGAATTTCATTCATCTTAATTTTTATATAATCTCCATGGAGAAGATGGGCTGGCAAATACTTTGAATGAGCTGCCATTGTTTTTACTTATTATGAAAATTTATTACATTGTTCTCACAGATGTAAATGGGGTTTAAATTCAATGCTTCTTATCTTAAATCTCTTATGTCCATTTCAAGTCCTATTTCATTACATTTAGCCCTTTCTTTACTTTGTTTTCTGTAAAGTCCTTGTCTAGACCCTGGCTAACTAATACATTTAGATTAATGAAATGTCCTTCTGGTAGTTCTCTGATTTCTAGCTTCAAACCTTTCTGACTTTAGCTAATCCTACTCTTGTGAGTGACCTACTCCAGGAGTTTTAAGTGATCACAAAAGGTTCTATTTTGTTCCTTTTGACTTAATATCATTTGACTCCAAGAACATCCATACCCTTACCTTTTTTCTGGCCAAGACATCCCATTAAAAAAACAAACAAACAAAACTCATTCATTTATTCCTCATTTTTTCTGCGTGATTCCATTTTACGTGATCCTCACACAGAGAACTATACCCATAGCCTGCCCTATGTTTTGTGTAATCCGTGTCCTAACACACGTGATCCTCACACACAGTATTATACCCGCAGCCTGCCCTATGTTTTGTGTAATCTGTGTCTTAACACACGTGATCCCCACACATAGAATTATACCCATAGCCTGACCTGTGTTTTGCATATTACATGTCCTAACACAATCACCTCCAAACAGGCATGATGGGGCGTGGGGGTGTTCTTCACTGAGGAGAATTTAATGGGTTAATGTGGTATCATTCACAACCACTTAGCTACAGTAACGTCTTCTCACAGGTTCTATCTCTATGGCTTCACACTTCCTGTAGAGTTAAATTCATGCATTTTCTGAAATCTACATGACCATTGTATTCCATCTTGGGGTTCCTTAACCTTGTATCTAAATTCTCACTTCACTTGGATCCTTGATGATAGGAATCTGTGAGATAAATGTCATAGTACCCACCAACACCATGTGCTCAGCAGTCACCAGAGAACAGGTTCATTATATCACCTTTGCTTTAAGAGATTCAGCAATTTCCACGAAGGCCCACAAAGAGGCCTTGCTGAAAATAATTTCAAGTAATTCATCCTGCCTAAGTACACAGACTCCAGGTGCAGGGAGATTGAAGTTTTGTTCCCAGTTTTGTTATGTAATAGCTTTGTAATCTTAAAACATTTCTTAAATATCCTGAACCTCAGTTTCCTTATCTGTAAAATGCTTCATATGAAGTTTGTATCTCACATTGTTGTTTTGAATATAATAACGAATATCAACCACGTAACACTGCCTGGCATATTATAAATTCTCAATGTCTCTTGTTTAAGAGTCATTTAAAATGTAATTATGGCTGCATAGTATTCCATGGTGTATATGTGCCACATTTTCTTAGTCCAGTCTATCATTGTTGGTCATTGAGAACTGAACAATGAGAACACATGGACACAGGAAGGGGAACATCACACACCGGGCCCTGTTGTGGGGTGGGGGGAGGGGGGAGGGCTAGCATTAGGAGATATACCTAATGTTAAATGAAGAGTTAATGGGTGCAGCACACCAACATGGCACATGTATACGTATGTAACAAACCTGCACATTGTGCACATGTACCCTAAAACTTAAAGTATAATAAAATAAAATAAAATAAAATAAAATAAAAATGTAATTATTATTTGTAGTAGAAATAATAGTAGAGAGAGGTAGTGTGATATGGTAGAATTCGTGATCTGGAAGACCTTAATCCGACTCTTGTTTCTTATAATTTAGAGAAGCAGGGCTTTGGGTAAACCACTTAACTTCACTTGTAAAATGAAAGTATTAATGAATGCATCACAGGGTCCCTGTACCAATGAAATGAGCTCCTGGGTAGAAAAGTGCTTCATAAACGGGTATGTGTTACATAAATGTTAATTATTGAAATATGGAGTCATTACTAACCTTATAAAAAAACAAGCAAATGCATTTTACATGTAATTTTTACTCAATTATCCTTTAAGTTTAGTCACAATTAGTAGAAATTGTCCCTAATAATAAACGTAAAGAAAGGAAAGCACACATACTGACAAGGGGTTATTGATTTTAGAAGAAAGGCTTTCATTTTTTTGATATTTTGCTACCATTGACTTGTGATATGGGTAATTTTCTAAATTACTATACTTCAGTGAAGTTATAATTGTCTAACTTATTTTATGATCTATGAGTCATTATAAAAAGGCTTATGATTTTTAAACTCACTGTGAAATATTCATAGAAGGTGTTTCTTCTCTATTCTGTTACTGCAAAAAAATCAGTGTAATGCCTTTGTCATATTGTGATAAACATTAAAAAAATACAAGCTGATTTTTCCCAATATTATCACATTACAATTTCTTTAACTTTCATGGGTGTTCTTTTTGTTTCTGGCAACAAGTGCCACATTGCTGAAAAGTCTCTAAGTTCATTTTGGCAAAGGCTTTTCTTTTTAAATAAAAAAAATTGGGGATAGAAATATTTCATGTTTTTTTATCCACACCAAAATATACAAATTATTGATATCATAATGTAAATAATAAGACCGTACATTGACTAATTTTTAATGAATATTTTATGGTCCTCGAATTAAGAATGTACAATGTTGAAAAGATTGAAAAATGGTTTGGGGTAGTGGATCACATGTGGGATGGTGTTGAATGGATTGCTGACACCACATGAGTTCATGCACACATACTTTGTGGGCAACTGTGGTGAAATCACCATAGACTGGCCATTAACTTACAATATGTGGATATTCTTAGTAATTTATATTTGTTGGCAGTTAATATCTGTTTCAGAAAGCTTGAAAAGGAATTTTGTGTGTGTGTATGCACGAAACCTTTTCCCCAGATCATATTTGTGTGTATATATATAAAATGGAATATATGTATATATTATATATGTGTATATATGTGTATAAATAATATATATACATTACATATAAATATGTATATTTATACATTATATATAAATAAAATATTAAATATACATTATATAATTTTACTATATAATTTTATAGTTTAATAATGTATATAATTTTACATTATACATTATATTCATATATAAAATATATAACATATATAATTTTACTATATTATATATTAATTATAATTATTAATTTAAAAGTGGGAAAAACTTTTATTATAGTTAATACTGGGTTTAGCTCTAGAGTTTAAATTTTCAGGGATCTCTTTGTAGTTATCTCTGATAACCACAATAAAAATAATAGTGGTGACACTAATGATAACTAATATTTACTGAGGACATTTTGAAGCAGACCTCTTCTAAGTGACGTATATTCACAACACTGTTTAAACTTCATAAGTAGCCAAATCAGTAGGCACTGTGATTTTTCCTTTTCTCTGGGTGAAGAAATTGAGGTGCATAGAAGTTAAATAAGTAATTTACTAATGTCTTGCTGTGAAGTGACTTTGAATAAAATATTCCCATTGACAAAGTGCCAAATATCTTAAATTGGAATACTAGCTTTATTTTTTACTTTGAATTATTCTTGCTTTTATTACTATCCTGTTAAATAAAAATAATTTTGGAAAGGCTAATACATTAAGTCATTAACTCAGTGTTCATTAGTTAATGTCTTAGAGAAGCAAGTCCCCAGGGAAGCTCAGAACTCTGGGTGACCAAGATAGGCAGAGAGGATTGTAAGAGTGAGGAAGAGAGGAAGTGGGTTGCAGTGAGCAAATCTGCCTAAAGGCTACATGTAATCATCTCATACACGTGGTGTACTTAGAATCATTTTAGGTTATGCAAAAAAAAAAAAAAAAAAAAGAAAAGAAAAAAACTCAAAATAATACAGATTGTAAAATCCTCCATTCTACCTACACCAACAGCTCACACACTTCTTTTTATTATTATTATTTTACTTTCTCAATGTACCACATCAGAGCCAATCTCATACACTTCTAAAGGATGTCTGGAAGCACCATATGCAATGTAATGCACAGAACCAAGTGTCAGGGGACTGAACGTGTTATTAGGAAGTATAGCCATGTTAGAAAAATTTATCCTCCTCTCCATATAAAGAGATTCTTCCACTAGCCTTGAACTTCTAATAGATTATTTGAGACTTCACTGATAATTTTTTTCAAGACATAATATGTAAGCACATAGAGGGATATCCCCAAAAGAATTGAGAAAAAATAAAATTGTGTGTTGATGTATTGATGCTTCAGTGGAATATGCATGTATATAGACAAATTTTGGCTTTAAATTTGAAACTCTTACTCCAGCTTTTCAGTTTGTCTCTCAAAGGACTAGTCTTATTCAAAACTTTAAATTATAAAAGTCAGCTCCTCCTGGGTTACATTTTTGGGTAATCGTTCTTACGGACATATGGAAAATGATTTTTTGAGTCATATAAGTCAATATCTGATAAAAATGGAGTTAGCAGAAACTTTCCAAATATTCACTTTTGGCTGAGGCTAAGCCTGGAGAGTTTAAAGCCCTAAAGGAGAATTTTGGAGAAAGTTATGAATGAATGCATACTAGTTTACAATGGAAATGCAATTGTAACCAAGCATTATAATGTGTCTAGACATTCAGGGCTTGGTTCCCAAAGTGAAGTGTTCTAGCTTTACAAGACATCCTCATGGAAAATGCTCAAGATGTTACATGGTGAGAATTCTACCAAAGACCCAAATGTGCTTCTGACACCGTTTGGAACTTGTTCCCCTTTTAGGAAGGGAAGGGTTCGTATGAATATTCAGAAAACAGTGAAGCACTAATCACTGGGCATAAGCATAGAAAAATAATGAGTAAAGAAAAATTATTTGAAGATTATTGTAGGTTTTTAAATTATTATTTTGTTTAAGGGTGTTTGACAGAAACGATTGCTATGTGCTGATTTTAGGACAACCTAGTCAATGACAAATTTAGCAGCTCATTCTTTTTCTTGACAGTTTTTGAAAGATTATATTGCAGTTCTTTTGATTCTCAGAGGTTTTAGGGTAAAATCTAAATGAAAGGACTCTTTTAAAGTTATAAGTACAAGCAACATCATAAATGAATTTCTTAAGATTTAGAAAATAAATATCTGTTTTTTAAGGATACAGCCTGTCATGGAAAGACAAAGACAAAATCAACGTTTATCCGAAAAACATTTTATTCCAATAATCAACTACTGATGAATTTTGAGGACATCTACAAGTTTTTACTTTGGAGGATTTAAATTTTCTGGCAGTCAGTTCTCTGAGGTTGCAATTATTAATAAACTCCGTGTGTGTGTGTGTGTGTGTGTGTGTGTATAAGATATCCAACCATCTAATTCTCTTCCAACACTTATTTTTATAAATGACTTTGTAAGTCCTGAAAGAAGAATTATTCTCCAGCGTTTTTAGAACCACTTCCAGCAGTGTGTCTCCAGAGTCAAATAGAGCTGTCTTCATCATTTTTACATATAGACTTCCTCAAACACTAAAAAGAATGATAATCGCCTAATTATAAATTCACTGTTAATATAGCCTTAGAGCTGAGAACATTTCACTCCAGTAGTTAATTTAGTCTGTGGTAAATTCTCACTGTTATTTAATGTCATTTATCACCTGCTGTTTTGTCTTACTGAGAACATCCTGCTTGCCCCGTCCCGTCTACAGTACATGGACCTTCTGTGACTTTAATGTACTCTGAACAAAGGCTCCAAAGTGCTTCTATCGGGAGGATTTTGGCAACTTGCCTTAGATATATTCAAGCCATTTTGCTGCCTGTCACTCACTGCTGTACAAATTGAACTCAGAGGAGAGGTAAAAAGGGTCCATCAGGCATTTTTTTTTCTGGGAAGAATATGCTAATAAAGCGCCATCAGCAGGAAGCAGGCTGTGTCTGAAAGAGTTTTGTCAACTCTGAATTAATTTTGTGTGTTAAGAAACACGGGGGTGCTTCTAGAGCCGGTCTGTGGTAATTAATCCTTCCTGTTTCTGGAAGAACAGAACTGCAATAAATGCAGCCCACATTTAACAGATGTGTGCACACAATGTCTGCTTTATGAGGAGTAAAACAAAATGATGGGTACAGAACAAAAAAATGTTGATTTAAAAAACTAAAACAGTTTGGAAAGCACAGAGCTTGGAATTCCCAGAGTTTATGCAAATATAGTATTCCTTTAAATGTTCACAGACAACGTGGTTTTGAAAACATCTGTGCATGGGGTTGGATACTGTGAAGAGACTGAAAAAGGCAGATGTTTCTTGTTCTTTAGAAAATTGAGGAAAAAAATTGCATGCAGGCATTAGGTATGATGGAGTTTGCTCTATCTAGATGTGGTGAGATTGGGCCCAAGTAATCAGTGGTGACCTCATTCTGGGATAAAACTCTTATTATCCTCTTTATTTTTTCCCCAAAAGCATTATAGGGGAAAAACTCAAATTACGTTATCTGTAACTATGAAAACAATGTTGCATGGTGATTTGAATGTTGTCCCTCTGAACAGAAGAGTTTGGCTTTCAAAATGAGGCATGCAAATTGTGCTGCTAATGCTGACATTTGATATATTCAAATACCAGTTCCACATAAAGGTGAATAAGGGCAGGTTGAAATGGTATTCATTAAAACAAATCCAAGTGGAAAAAAAGCATTTAGGGCTACCAGCTCAGTCTAGCCCATTATAGCTTTTTTTTTTTTTTCCTTCTTTCTTTTTTCCTTTTTGTTTTTTTAATTCTTTTTTATTTCATTAAGCTAACCGTGCCAAAATGGCTAGGAGGCAGGAGTTTGACACGGGTAAGTTAAAATGGAATCATGGGGAAAATGCCCAGTCAGTAGTAAGCATTTTGATAGGGTATGTTTTAAACAGGTTTTAACAAGCCTATTTCTTCTATCAGGAAGATAAAATATTTCATAAGTGTATATTTAAAGACTCAAAATCCAAATATTAGGACCTGATGTGAAGAGCATATCATAAAACTCAGCCTCCTCCCCACTGCCTATATAACCTTTCATGTAGAGCAAATACCAAAAACACTTTAACTCACTTCCAGTGAAATGTATTACTTCATGCAAAATAGCAATTCCTTTAGGTCTTGGCAAATATTAACCACCGAAAATTGGTTTTAAAAAAGTCAGCCTTGGTTAACCCTTTACATTTTATATCGATTTCATGCAATAGCCTTTCACTCCAAAGAATTTCATCTTTTATGATAGTGTTTCTGCAAGATTATTTAGTATGTTATATAAAATGTCTCTGAATAGTTCTTTCAAAATTACTTAGGGTTTATATCAAAGTCAATCATTTAACTGTTGTTCAAAATTGATGCCTTTCTATGAAATAGAAGACTGGAAAGGAATTGTGATTCTCATGGAAAGAGCAAGGCAACTGAACAAATCTGCTCATTTTAAGTATTATTTTAAAGTCTAGCTAATGAAGATATTCATGGAGAAAGTATGTTCCCTGCCATGTACTTTCTGTACAGCTTATCACAGTCTAAGATGAGACTTAAACCACCTCCAGAGTATATGCATTAACTATCTTTTTCTAGTTGGATATTAAATAATTTAAAGATAATGATGTTCCATAAGCTATGTTTAAAAATTAGATTTTGATAGCTGAAAAATAATTGGATTTAGAAGAATCCAAATTTTTTCAATAAAACTTACCTATAAAAGTAAATTTTGTATTTTTCTATAGTATCAAAATGATATGTTACCCATGAAAGTTCTTTCCTTTCATTCAAAAAGCATATTTTACAAGTCTACTTGGTATACATTTTTTAGGTACTAGATACTGTAATACAAGAAAAAAAAAAAAAAAGTCATTGCCTGCCCTTGAGGAACTTCCAGTCCACACTGTCTCCTCCAGATAGTTTGCATTTCATTTATAAAATATAGTAATTCGTGATTCAGGACGAATGAGTTGGATTTTACCAATTAAAAGGGATTGGAGTGACAGAGAATTGTCCCAAATGGAAAGGCCAGCATATGTGAAAGCCTGGAAGGTCAAGATTTCTTAAAATAATTTTACGAAGTATTTTCTCAGGTACCTAGAGTATATAGACTTCCCTTGAAACCTCACACCTTCCTCAGTACAAAGAACTCCAAACACCAAAGATAAACTCTTTTTAATCTTTTTCACACAAAATGAAGATGCTAATTCACAATGCCTGCTTTGTATCTACATGGTCCCAGATATAATGTTGGACCATGGTCTTTCAAAAGTTTTCAAGAAACTTGGAAATATGGATTAACAGCAGAAAAGAGTGAAAGCATAGTACTATGAGTTCAGGGTCATAGCAGAAAACAAATCAAAGCCTTCGGAAGAGATTCTTGGAATCTCTTCTAAGATTCCTGTTCATCTAGGGGAGAATAGGCCAAGTTTTTTCTAAGCTTTCTAAAGTCCCTCATTCATCAATGAGCTCTAATCCTCATGGCTTTAAACTTAGATGGAAAGTAATATTTCGTTTTCACAGTTGTTTTCAAATCCCAATATGAACTGAAATAATCTGAATGAGGCCAGGGCCTTACCTCTAGAAATTTCATTTTCTAAAACATTTGTATCTTGGAAAGACAGTATGCTTGAGTATGGTTAGCAAAGTCCATAGTGAATACTCAGTAAATACGTAATGATTATTATAATTATCGCTGTTATTTGAGTTAGTAGCCACTGATAGTAGTTGTGATGCAAATAGCTCTCAAGAATTACTGTCTTGGAATACAGAAAATCAAAACTATCACCCTGCAATTACCCTGGAATTAGTTTACATGTGGGGGTCGGAGAGAAATGACTACCAAAAGTGATGGTGAGAGATTTTACCTTTTATTGTTAAGCATATGTACATTAGCACTCCATCAAGCCATTTTCATGATTTCAGGGTAAACTCAGTGGCATTGCACTTCTTCGTTTTCCAAAAATGACTTGTGCTTTTTAAATGTCTGCATTATCTAAGAATACTAATTAGGTTTGTTTTATACTTACTGCACCTATAGTGTAACATGGGGATTTGAAGATAAGATGGGAGAGTGAATCCTAGTTGTGAGCAGAATTTCTAATACAACATGATCCATGTGCTGCCAAAGTTCAGAGACCACACCTTGTCTTTGTTTCACAGGTATCCACCTAGCATTGTTGTTCTCAGCATGATATTTGTCTCCTAAAATAATCATACATTTCTTAAATACAAAACACTGCACTACCTGAAAAAAAAGGACTAGCATTGATTAACATAGCAACACTACGCTCCTTGTTGTGGTTATTCTGTATTGTAACTCTTTAAATGGAATTGGGACTGATGTCATTTATGAAAGTTAGTTAACGGTAAAAAAAGTTGTCATGGAATTGACCCATCTTCAAGGACTACCTGGGACATTTTAGAATACTGAAAAACTAGGTTTTAGGTTTACATTTTCCAAAAATTCTAGAGATAAACATATTCAGATCTGTGCTAGAAGTTTTAAATATGACACAACACACAAGCATGAAGCCATGCTTACTTTTTGATCTGATTCACACATCTTTAGAGATTACACTTAACTTATAACATTTCCCTTTTTCTATATGTGCATCAGACGTGGTGCTGACTGTGACATTTAAACTGTTATGACCTAGAATATAAAGTTAAAATTGCTATTTTTTTTCAAAATGGCTGGCAGAAATCAGTTTCTAAAATCCTCCTTATACTGTCCCCGTCTTCAGTTAGTGACAATAAGCAACGGGCATGAAATTTTTAAAAGGTTTAACGATGGAGACAGAAGATGTCCCCTTCAAATTCCTATCAGCAAAAGCAACAGCAGACTCCTGCTAAGGAACGTTCTCAGATCTCACTGTGACCCTGCTGTGTGTCATGTCCTGCGAGAGATTGCACAAAACAACAGTGTAATGAAGTGTGCAGACACTTGCTCTCCTCTCTTCTCCCATCATACTAGACCCAGGATAAGATGGACAAAATGAAAAAAGAAATATTTAAGAGATTAACAAACTTGTGAGCACTTTGAAAGGGTTTGTCTGAGGAACTATCCACAATTTGATCCCATGCAGGGACAAACTTTCCATCTTACCCATCTGCCTTCCCCAGCCTCCAAACACCAAATCCAGCCCACTCTCTTTAAGATAAATCAATTTGTCAGAGCAACTGAGCACCTATGTGGTGGGATGTTCCTGATAATTAAGGTTTATAACTGCAGCTGTTTTTGTATCTTGGCTTTTAACCTTACGTTGGTGGAGAAAACCATCCTTGAAACATCTGGGTTCTTTGCTGAAACAATAGCATATTTTCTCCAGTAATCTTGTATAATTTCTGGTGAATAGTAGGGTACATTTAAACAGTTCTAATGGAGCAAACAATACTGTTTTAAAGGGCTTTGATCATTGCTTATCTTTCAGCTGATTATAGGAATCTTGTTGCAAGCGTTCAAAGGATTTTTAGTTTTGAATCTCTTTATGTCTTCAACCTAGTGATGACACTAATTTCCCTTATTGCCTGTGAAAGGAAGCCTAGTTTTGTCCTCAGACGTTTTTTGTTCCCTGTGTCATGTCTTTTGTGTATGCAGATGGGGCTGATTAATTCCAAGGCCTTTGCTACATTAAAAAATAATTTAAATAACTAGGCACAGTAAAGACTATTGAAATGTTTCTGTTTAAGGAGGAAACTACCAACAATGCAAATACACACACACACACACACACACACACACACACACACATTCTGTTTGGTGTTCATTTACAAACATCCTAGAGACTATGATTGGTGTTACAAATGGTGTTCATTTACAAATGTCCTACAGACTAAGATTTTCTAAATTAACCACTTTTTCCTTTGATAATATACTAGTCCATTTTCACGCTGCTAATAAAGACCTTCCCGAGACTGGAGAGAAAAATAGGTTTAATGGACTCACAGTTCCACATGGCTGGGGAGGCCTCAGAATCATGGTGGAAGGCGAAAGGCACTTCTTACATGGTGGCGGCAATAGAGAACGAGAAAGAAGTGAAAGCAAAACCCCCTAATAAAACCATCAAATCTCATGAGACTTACTCACTGCTGTGAGAACAGTATGGGGGAAACTGCCCCATGATTCAATTATCTCTTACTGGGTCCCTCCCACAACACTTGGGAATTACGGGAGCTACAATTCAGGATGAGATTGGGTGGGGACACAGAGCCAAACCATAGACACTAAAAACCAGCAATGTCCATTAAATAAATCTGAAATAAGTAGAAAGTGCTATAAAAGCAGGCAGATCACACCATGCACTGGGGTCCATACCTCACACAACAGGATACAGACGTATCTGGAAAATATTGCAGGTTCGGCTCCAGACCACTGCAATACAGGGAATTCAAAATCCAGCAAGTCACACAAATTTGTTGGCTTCCCAGTGCACATGAAAGTAATGTTTACATAATACTGTAGAATAGTAAGTGTGCAATAGCATTTTGTCTAAAAAAGCAATGTACATACCTTAATTTTAAGATACTGCTACAAAATGCTAATGAACATCTGAGGCTTCAACGTCACAACCTTTGTGATATTGGATAGCCTTGTTTGATGTTTATGGCCGCCGACTGATCAGGGTGGCTGTGGTGATTTCTTAAGACACCAGTGAAGTTTGCTACATCAACTGACTCTTCCTTTTACAAAAGTTTTCTCTGTACTATGTGATTTTATTTGGTAGCATTTTACTCACAGTAGAACTTTTTTTCACAATTGGAATCACTTCTTTCAAATCTTCTGGCTGTTCCATCAATGAAGTTTATGTAATATTATAAATCTTTCTTTGTCATTTCAGCAATGTTCAAAGCATCTTCAACAGGAGTAGATTCCATCTCAAGAAACCACACTTTTTATGCATTCATAAGAAGTAACTCCTCATCCTTTTGAGTTTGATCATGAGATTGCAGCAATGCAGTCACTTCTTCAGGTTCCACTTCTAATTCTAGTTCTCTTGCTATTTCCACCACATCTGCAGTTACTTCCTTCACCGAAGTCTTCAGTGCCTCAAAGTCATCCATGAGGATTGGAATCAACTCCTTCCAAACTGTTTGTGCTGATATTTTGACCTCCTCCTGTGAATCATGAATTCCTAATGACATCTAGAATGGAGAATTCATTCTAGAAGGTTTTTAGTTTTCTTTGCCCAGATCCATCAGAGGAATCACCATCTATGGCAGCTGTAGGCTTATGTAATGTATTCCTTAAATAATAAGTCTTGAAAGTTGAAATAACTCCTTGATCTATGGGCTATGGAATGGATTTTGTGTTAGCAGACATATCAATAATATGAATTTCCTTGTACATCTCCTTGAGAGATCATGGATGACCAGGTACATTGTCAACGAGCAACAATATTTTGAAAAAAAATTTCCAAGCAGTAGGTCTCAATAGTGAGTTTAACATATTTAGTAACCCTGCTGTAAACAGGTGTGCTGTCATCAGGCTTTGTTTCATTTATAGGCCATAGGTAGAATGGAGTTAACACAATTATTAGTGGCCCTAGGATTTTCAGAATGGTAAATAAGCATTGGCGTCAAACAGAAGTCAGCAACTACGTTAGCCTCAGACAAGAGAGTCAGTCTGTCCTTCAAAGCTTTGAAGCAAGGCATTGACTTCTCCTCTCTAGCTATAAAAGTCCTAAATGGCATCTTCTTCCAACATAGGACTGTTTTGTCTACATTGAAAATCTGTTGTTTAGTGTGGCCACTTTCTTCAATGGTCTTAGCTAGAAATTTTGGATAACTTGCTGCAGCGTCTACATCAACATTTCCTGCTTCACCTTGCACTTTTATGTTATGGCTTCTTTCCGTAAACATGCCTTCCACACTAAACTTAATCATTTCTGGGTTTTTGTTTCAACATAAGAGAAATGAAGTGTGACTTTTACTTTCACTCAAATACTTAAAGAGTATTTGATATTACTAATATCAAATTAGTAATATTTGATATTAATGTTATTATGTCTAATGTTCATGTTATTATGTCTCAGGGAATAGTGAAGTTCCAGGAAAGTAAGGGAGACAGGGGAATGCACAGCTCGTGGAGCAGTCAGAATACACACAACACTTATTAAGTCTGCCATCTTCTAAGGTCATGGTTCATGGTGCCCTTAAACAATTACAATAGTAACATCAAAGATCACTGTTCACGCATCGCTATAACAGATATAATAATAATGAAAAAGATTTAAAATATTGTGAGAATGACCAAAATGTGACACAGAGACAAAATGTAAAGACACTAATAGACTTGCTGGCCACAGGCTTTCCACAAATCTTCGATTTGTAAAAAAACACAGTATCTCCAAAGGAGAATAAAGCAAACTACAGTAAAAAGGAGTGTGCCTATAATTGTCTGTGAAGGAGAAATAGTCTCAAAAGAAAATGTAGCATGTGTTTGTTCCGTAATTTTTACAAAATTAAAATAAAACTCACAAAAGGTCTTAAATGCAATGGCTTTCTCTAAACATAAAAACTACTGCCTGTTACATTCAAGCAGGTTCTACAGTTGACTTTCTTCTTTTGATAAAATTATGTGTTTTCTGAAGTATTTGTTTAAAGACAATTGTATAACTAAAGTGTACACTTTAATAGGATATTTGTTTTTTGTTATTGTTATGTTTTTGTTTGTTTGTTTATGTTTGCAGTGCAGTGACACAATCTCAGCTCACTGCAACCTCTGCCTCCTGGGTTCAAGTGATTCTCCTGCCTCAGCCTCCCAAGTAGCTGGGATTACAGGTGCCCGCTACCACGCCCATCTAATGTTTGTATTTTTAATAGAGACGGGTTTTTCGCATGCTGGCCAGGCTGGTCTCAAACTCCTGACCTCACGTGATCTGCCTACCTCAGCCTCCCAAAGTGCTGGGATTACAGGCGTGAGCCACCACACCTGGCCACTTTAATAGAATATTTGATTACCTGGGTATGGCAGACACTTGTTACTTTCTGGCTGCTGCAAACTTATCCACCCTTACCTGGTAGCATCTCTTTCTTGTGGGGGAGGTCCCCATGTTGTGCAGTCTCCACAGGAAGTCAATTTCCTGCATCAGTTGCCCACTGTGGCTTCCACTATGGGGCCAAGTGTTTTAACTAATTCTGGTTGGAGAGGGAGGACAGTCACTTGACCTAAACCCTGACATTCAGATGTTCAGTACTAGGAGTTTGCTTCTTAAGCTAATGAAACAAACGCCAAACATCAAGAGACACTACAGTAATCGGAGACAATGCAGTGACAGGATTGACTACCCGTGGATCAGCCTGAAGCTTCACCTTTTTTTTCAAAGTGCATTTTGAGAGTATTTGTGCTATCCATTAGTAAAAATTACCAAAGAGGAGCATAATGGAAGCATAGAGAAATAGTAAAAATAGAAACATCCAGATAGTCTATGAACCCTAGGAAATTTACACAACAGTATTATTATTCAATATATTGTTGTCGTGTGGCACCAACGCCAGAGAAGAATTAATTGCTGAGCAACGGCCCAGACAGGAGTTCCCAAGAAGTAGGTTCAGGTCCATGAGTTGGGAACTTGCTGAGTTGCTGTGGATCTTTGCTTCTTTAAAGTGTTGTCCATGGATTGCGGGCATCATCAGTATTACCTGGGATCTTCGTAGAATCACAGAATCTTGGTCCCTAACCCAGATCTGCAGAATCAGTTACTGCGGCTTCACATGATACCCACTGGATGTGCATGTACATTCAAGTTTGAAATGATGATGTGAATCAGGCAGCAGAAATGAAATATAGTCTGTATTATCTGAACTGTGGTCCCCAAGGCTAGCCTGTGCAAGAAAAGGTGTAACTCAGTCTGAAGAGAACACTGAAATTAAAAATTAAATCTATGGAGTCGTTTTATTCTTGGCTACATAGGTGTGTTTCACATTCTTTAAAATCTCAAATCCACACGTTTTCTATGTAAGAATTATGCATCTAGAAAGGATAACGGGGGAAACATAGTATTTTTTTCCTACATGAGGAAGTTGAGACATTTCCGCTACGTTTGATCAAACCTTTCTTTTAGCACATCACTATTATTCGCTTCCTACTAACAAGAACTTCAAGCAGAGAGGCTTTTAGTGAAAATATAGAGGATGACTTCAGGGAAATTGTGGTGCTTTCAGAGGCCAGATGTCCATCGATCAAGAATGACCCCAGGAAATTGGTGAAAGTTTTTATCTTGTGGCAAAGACAAAAACCATGATTTTAAGGTTTTGAAAATGCATATGTTCTTTTTTTGTGTGAGTGCTTCAATCTGTGGGGAAAAAGTAATTTGAGAAGAGTTGGTTAAGACTTGAGCTGAATAAAATGTGATGATCTCCTGCGTTTACACTAAATTTTAAAAATCCATTAGCTAAGAACTTATAATACAAAAAGTGAACTTTTAAGAGATAATATGCTAGAAAGTTAAGATCTGCCTACATAAAGGTAAAGAAAACCCCCTTTTTTTCTGTTTTTGTTTTTTAAGAGTCTTGCTCTGTTGCCCAGGCTGGAGTGTAGTGGCACAATCTTGGACTCACTGCAACTACTCCACCTCCCGGGTTCAAGCAACTCTCCTGCTCAGCCTCCTGAGTAGCTGGGACTACAGGAATGTGCCACCACACTCAGCTAATTTTTGTATTTTTAATAGAGATGGGATTTCACCATGTTGGTCACGCTGATCTTGAATTCCTGACCTTGTGATGCACCTGCCTCGGCCTCCCAAAGTGTTAGGATTACAGGCGTGAGCCACTGCGCCCAACCGGAAAACCTATTTTAAGACAAGTCTCTTTTCCAATTCTCTTTTGCTAGATGACACTGATTTTTTTTTTAAGTTTGAAAGGAGTGCTATAGATTTATTGTATCTCAATAATTCAATTATTTACATCTGTCCAGTGTTTCATAGTTTTCAAAACACATTCATATGGAATAAAATACTCTTTAGTCTTCCTAACAACCCCATAAATCAGGTTAGCCAGGCATCATGAGTGATTCTGTTTTCTATCACAGAGAAGTAAGATCGGGTAGTTGTTTAAACTTTGACATTGGATAAACACTAAACTGTGTTTGAATATTGGCTCTGAAATTTACTCATAACTAACACTTGGTCAAATAAATTGCGTACTGAATCATCCAAAAATATTTCATTAGCATCTACCACATGCTGGCATTCCACTGAGCACTGGGCTGGATTGGAGGGTCAGATGTGGTCCTCAATGTCATGGTCCTGCATACACATGTATTTGGAGATAGGCTCACATTTTAAACAAAAACGCACCAGCCTAAAAGTGTGTATGTGTATTTTTCTCATATCATGCTACCGGAAACGTCTAGAATAGTGCTAATATAGAAGGGAAGAAAAAGTCTTTTTTCATAATCATATTTTCATAAACATATTTCCATAAACATAATTCAGGGATTTATATTTTCTCTCATTTTAATTGTATTCTTAAATATTTTGATTTAATATTTAACTTTTTAAAAATTAAAATAGTATTCTTGTAAAATACTTATTTTCTATGCCTAGTATTATATGGCATCTATTGCCTGTCAAGACAGTGGCATTAAAAATTTTTTTAAACTCATTTTGAAAGAACTCTGTACCAGAGCAGCTGTCCTAAAAATAAAAAAACAACACTCGGAGAGCCTTTGGTTTTGGTGCCCTTCTCTTGCTACGGTGTTTGCTTTTCTGCACTCCTGACTTCACTCTTTGCTGTTGGTAAGCATGGCTCCCTCCCCTGCTTCCTTATGGCTTCTGAATTGAACTCTGATTTTGCTCTGTTCTGTACCCCTCCCTTTTCTCAGATTTTCATTGACATGTGAAGATCATTCTCTCCTTCCAGAGTTTATTTTACATGAGGACAAAAAAAATGCTTTTAACTTGATATTGACTTTATGGGTCTACCACATATAATTTGTTATATGTTGACAGGATTTCTAGGTGATTCATGGGGCATCTGTGATTCTCCCTCTGTCTGGTTTGGAGAATGTGGTAGGATTTATATGCTACACAGTTTACTTGACTGTGTAGCATATAAATGCTGTACTTGACTTGAATATGTCACAGTGTACATTATTTTAAAGACTGCATTAGAACAAAATCAGCTGGTACTCCTTAGCTAAATCTCCTGGTGGCAGTTTAAAATTTTACTTGATAATCTGCTTTGAAACCAGAAATGTGTAAAAGAAGGAGTCACTAACTTCCTAGTTACTCTTAAGTATATATAGAGGGACATTGGACAAAGTTTATATTTTCTGCAAAGCACTTAAATATATATGTATTAGAAAGGAATGGTTACAGTTTAATATAAGGGTTGGAAAACTTTTTATGAAAAGGGCAAATAGTAAATAATTTAGAATTAATTGGTTGTACATTTCTGTTGCAACTATCCCACACTGTCATCATAGCACAAAAGAAGCCACAGGTCCTACATAAACGGGCATGTCTATGCTCCAGCCACATTGTATTTACAAATAGGCAGTGGGCAGAGCTTGGCCCATAGGTTCTATTCATAGTTTGTGAACACCTGGTTTAGTATATTATAAATACATCCCAAGAGCATCTCTTATGTTTTTTGGAACCCTCTGGATGGGGAAGGCATAAACAAATTTCCTCAGTGGGGGTTTCATGTAAGTATTCACACTCTCCCAGCTGCTATGAGTTGTCTATTTAAAACCTAGCCATGAGCCTTGTATGACCTGTGATTTTACAGTGATTCTGAACCATTTTTCCTCCTCCAGAAGGAGGTATGTACAGGTGCTCCGCAGTCACATTAGTGTCATGTCTCAGCGGTGAGGAAGAGACACACAGGCACCAAAGAGTGGCATGCAATCATACTAAAGCAATCTCAGCAAAATGGTCATTTGTCTATTTTTGTTTTCTTTTGTCTCGTCTTCCTTTTTATTTATTTATTTATTTATTTATTTATTTTTGAGACAGGGCCTTGCTCTGTCACCCAAGCTGTAGTGCAGTGGTGTGATCACGTCTCACTGCAGCCTCAACCACCTGGACTCCAGAGATCCATGCCAACCTCCTGAGTAGCTAGGACTACAGGTGCATGCCACCATACCCAGCTAATTTTAAAGTTTTTTTTAGAGACAAAGTCTCACTATATGGCCTAGGCTGGTCTCAAACTCCTGGGCTCAAGTGATCCTCTGTTTTGATCTCTCAAAGTGTTGGGATTACAGGCACTCAGCCAGTCCATTTTTAATTATATATGGGACTACTTGCTTTTATTTATCTTGTAGCTTGTTTTTCATTGTATTTATATGAATCTAACAGCTACAAAACTACTTCAACTTTTATTTTCTTTTCAATACCTTTCATTTAACTAAGATTTAACACGAAAGAAATTGCTCACTTCTATTTGCTTGGGACCAACACATGAGACTCTTAAACAAGGGGCAGAGCCCTAAGTTAAATAATGGGCATTTAGTTTTGATGTGCATTGGTTCAGGGTCCTAAGTCACCTAAGTTTTGTAGATAGTTTCTTTACTCCACCAAAGGTTAGGACAACTTGGACGCTCTGCTTCCTTTGTCTCTACCCATCCCCTTACATCAGTGGCCTGGCCATCCTCTTCTCATGGTAATGGACAGACACTCAGAAACGCATGTATGCACACATGATATGGGTGAAACTACCCAGTTTCTCTGTAAACTGAAAAAGTACAGTGAGAAAAGGAGAAGTCCAAAAGAAAAACCAGAACGGCACCTATAATACAAAAGCTCTCAGACGATATAATTGTAAGAAAAACAGACATGATAATTAAGAATGTGGAATGAACCTGTTAACCTCGCCATACCTGGGTGCCACTGAAAATATGTTGTGTACTCCCCAGAGCTTCTCAAAACTGATCCAAACACTTAAATAGTATGGATTTTATTTTAGTAATTGACAATAATAATCTTAGAAATTTTGCACTGGTGATTAATGTAGATACAGCATGGCCATAGACTCTTGAAATCTGTATTGTATTTTTTTTTCTGTTTATTTACAGTTTGATTTTGTAGACTAGAATCTCTTTGCTTACATCTACTAAAATATGCCAAAAGCACACATTTATGCACTGAATATCAGAGAGAAAAATTATCTGAAGCAACACACCAGATACATTTTCAGGTATTAATAGAAATGTTCTATTAGTGTACCATGTTCATTAAAGTTTTGCACAGAACATCAAACTATGCATTTTCTAATGAGATAACATACTGAATGAATCATATATTACAATATAAATGACCATTCACTAAGTTAATTTATTTTACTCTAGACTTTATGACCTCCTTGCAAAACTTTAAAGAGGGATTTGTCAATATTCACCATACTGATATTTTAAATAGTTAAAAATGGCTCATGAATGAACATGATTAAACTATCAGACAGAAATAGTAAATGATATTATAGCTTGAATGTCAAACTATAGCTCATGATATTTTCAGTTATTCACTTTGTGAAGGATAATTTCTATTCTGACCTAATTCTTTTATTATTTAATATATAGTTTAATCATATAAATTATGTAATATTAATAATATGTATAGCCTACATATGTCTTTTTTGTCTTGATTTTTAAAATAATATAAAATTATATTATCTTTAACGAAGAATAAACATTTTGTTATAATTCAAAAATCTGGTTCTTGTTTTTTAAAATATGTATTTTCATAAAGTTATTAAGTGGAAAAGGCTGGTGCAAAAATCAAGATTGCAAAGTATTTTAGCTTTTTGACATTAAAAATGTTATTTTATTAGTAAATAATTTTCCTTTGCAGTCATTACTATTATTTTGTGTATCCTTGATAGCTTCCATTGGTTTCTTCTCTAATTTGCGTGGTATTTCTTCTTAAATTTTACGTGGACATAGTTGTATTCAAATATAGATATACTGTTGTTTTAAGTGGTATATGTAAAGTACAAGTTTATAGATTTCTTTTATTTAAAAATATACTTGAAATGTTCTAACATTAATGCTTTTTATTTGCTTTAAAGGGCTTACTAACTCTTAGATAAATTGTTCTCGTTGTAAAAATGAATTGCCATATACTGTATTTTTGATGCAAAAAATACAATCAGAATGCCAAAATACGCATTTTTTGTTTTGTATGAAAAGTAATTGATATATCTTTTCTAGTATAATCATTTTGTTTAAGAATGGTTCTTGAATAATTATCTCTAGCACAGAACTTTGTTCTTCACTTAGATTTATGTTTCCAACTGACTAGATATCTGTGCGGTATGGCTCAGCAAAATCTCCATTCTTAATACAATGAAATAAAACCCTTGACCTTCCTATCCCTCACGAGCTTGTCCTTCTAGGACTCTCTGACTTTGTCGTTGGCACATTTATTTGCTTTTAATTTATTTTTTTATTTTTTTATGTTTTTAACTTGTTTTTGCCAGAAAACTGGGAGGAGTTCTTGACCTTCTCTTTCTCACACCTCCAATTATAGTAATAGCCCAGCTGTTCTCTTGTGCCTGCTTCTTCTCTTCGTCCTTTTCAATCCAGGCTCTGTGTAACAGTCCAAATAGAGAAAATGTACATTTGTCATGTCACTTGTTTGTGTAAGACTCCTCAGTGACATCTGTTATACTTAGGATAAAAATCCAAGGACCTTACTGTTCAGGAAGACACTCTGAACTCAGTCCTCTGCTGAATGGACAGCCCCATCTCTCCCTCCAGCGCATCCCTGCTCACATACGATGCTAAATCCATATTGAATTTGCTTTAGCTCCCTAGGGGACTGAACCCTTTTCATAACTGTGGTCTTCCTAAATGCCTGGAATGGTTTTCCCACCTCCTTGACTGGCTAACTTTATTCTTGAAACTAAAGGTTAAATTTACCTTCAGGAAAAGGCTTCCATTAGAGCTTAATTCAAATCAGGTCAGACTCTCGTTTCTGTAGCTGCACTTCTCATCTGCAACTGCATGTTAATTGCCGCACCACATGTTGAGTATCTATCTCCGCCATGAGATCGAGGGTCAGTGAGGACAAGAGACCTGGGCTCCTGATTGGCTGTTACAGCCCTGGTATGTAAGATCATCATATGCATAGGTAAAATAAAAATTTAGTGAGTGAATGTGTAAATTGGCTTTTTAAACAGCTACATCGATTAGTGTCCTTTGAATATTTGTTTTTCTGGACAGTCATTTCTGTCCATTGACTGCTAGAGATTGGATCTGACCACAACCACACGGTACACATATTCACACGCAGCTGGAATTAATTATTTTCTTTGGACTTGTACTTGATGCCTTGGATTTTTTTTCTTCCAGATTCAAAACAAGTAAAAGAATAACCCCTTGACATCATATTGGATTTCCAGTCTAGCTAGGTAAGGTCACTGCCACAGTGAAAAGCAGTGAGGTTCCAGAGGCAAGGCGGTGGGAGCAATACAACCCAGAGACTTCAGAGAATTTAGAAGCAGTAATTGTCTGTAGAAAATTTCAAGCTAGTGATAAAACCAACTAAAAGTTGATCCGCTTTTTATTATTACCATTGCCTGGCAATTTTAAACAGTGCCAATGATTTAAATACTCCTCTAGGGGAAGGGAGAGAACTTTTGGTTTCAGTTCTAAACTTACTATAATCAGAGTTGAGTTTTTATACTACAAGTGTATCCTTTAAATTAGAAGAATTACTCATTATGCTTTAATAAAACCTGTTTCTTACTTGAAAATTAATTTAGAGAATTCACTATTGCGTAGTTCCTGTCTCGACGGGACTCAGCTATGTGCTTGTGTTTTAGGAGAGTAGTTCATAATAGTTTGAAATTGGGCACAGTTGAAGTCTCCAAATAGCACTACGGATTTCTACATTTATATGATATATTTGAAATAAACAATGCTAGCACAATGACTATAATGGCTAAAAAAATAGGACTTGAGTTGCTTCAGTTCTTCTATTCTATGCAACCACTCAGTTTTTATATGTGTTTTTAAAGCTTATGGTGAAACAGAATGCATAATGCAAGGTACTTTCTAAAATATTTTTGTTTGGAAAGTACAAAATTTTATTATTTTTATTTTTATTTTACTTTAAGTTCTGGGATACATGTGCAGGATTGTTATAGAGGTATACATATGCATGGTGGTTTGCTTTACGTATCAACCCGTCATCTATGTTTTAAGCCCCGCATTCATTAGGTATTTCTCCTAATGCTCTCCCTCCCGTTGCCTCCCATCCCCTAACAGGCCACAGTGCGTGATATTCCCCTCCCTGTGTCCATGTGTCCTCATTGTTCTACTCTCACTTATGAGTGAGAGCATGCGGTGTTTGGTTTTCTGTTTCTGTGTTAGTTTGCTGAGGACGATGGGTTCCAGCTTCACCCATGTCCTTGAAAGGACATGATCTCATTCTTTTTTATGGTTGCATAGTATTCCATGGTGCACATGTTGGAAAGTACAAATTTTAGTTCATGCCTGAAATATTTTCATAAAATTGGGTATCTTGTGCAGCGAAATGTTTCCTTTTTAAATTATTATTATTTCATTTTGAAACTAAAGAATCAGTTAAGAAAATGAAAGGCTTCATTCATCATGTGATTTAGCAGCTGTCAAAATTGTACCCTTTGCTGATGTCTTAGTTTTATTTAAATCCATTTACTAGTTACGGGGTAATTATTTGCCCAAGAGTATTACGTATTATTACTTTATCCAAATAATCAAACTTCAACCTATTAGGAAGATAAAAAAACTATTAAAATAATAGCTGTGGCTTTTTTCCCTTTTTTGTACTATAATTAAATAAAATACATTTGCTATTTTTAATGTATAATTAATAACATCTATATGGAATATTATAAAAAAACACTTACTGTATTTCTTTGATGACCATTATTTTATAATATAAATTACGTCTTGATGACTACTGAAATTATGAGATATTGAGCAAGAGGTGTTAAGGAGTGATCTACGTTGGTGTCAAATATGCTGGGTATGTCACTAGTTCCCTGTTAATTAAGTATTTACTGGATATGGCAGACAAAATATTGTATGTTCATAAAATGTTTCCAGGTTCTTCCTATGTCCATAGGAATACTCCCTTTCCCAGGCCCTGTACATCTCCAGGGGCTGCGTGGCTAGTTGCAGTCATAAAGCTTGGGGAGAAGCGAGGTCATCACTTCCAAGCTTCTTCCCTTCATCCTCTTTTTGTTTGCAGCTGGGTAAATACAGAGGACCTGTGAGAGGACACCACAATGCCCTTGAGAGTCAGTGAAGATGATGTGCAGCTGATCTCCTGCCAGCCTAAGATACCCTTGGAGCCTAAGTGAGAAACAAATCTTCACTGGGTGAAGCCACTGAAATGTAAGGGTTGATGTGTTACTGAAGCTTAGCTTGCCTGACCTGACCAATATATCTACCTCTAAATAAACAAGGCACATGGGGAATGAGGGAACAAGAGCGGTAAGTGTGGACTTTAAGAACAGTTCCGTGCTGAAGTGGGATTTGCTATGAGCTTGGAGGAAGGAGTGGCAGTCAACCGACTCTTGAACATTCTCAATACATGCCTCACACTTTCATACCATCAAGCATGACTCAGATTTTTCCTGAATACTGACATGACTTTTCCTATACTTAAATATGAATGCCCAGAAGTTAAATAATACCTTCTTAGAAAGCCTTTCCTGAACTCATACTCATACTTTTTAGTCTGGACTCCTGTGTCACCTTCATCTTTATGAAACTTATTTTATGTGTTTTTAATGGTTGGCTGTTTACACTATTGTCTCCCTATCTAGCTTTTGATTTCCTTAAGGTTAAAGATCATATCTTTGTATCTATGTCCCACAGCACTTAAGAAAACATTTGTACATGACCATTTCATCATTTATTTACAAACACAAATGTGTATTACCTATGAGTCACAGCCCGTAATGGGTCTGAGGATCAATACATGTGTGTCTAATTGAATTAAGATTTGTTAGGGAGAGATAGAAAGCCATCCTGGGCTGATGAAAGCTTTTTGAATAAAGGAGGACTTTGCACAAGGACATGCTTTTCCAGGAAGTTCAAGTCCACTTGGCGTTGTAGTGGAAAGTCAATATAGAGAGACCAGGTTGGTGGAAAGTCTTGGGTGCCAAGCTAAGTGGAAAAGACTTGAGTTCTTGAAGAGAAATCAACTAAGTTCAATAGTCTAAATTTTGGCCACAGAAAACCTATAGCAATTAAACACATAAAGCAAGTAATTTGATTCTACTTTATTGTAGAGTACGTGAAAAATGTATGGTGTCTTATCTCAAATCATTACTCAATGTCAGGGCAGAAGTACAATTGATCAAGCCTATAGTCAGCTGCTAATTCACGAGTTTTTTTGTTTTTGTTTTTCCTGTGACTTCCTAGCTTTCCAGACTGGGCAAAATGATATCTGCAGACATTAAAGAATACTGGAATTAAAAACACATTAATTTTCCATCCATTAGGGTGATGTGTGCCCCACAGGTGGACTATAAGGAATTCCCTGGCTTGGTGCCTGATTGCTTTGCATAGCTGGGGATTCCACTTAACACCCTGCCATGACCCTCTGCTGGTATGCTTGGCTGCCTTAATCTTGGTATATTTCATGTTGAATGGCCGTGGCAGTCCAAGTTGCTCCGTAGGAAATATAATATGTGCACTGTAGAAAGCTATGTCAGTTTTGCTGGTACTGAGTGGCTTCAAATTCAAACCTAGCTGTTGTAAAAACAACAACTAACAGACAACTGTGATTTTAATTGAACATGCTAATATCATGGCCATTTTGAAACAATGGTCAAGTGTAAATATTTTGAAGAAAAGGGTTTCTTAAGGTAATGTGAGTAGTTTCAAAGCATAAATAATATGGCATGTAATTTGTATGCAAATATATAACAGCATGTATCTTTACAAAATTAAAATATTTAAGAAGAACCTTTATTTATGTCCATAGGAATTTCATTGAGAAAATAGATCATGATGCTTTAAAATAATTATTTATCTATCTATAGCACAAACAAAATATAAAATTTCATGTGGTGATGCTAATAAAATCTGGTTCTTCAATCCTCACCAAACTTGTTTCCTTGAGGCAAAATGAAGCTTCTGCTTGCAATGTTCTGCCTAACTTACAGGTAAATTCTGGGATTGAATAATTTTGTAGAAATATAAAATACATACATTAAGGGTTTCTGTTTTCCACTAGAAAGTACTATATAAATGGGTAAGCAAGTGACTACGTCATGCCACACTAGTGTTTAAGTCTCTGAGATCAGGAACTATATACTCAATTCAGGGCATTCTGTTTTGTAACAAGTATTATTATTAACTTGAATTTAGTTAAGTATGTCCTTTTTTCTAAAGAATTCAAAGCATTTACTATTGTATTTATTAACATAATACTCTTTCGAAATAAACCAAGAGATTTACTGTATATCATAGCTGCTAAAATTTAACCCAACCAAGTGAATATGGCTTGCCCACATCAAGAGTTATAGGACAAATAACATCATACTCCTTTTCTTCACTACAATAGACCCCTAGGAAGGCTGTGAGTTTTATAGCATAATTTGCATGTGGAATTTGCATTTTGCCACATGCCATATGCGTTTCTTATCTTCGTATGTGTTAAGACCTTCTATGTTACAACATGTCTTTCAGCTACTCTCTTTTGAAACCCAATGGATTATTACCTGTAGAAATTCCAGAATCATCAGCTCTCTGTCTACATTTCTGTATTATTCTTTAAGCAACAGCAACATTCAGCCTAGTTGTCCCTACAAGCTTGAAAGCCAAATAACTCTTTCTACTGAGAACCTTAGGACACCCTTTAGAGACATGTTGTACTTTATAGACATAAGCCTGTGGCTTCTTGGAGGCTCTTCCACAAAAGTCAGTTGTTTGGTTTTGAGGGGACACATGATACAGGGACTGAAAGGACATCACTCCATTTCTTACATCATTAACCCAAATTCCTCCCACAGAAGCACACAAGACCTTGACATCCTGGCTTTTCAGGCAGTGGGGGGACCAAAACATTTGATTTCATTCAGCTTATCTATCTATCTATCTTCTATAAAATTATAGGATGAAAGTGAAATGATTGGATGTGTTTTTCTATGGATTCAACATCCTCTCGAGAAAATGTCGTCAGTTGGTCCTCTTTGCTAAATGTCAGTAGTAAAGCTTACATTTATTGCTGTCAAAGTATGCAGTCATACATAAGCAGGAAGTGGGTAATACCACCAGCTGGCTGTGAGTACCTACATTTTAAAACCAGGAATACTGTACTTATCAAGGCAGTCCTGCTTCTTTGGTGAAGATGAGACACCCAAATGTCAGTTAAAGTCTTGACACTAGAATTCCTTAACTTCAAATCTCAGTCCCACAGTGATCCCAACTGTATTGTTCTCTTTTATTAATCTTGACCTGAGTTCTGCCTTTCACATTAGCTCACTTATACTTTTATTTCTCTTCTTTGAGTAGCTGGCCCCTTGCCATACCTCTCCAAATTAGTTCTCGACTTGGTTTTAGTATTCTACGCTTGGCTACCCTGCTTCATTCCTGACCAGTCACATTTGATCTGTTTCTCTTGGCATCAGTTCCAGTGAGAAAAAAATAAAATAAAATAGAGAGGCATTTCTCCATTAAGAAAATAAGATTTACAAAGAAGAGTTTAGCAATTTATGTAAAGGAAGTTTATGTTATTATCTAAGATTAGTTGTGGTGAGGGTTGAGAGAAAACTTTTCTAAAATTTTGCTCAAGGTGTCAAATATTTCTATCTTGGGAGGCACTAAAAACTGAATTTAAGGTTTTCTGATTCCAGAGCCTTACCTATTTATTGGTAATATGCATAACTATATATATATCCAATTGCTTATTTCAAAAATCCTTATTGAGCACCTTAGATATGCAAGGCACTGTGGACAAAACTTAAATGCAATGATCTTACCCTTGGATTGGATTTCTTTTTGTCAGAGGATATCATGCCATATGAAAGGCCTTAAAATGTAAAGAAGAAATAACCTTTTATTACAGAGCGTATATAAACTCTTCAAGAATACAGAATTAATGACTAAGTTACGAGGGGTACTCTGTCAATGATCAGAGTCATGGATATCTGGGATGAGTAAGAAAGGATAGAACCTCTAACTTGCAGAAGCTCACATCTGAGGGCAGGCACGCCATCCGCAGCACACTGTCATGAGAAACCAGCTCACATCTGAGGGCAGGCACGCCATCCGCAGCACACTGTCATGAGAACACCAGCTGAATGGAGTGACAGACTGACAGTGCATGGAGCATTCTCTCAAAATTCCTTCTGTGAAAATTGAATAGATCTAAAACATCCTCTCATGTAGGGTTGTGGGCCCCAGGCCAATGGGTTGCTCATGGGGGAACATTCCGATTCTAAGCATGACAGCACAGCGAATTCATCTAAGTTATTTATTCTAAAGACCTCATGGATATGAATGGTCCACAAAGAAATCCTAACAACGAGGTTCCATGGAGAGTTGAAAATGAACTATATGAAAACCAAGGAGCAGGACGGTCGTTATGTAACTTGTATTTCTCAATGTGAACCAGCCTGTGGGGTAAACATGGCATCAAAGAGTGGTTTGGGGGCTCTTCTCTCTGTTCTGCTGGAATTCTAGGTTTCTGCAAAACCTTTTCAAATGATTTGGGAACATCTTCAGGGCATGTGACTGCAGAAGGTCTCTTTAGTACTCTTAAAGTTACCCCTTTCATTTTCTACTTTGAATTTATCATTTTTCATCGTTATCTCTGAATCATCATTGTAATGTCTGCTTTTGATTTTGAAGTCAGAATCAGAAGCTAGGCCACTAATATCTGCCAATTATGCCTTCACCACTGCCCGATAAAAGAGGTACAATTGCCAATGCCCAGTCTGATAATGGCTGCTGCTGTCCAGATGGAGTTGCTGATGCCAGCTAAGAGTTGTTCTGAGTCTTCTCTTGTTTGATATCCAGATATCTCCTGCCAATGCCAGAAAGGTTGCTGCTCAAATCACAGGCATTGTCTCCTATTATTACAAACACATCTGTCACTAATGCAGCCAATGTTGCAATGTCCCAAGGATATTGTTGTAAGTCACCTCTTTCAGTTTTTACTCTTTTTTTGTCCCTCTGTGGTAGGTTGAGTGATGTTCCACAAGGTTTTCTGTTCCTGATCCCTTGAGCCTGTAAATGTTACTGTCTTTGGAAAAATGGTCTTTGCAAATGTAATGAAGTTAAGATCTTAAAACAGGAAGATGATCTTGGATTATGCAGGTGGGCATGAATGCTATTCTCTAGCCTCCTTAGAAGAGAGAGGCAGAGGGGCACTTGACACACAGAAGAGGCAATGTGAAGAGGAGGTAGAGCCTGCCAGCAGCTGTCAAGAGCTGGAAGAGGCAAGGAACGGATTCTCCCTGAGAGCCTCCGGAAGGCGTGCCATCCTATGGGTACTTTTATGTCAGCCCAGAGGCACTGATTGTGGACTTCTAGTCTCCAAACTGAGAAAAGATAGTTTTCTGGTCCATGTTTTAAGCCACCAAGTCTGTACTGATTTGTTACAGCAGTTACAGAAAACTAATATTATAAACTCCACACGCAGTCACCTAGGCATGGATTCCTGGGGCAGAACTGGGGAGAAGGCATATTTGATTACAGATGGAACCTTTGGTGAACCCAGATGTCAGTCTATAAAAGAGGAGACATTTTCTGCTTCTGCTGTGAACAGAAAGTTATTCTGGGATTAAACTTGAGCCTAATTACAACACGATGCAAACTTGGAAACTTTTCAAAGAGTATCACTAAATATTAACGATAGGCATCAAGTTTGGGTACATACAGACTTATGTTTTACCGCCTCAAAAATAACCTCTAGTAATTCAGATGTAAATTATGAGAAAAATAAGCAATGCATATACATAAATGTTGTTTGACAGTGATATGGAAATTGTGATTGTCACTGTTGGCCTGGAAATGTTTATTTTAAACATAGGAATGATATATTGTTTGTAAAAAAAAATTCTTCTAAGAAACAAACCCTGAAAACAGTCTCAATTCTACCTGAGGAGAATATCATTGCCATCAATCCATATTACAATTTGCCGTGGTGCTGGGCACTGCAGGCAGGACACAGAGGACAAGGCCTTTGTCTTCAAGGACTTTGTCTAAATGAATACAATTTAGAGATACATGAAGTATTTTAAAAGGGTGAACATTTAATAAAAGAATAACAAAATAAATTTTAAAAAATGAGATGAGTTATTCTCCTGCAAGAATAATTGTCCTCTGCAAAATGAAGGCCTGCCAATGCTTGGACTGAGAGCTGGCTTAGAAATGAGCCCTGCCTGGCTGGAGGGTAGAGTGGGATCAGTGGTCTTATCTTCACCGTGTGTCTGCTCTGAAGGAATTCTTCGGTAAGAGTAGTCTGGACAGATTTCACCCTTAATTGACATTGACCATGAGACATAGTTATTTTGAGAATCTCTTCCAGAATGTCTGGATAGTAAATGGAAGGCTTTCTGGGTATGGTGCCAAACTCTGGATAAAGAGATGTGTTATCTAGACCTGGAGGACTGTCACCCTGTTACCCAGTGTAGAGGCTGAGCTCTGAAGAGACAGGTTTTCACCCTGGGGGCCTCAGGGAGAGACATAAACAGGCTCAAACCTGGTTCTACGGACTGAATTATGTCATATGAGATTAACTAGTTAGGGTCTTCAAGTGTGTTAGGGATAATTTTGTTCTAATACTCATAATTTTGTTCTAATGCTAATGCCTGTCTGTTTAGGAGTCAGATACATTGATCCATTCAGGAGAAACTCTCTGAGCTTCCCATGCTAAAATAAAAATACTGTGGAGCTATGGATTTTCACAAATAATCAGGAAAGGGAGTGGCTGGAGGAAAATTATTGCAACAAAATACTGACTGCATGTTTTATGCTGAGTAGATGACAAAAATGAGAAGGTGTTGTAGGGTCCATGACACTCAGAAGGGAAGGATTAATCTTCAGGAAATATCATTAATTCTCTACTAGAATTAGCAGCAGAAAAGTATCAGGGAGAGACTGTGAGGAATTATGAGACTGGAAATGACTAGGATTTGATTGTTGTCCATATATTCTGAATGCTATGTCATAGACACAGTAGTGTACAGTGGAGTTGATTACCCTTTAATAGGACTTTCTTCTAATTCATGCTTGCAAATGAGAAACGACTGCCTAGGAGATCCTAAGGAAAAACTAACTGGAGTTTCTGCATTGGTCCTTGACTTAAGAGAAAGTTAGCAGCCTCTTAGCAGCATCTGGATTCTTTGGTCCCTGGCTAACCTTGCCAGAGAGGAGACTTATCCAGATTGGTAAGACTCCCAGGGAAATGGGTGAAAATACCCATATACAAAATGAAATAGCTTATTTTCTGTGATCAGTTTATTCCAGGCTGACCATAGTAAAGGAAATCATCCCTGGGGAGCTCATGAAGAAACTTGCAATTTCCCCCTCTTGTCCTCAGGGAACTCCTCACTTTTCAGCAGTTGGGAATGTAACTCATTTAAAAATGTGAGCAACGTAGGCACCAAACTGTGGTTCCGAGAAACTCAAAAGTGGTGAATGTCTTGTTTAATTTCCTACTAGGCACATAAATCCAGTCTTCATACAGGCACACAACATCAAAAAAAACTAACATCTTGTGATGAAAACCTAGCAAAGCTTCTCCTAAAAAAATTTCATTAAGTCCATGAAACCTGTGTAAATGCTTAGAGTGGGGAGCAGGGAATTTTAAGACTTCACAGCATGAGGAGGCTCCAAGTCATTTATTGCAACAGTTGTATCTAAGTAAGTGAAAGAGAAATGTTCGTCATTTTCTCCACTTAAAAGACTTTAGCTTACCCCCACTGTACATCAAAGCCACTGCATATTAAATATGTACAGAATTCTCATTGAACGTGAAAAATATGGACAGAGTTTATATAAGTCTCCACACTTGAGAGACACTATTCAGGTTCCCCTTTGGTCAGCTTTGGAGAAGATTTTAGGAAAAATATAAGAATTCATGACTATTTTCAGTTACTTCCTGCTTAATGAGTACGAGAAAAAGACAAAACCAAAAGCTGTTTTTATGTTTGATCCTCCTAGAGCACAGACTAAATTGTTCATGTTTGAAATCTCAGTTTCCTCTTCTAATTTAGTCTTGCTTAAATCATTTAAAAATTATCTTAGCTCATGCCTTGATCATTCACTATTATACTAAATATTTCCTGAGTATCTACCATGTACCAGATGCTAATCAGATGCTGTCTTTGGCACAAGGGACATTAAGGTGAATATAATGAAGAAATTGCCTTCAAGGGAGGCACTCTCACTCCTAGGAGAGACGAAGTGATTATGATTCGACGTGGCAGATACTGGCGATGGAGGTGGAAACAGTTGAGAAAGCACACATCTGTGCTGGATGTGCAAGGGAGAAAGTGGCTTCATAAAGGAGAAACGTTTTTAGAAAAATCCTGAGCAGTGAAGTCCATTAAGAGCAGCAGGAATCACACACGTAAGGAAGACAAGCATATTTGTGACTACATATTTGTGAGATCTGTTTGGAATGACAGTATGCGTGCAAGAATGACAGTGGGGATTACAGATCACCAGACAGAATCAGATGAAGGACTTTGTATGAAGTGCTAAGAAATGGTTACTCTATTGAACTGACAGATTGTTAGAAGGCTATTGAGATAAATAACGTTCTAGACGATGAGAATCTGGAATTTAGGATTTGCAATGAAGGACTTGACAGTGATTTAATCATTCTGGTCCTCAAGTCTTCAATTGGAAAACCGATACAGCAATGTTTTCCTTTTATGACAGATTAAATGAGCTAATGTTTGTAGTATGCTAAAAGTCATGCACAGCACCTCACGATCACCCCCTTTTCCTTTTGTCTTTTCACTTCCAGTCATATGCAGCTCAAGCCACGTTTTTCTCTAAAAGCTTGACTTGATTGTGTTTTCCTAATTTCTAGTTCTGTGGCACAAAAGTGGTGGACATTTGGCAGACAAATAAACAGTTGATGATTGGTTGACTATTGCTTGCTCTACAGCTAAGTTGAAAATAATATTCAGTAATGTGGTTTAAGAAAGTATGCAAAAGTCATTGTAGAAAACTGAAAAAAGGGCAAGTAACACATGTTGATATCTAGAGATATATAAATAGAGGCAAGTGAAGCTTAAGTCATATTAGACTCCAACATTAGGTATTGGTAGGAATTTTTAAAAAAGAAATCTCAGAAAATATAATTGCTTTTCATAGGGAGAATTGTTATGTGAGCTCATGTGGGCTGCTTGATATCTGATACCTGAAATTTCCTGTCTTCGGTACCTTTCCTACTATTTTCCTTTCTTCAAAAGAAAAGCCAGAATCAAGGTTGATCTCAGAGGCCAGGCAGTCCTCACCTGAGTTGGGCACCAGCCACATGGCAACTGACAAGTGGTGTTGCAACATTCTATGCAATGGGTGAATTATGAAATTTATTTTGAACAGCAAACATTTATTTCAGTCAATTGACTTTAATTAAATTTAATGTCAATTAAATTTAATGCAATTTCCATTCAATTTTTCTAAAGTACAATACGGATTTTTAAAATGATATAAACCCTAAATTTAATTAATGTATGTATATCTTTACTTAATTAAAATATCATTTTTTAAGTAGAAATGGATGAGTTCTGTAAAAGTCCGTGTTGCTTTTGGAACAAGTTTTTGGAGTTTTTTTTTTCTTTTCTTTTTTGAAGTAAAAGTAGCATTTTGGCAAAAATAAAAATAACCCCTAAATTCTTCGAATGTTTGCCTGCACATTTTAAAAAGAATTCCAGGCATGGCAAAGCACATTCTCCCAAAAGAGGTGGGGAATGTGCTGGCCAGTTTCCCGTTATCATTACTGGGCTGTGAAACCTACAACTTTGCCTAATACTTCATTTATGTTTCCTTATTTATGACTCATAAATGGTTTACTTCTTATAGTTCTTCCCATTTTGTGAACGTTTTTAAAAGTTCATAGCATCATCTGATCACACTGACATTTATGGCAAATAACGAAATTCCTTTTAAAACTCATTAGGTGAGAAACACAGATTTTCAAGCCCTCAGTTTAACAGAAGCTAATCTCACAGTGACCTGCCATGCCCCTGCCACATTCAAGGGTTTACAATGATCGTCTTCCAGAGTTTGAGATATAAGTTGTCTGTGTAGCCCCGTCCCAGGAGCCACACCAATCCTATTCCTACTGCATAGTTTATTTTCTCGGAAATCTAAGCTCTGGGATTCAAGCAAAGCAAGAGACTTGGGGAAAGGCTTCTCACAAATTCAACAAGGAAACCATTTTCACTTGGGGAGGTGGTAAGGGGAAGACCATCAGGCTCCAACTGCATATAGTTTCATGGACAATTATTTGAAGAAAGAATGGAAGGGAAAGAAGGCAGAAAGTGACCCTTCCAGACCTTGGTGAGGCAGGCAGAACCCTCTGAGTCCAGGGGTGTGTCTGTCTTTCCCTCCTTTTCCAACTGTGGAGGAGAATGTAGAACATAATTTCAAATTCATACATGTTCCCATTCACAGGGGAGAGAAAGGAAGACATTCAACTAATAAAGGAATTATGTTTTCACAATGAGATGAATTAGAAAGCTATTTTTCTTTAACTTCCTCCTCCATAGTAACTTCCAAAATGGAATCATTTTTTTTTCCCTCCAGCAAGAGCTCAACATTGTATTAGATAGAAATAATGTAAGTATCAGAAAGCCATCTCTAAAATAATAAGAAGAATCTGGAAAACAAGCTGGTAGAGTAGTTATTTTTCTTTATGTTCTCTATAGTCTCTTCAGAACTGCATTTTTTAAAAAGTGCAAATCTCAAAATAAAAGAAAAATAAAACAACATTTTCATTGGATGATTATGTATTCAATCTTAAAAATCCCAGCTCTCAAGAGCCTCTAGAAAAGGTCAAGGAGGTCTAAATGCTCAGTAGAATGGAAGAAACCATTGCTAGAAGCCAAACAGAGACTCTGGTGACGCAAGTGATCTTAGGAGATTCTCCAAGTATTTCCTGAACAATTTTTAGGGGCCACACTCAGTGCTAGATCCTGGGGATGCAAATACTAAAAGACAAGGTGTCAAGGAGAGGTCCTGAAAAAATACCTGGTCTATTATGACTGACAAATATACAATGTAATATACGAGAAACAGAGCCATAGGTGAGACACACATGTAGAGAAGTCTTGACTTACGTGCAATTCTAACTATAGAACAAAGGAGCCGTAGTCACTTTTAAGGATTTTAATGCTGCGCAGTCCACACAGACAAGTTGAGGTTTTCATTTAGTGACACTTCCTTTATTTACAGAAGGCTCAGTAACACTGACCCATTTTTTTTTTCTGCAGATGATTCTTAATGCTGGTTAGACTATTAACAGCTGACTTTTACATGGAATTTACTGTTCTAAGCACATTACTTGTATTAGCTCCTTTACTCTTACAAGCTATATGATAAATTCATTTTATTAACCATTTTAAAAATGAGAAAACTGATACACAAAGAAACTAAATAGCGTCACATAAAGTGACCTGGCCAGGTTTGGAGCACAGATGGACTTATTAACTACTACTCTATGGTATTTTGATTCCTCAATAACTTCTTAAAAAAGCTGGAAGTTACTTGAGCCCTTCATTTATGTCCTACACAAAAAATAAATGTGCCGTTCTTCTAAGAATAAACTACTGGGCTATTGCCCATTGTTTTGTTGAATGTATTTTTAGCAATTTTCCAGACAATGATGGTTATTTTTTTTAACCCACTGATCTATTTATATCTTCTCAGATACCCTTGTGAACAAATTTAGAATACATCCATCCATCCAGATTATGGGACAAACTCCACTCTTGTAGGAATTTGGTACCTGATTTTGATTAAATAAGATGAGACTTCAAACAATTAAATTAGATTTAGTCATCTACAATATATTTTTATTTGCAGGGCAAAATTAACTTTTCTAAAAAATTTAAACATTGTTTCTGTAATGTTTAGCTGTGTTTAAGATAGTTGAAGTCATGTGCTAAACTGAAAGAACAAAGTTGGAAGAGGTAAAAATTGTTCAACAGTTATTTAGAAATTACTAATTTTTATATTAGTGAAAATGCAAAGCAGCAGGCATATTTTTGTGATACATTTATTGAATTTCATCTCCAATCTATCTGATTGTTTAATATACTTGATGTATTAGAATCCAAGAAATAAAAATAAGTAATTGGAGCACACATTTGTTTTACTATTTCCCCCTCTGTTTCTGGAACACATCCCCTCTTGCCGTTCTGGTAACTGGAGTGCACTGGTGTGGGGCAAACAGGAAATGAATAGCACCAGCCAGCCGGACAAAAGCTGAGATTTAGACCAGAAAGCTAATCTCTGTCTAACTTCCATTTCAGCGGTGGATGAATACTGCCTTAAAACATTCATTGTTTTCATTTAGCATTCTTTTCATTTTCTTTTTCCAAAGAGGCCAAAGTTATTTGAAAGTGTTTCTCACATGTTTTCCAAACTCTAAGACTGTATAAGTGAATGTACAATATTTAAAGAGGTGCAATGGAAAAAAAAGCAGTTCACTGGGAAAAAGCAGGTGCACTTGATGTAAGAAGATCGGAGAGAGAGGAATGATTTAGGTAAAGGAGGAAGAGAAGAGAGGGCCGAGAAATGCAGACCCAGGTATAGCTTTTGACTGGTGGACAAGGAAGGCAGTGAGTAGGTAATCAAAGTAGATAGGACCTCACAGAAATGTAAGGTCACCAATATGGCGCAGAAAGAGAGAGAAGCTGGGAGTTCCATAGGACCTGTAAGGCAAGGGATAAGTGGATGTTATTGTGATATTGCAGTGAACAGACAACAAATGACCTCTGTTATAGACTGAATGCCTGTGTCTTCCCAGAATTCCTGTGTTAAACTCTTAACCCCACAATGTGATGGTATTAGGAGGTCATTAGATCATGACAGTGTAGTCCTCATGAATGGCATTAGTGCCCTCTTCAGAAGAAATGTCAGAGCTTGCTCTCTGTTGCCGCTCTCCACTCTGTGAGAACACAGTGAGAAGAGGCTGCCTACAAACCAGGAAGAGGGCCTCACAAGACAGTGAATCTGCCCGCATCATAATATTGTACTTCTTAGTCATTAAAACTGTGAGAAATAAATTTCAGTTGTCTAAGTCACACAGTCTAGGTAATGTGTTCTAGCAGTCCGAAGTGACTGAGACAGCCCTCCCTTGTCCGTAGCCCAAAACACACACACAGACACATGCTTTGGCATTTCATAAGACTCTGAAATCAAAACATTATTGTATTAAGCTCAAACTTAAATTGATGCCATAGAAAACTCAGAATGAAATATGCTTGCACGTCTGTGATTTCGGACTGAGATTCACAGCCTTCTCGGGATATTTTAATATTCCGGGTCTTTAAAGGTGATGAGTGAGAGCAATTTAGCTATCATTTATCAGCATTTAGGTTATCTGGAGCAAGGCTTTAATTTTAGAGTAGTTACATAACCTACCATTGAATTCTGATCTATCTAAAATGTCTTAGGTATTTTAGTATTAAAGGAATATGTAATTTAGCAGTTAAGAGTATGACAATCGAATTCTACAATATATTTAAATACAAATGTCAATGAATCTGAATTAATTTCGTCCATTCCTATTAATATGGGTGAGTTGTAGATTATTGCTTTGATGTGTTAAGTCCTATTGAGAACACACTTTTTCCTTCTCTCAGAAGGACATCTCTAAAATAATAATAAGAATCTGAAAAACAAGCCGGTAGAGAAATTCTTTTTCTTTGTGTTCACTAGAGTCTCTTTGAAATTCCATTTTTGTAAACTGCAAAACTCAAAATAAAAGAAAAATAAAACAACAGTTTCATTGGATGATTATGTATTCAATCTTAAAAATCCCAACTCTCAAAGGCCCCAAGAAAAGGGCAAAGAGGTCTAAATCTTCAGTAGAGTGGAAGAAACCATTGCTAGAAGCCAAACAGAGACTCTGGTGATGCAAGTGATCTTAACAGATTCTGCAAGTATTTCCTGAACAATTTTTAGGGGCCACACTCAGTGCTAGATCCTGAGGATGCAAATATTAAAAGACAAGGTGTCAAAGAGAGGTCCTGAAAAAATACCTGGTGTATTATGACTGATAAATATACAGTGTAAGTTTATTTAGCAATACTATATATTTGAGTACTGTTAAGTAAATAAAACATATTTAAGAAGAGTAACACTATTGAGTGATGGTATCCATAGCAATGCACACGTTCAATGTGAAATGAGAAAAGTAACTGGAAAACTTAAGGTAGATTACCCATTTCCCAGAAGAGACCTTAAAAGGAATAAGTATTTTGCAGGTGAATATTCAAGGAAAAAGATGACTGAGACATAAAGCATGGTGAGTATTGGGAACCACTGGGTACTTAATCTCGTGGAATGAAAGAGAAGCAGGCCTGGCGGGGCCCCCCGGACATCCCTTATTATTGCCGCCCGGCTGTGTTTACTGAGCCTCAGCAGATGTACAGGCTTTTCTCATGGGAGTTGGTGAGTCCTAAAGAAGTAGCATCATCATCACCAAGTAACAATGCCCAACCTCTGTCAGATCTGCCGAGAAAAGAGAAAGCCATGGTAGTAATAAAGATCTTGGAAAATATACAGAGAAGGCAGACAAAAAGTGTGAACATTTGGGGATACGCTGTGCTTTATCTCTATTGAACAAACCACAATATTCTTCATAGGTGATGATGCTAGGGCTCATGCCGTTGTCGGAAACCCAGGCCACCGGTGCTCTGCTTCAGGAGGGGAAAGAAGGTGCTTCTAAATTCTCCTCCCTTTCTTTGCTTTTCTGTTGTTTTTAGTCTTACTGGTGTAATATAAGCCATCAGAATGTAAAAGAAGCAAGCCTTTAGACCTCACACCATCATGTGGCTGCATTTATAGGACATGGCACTGTCCCAATCACTAAAAGGTAGACTCTGTGCCTACCTTGGCATCCAGGGAAGAAGCACTTAATAACAAGCTGAAAATAGCAAAAACATTTCCACCTGAAAATGCTCCGTGCAATAAACTACAACACAAACACACAAGATGCTCTTTTGTCTTCAAAAGTGTCCTAATGCCCTTAAAAGTAAAGTAGAATTAGTGCAGTATCTATACTCTGATAGTTTTTGCCTCAAACAGCTATGGAACTAATTAGACTGTGTTGTCTAATCTCCCTTAGAAAGGTAAGGCCCTGTCAATTATGAGTCATGGAAAAAGTGAATATTCTCTATACGCACATTATAAAAATAATAACTTTAAGGTGAAGGCTATTGGTTCATGAGTTATACTGTGCTTGTATATCTATCTTAGTTTCCACTTCAACTTGATTTTATCAACTAAACTTGTGATCGGAATAGCACTTAGCACAAATTTTGGGAAAATAAAGTGCAACTACTCTTGCTAACACTCTACAGCTGTTCACACACACACAAAGATATTTAACTCATTACTATTTAAAGGAAATTCCTCTATGCAAGAATTTCCAATTAGGTTATAGGCCACTTTTTAGCTGCTGGAGGAGATCCATGATTACATCTTCTTCCAAAGCAGTGTGGAAATTTTCACAATTCTTTCTTTTTAAAATCTTGGCAATTAGATAGGAAACAGCCGTGAATTAGGAAAGCAAAGTAATTCTCTTTAAAATCAGAAGAGTTTGATCCTTAAGAGTGGATCCATCAAGGTTAGGTGAGTGATTTAACTTATAAAAACAGATGTCTAAAACACACTTTCTTGTCCCTCTTTAAAAAAATGCTATTTGATGTAATATTTTCCTCCATAGAGAGAGCATATATGCCTAAGTATTATAGAGGCTGTTCAGAAAGCCACAAATACATTTTTTAAGCATTGTGATTTATATTTTAAAAGTCTAGTTTATAAAATTGAGAGTATCATTCATATGGTCTAAACAAAATCTTACTGTCTTTGGACAAAATAACTCAGTGAACTGCATGCTACAATACTACCTATTATATATTTCATTTTATTTATTTTTTGAGACAGAGACTTACTTTTCAGTGTTTTTAAATTGATATACAATAGTTGTGTATATTTTGAGGATACATGTGATATTTCGATATTTGTATGCACTGTGTAACAATCAAATCAAGGTAATTGGACTATGCATCACTTCAAACATTTTTATTAGTGCTAAGAACATTTTAATTCTTTAATTCTTTTCGGAGTTTTGAAATATACAATAAATTATTGTAAACTATAATTTCCCTACCTACTAGCAAATACTGAGTCTTGTTCCTTCTATCTTCCTGTATTTTTGTACCCCTTAACCAACTTATCTTCGTCTCCCCCTCCTCATTCCTTTCTCAGCCCTTGCTAACCACCATTTGACTCTCTACCTTCCTGAGCGATATGGTTATGTCCCCACCCAAATCTTATGTGGAATTATAGTTACCATAATCCCCTCGTGTTGTTGGAGGGACTCAGTGGGAGCTAATTCAATCATGGGCGTGGTTTCCCCCATACTGTTCCAGCGGTAGTGAATAAGGCTCGTGAGATCTGACGGTTTTATAAGGGGAAACCCCTTTTGCTTGGCTGTCACTCTTCTCTTGTCTGCCGCCACGTAAGAGGTGTCTTTCACCTTCCGCCGTGATTGTGAGGCCTCCCCAGCCACGTGGAATTGTGAGTCCATTAGACCTCTTTCTTTCGTAAACTGCCCAGTCTTGGGTATGTCTTTATCAGAAGTGTGAAAACGGACTAACACAATGAAATCCACTTTTTTAGCACCCACATGAGAATGAGAACATGTGATACTCATCTTTCTGTGCCTGGCTTATTTCACTTAGCACAGTGACCTACAGTTTCATCCATGTTGCTACAAATGACAGAATTTTATTCTTTTCATGGCTGAATAATATTCCATTGTGTATATGTACACATTTTCTTTATCCATTGATTCATTGATGAACAGTTAGGTTGATTCCATATCTTGACAGTTGTGAACAATGCTGCAAGAGAGTACATACATCTCTTCAAAATACTAATTTCCTTTCTTCAGAATTTATACACAACAGTGGGATTGATGAATTATGTTAGATTTATTTTTTGTTTTTTTTGAGGAACCTCCATACTGCTTTTCCTGATGGCTGCAGTACTTCACATTTCCACCAACTGTGTAAAAGGGTTCCCCTTTCTTAGGATCCTCACCAGTATTCATTTTTTGTCTTTTTGATACTAGTCATTCTAACTGGCGTGAGATGGTATCTCACTGTGGTTGTGGTTTGCATTTCCATGACTCGGTGATAATGAGCAATTTTTCATCTAGCTGTTGGCCATTTGTATGTCTTCTTTTGAGAAATGTCTATTCAGGTCTTTTGCCCACTTTGTAATTAGATTGTTTTTTGCTGCTGAGCACTTTGAATTCCTTATGCATTCTGCTTATAAATCCCTTGTTAAATAAAACAGTTCACAAACATTTTCTCCCATTCTGTGAGTTGTCTCTTTGTTGTGTCCTTTGCCATGCAGAAGCTTTTTGGATTGATGTAATCCAATTTGTGTATTTTACAATCGTTGCCTGTGCTGTTGATGTCTTATCCCAGAAAATCTTGCCAAAACCAGTGTCCCATAACATTTCCCCAGTGTTTTCTTCTAGTAGTTTCGTAGTTTCAGGTCTTCCATTTAAGCCTTTCATCTATTTTGAATCATTTTTTGTATATGGTGAAAGATGGGAATCCAGTTTCACTTTTCTGCATATGAATATCCAGTTTTCCCAGCACCATTTATTACAGACTGTCCTGTCCCCACTGTATATCCTCAGCACCTTTGTCAAAAATGAATAGCACGTGGATTTATTTCTGGGCTCTCTATGCTATCCCACTGGTCTATAATTTAATTAGCCTGAAAATGGAAAGTTAGGGAGACTCCTTCTTCTCTTTCTCCATGTTTTCTTAATGAGAAAATATAGAAAAAAATAATGCAAAGTAAGTACCAGGATGGGGGTGTGTAGTTTCATTTTAAAATAGTAAGGTTGAACAAAAGTTTATGCCAAAGGTATTTAAAATAATAACACAAATAATATTTAAAGGCAAAGATGTATATGTATATATACATGAACATATTTAATTTATATAAAGGAGAATGTGAATACATATGTATGAATTTTTTTACTTGGTGTATACAATATGAACATATATATATATGCATATGTATTTATTTACTTGATCTAGAAAACTTGACTATGAAGTTCTCTAGTATAGGCCCTTAGAAGTTCTAAAAGTCACAGTAACCCACATTGTACCTTTGGTTTTTAATGAGGAAGATGATCTGCTGTGGTGAATAATGCATTTTCCTTGTGAAAGTCACGTGACCAGTACGCATTGACAGAATCATGAGACAAATTAACAATGAGCAAAACTTATTATCTCCTTACACTTCATGTTAAGTTCTTTGAACTTTCATCTTCTCTAGTAGCTAAACGTTACAATCGAGTCAGCTTTCTCTCAGCCAATTGTTTTCTCTATTTATTCTATCATTTAAAGTTACTGATTTGGATCATTATTTTCCTTTCCCATGACATTTGACCTAGGAAGTTGACAAAGGTGAGCTGGCACTGAAAAGCAACTTGACCCAGGAAAGGGGGCTCTGCGCTTTTCTTATCTAAGCATCCTCAATCGAAACCTCATTCTTTCTTTCCGTTATCTTGGCCTCCCATTTAAAGCTGGTGTATATGTATTTTGAGAATATATCATGTCTTCCATCACAAGATATCATTCTTTTTATATAAGTATGTCTTGTCAGCTCTTTGCTTTTCTCTGATGCTGGATTGTGGCTACACAGTGTGAATAATGACACATAAGCACCCTGTTTATTTAAAAGGTTTCCTGTGGTTAAGTACATGTATTATACTAGAGAGCAAAGAATTTCTTTCTAAAATTGATTTCAGTAGACCCTATGAGAGGCATCAGCCAGCACCCGGGAATGAGCTGCCATAGATATCTTTGTTTATGCTCCCACTTCAGTTCTTTTAAGTGCATTATTAATAGTTTATGTGACTCCTTAATGTTTGGTATTAGTGTTTTCATACAATGAAAGATGATAAAGTGATGCCACTTTTATTGTGTGCTTTAATTGCTAATTGTTAAGAAATGTATATTGTTTCCTTCAAGTTCAATTCCTTTGTGACTTAATGTCATTGCTGGTCATCTTTCAACTAGATCAAATTACTCTCATACTGTTTTATCTTTTTCCTTTGTCTTTACACTTTTTTTAAGGGACGTACGTTTGTGTATATAGATAATCCACCGTTAACCCTTTATTTTACATCATTATCTATGGCATTTATACTTTATAATTATTTTAAAAACAATGTTTATAAGACAAAATGGTATTCAATTTCAGGTAATTTAGTCTTAGAATACTTATTTTCTTCTTTCTCTTTTCCTTCTTTAAAGACAGGTTCTCTCTCTGTTGCCCTGGCTGGAGAACACTGGCGCTATCATAGCTCACTGGAGCCTGTAAATCCTAAACTCCAGGGATCCTGCCACCTGCTCCCTAATAGCTAGAAATGCAGGTGATCATACCTAGTTTTTCCTCCCCCACCTGCCAACAGACCCAAGCTCTCTACAGGCGTGAGCCACTGCACTCAGCTCAGTCTTAGAATATTTCGAGTCCTGTCGTATGAACTTAATCGAGTAAGGTGAAACGTTAGGGGCAGAGTTTTAAGTTTTCATTTTGAGGGGTCATTAAGGCTTTAAGTTTAACTAAAAAATAAGTATATATTATTCCCTTTGGGTAATTTCCTAGAAAGCTTATCAAAATATTTATTTGGTATAGATTTCAAAGACATTTTTAACACTGCTTTTTGTTGTTCATAGTGTTCATTTTAAAGACCTCAAACTACTAAATAGCTTCAGCCTAAGTTGATGGCAACCTCCAGGCAATCATTCTTAATGATATATTTTAAGATTCTGTCTCTTGAATATTGAAAATGTGAAAAATCCAGAATACATGGAATGAAACAGTCTTTGTCTAGACTTTCATGGCTGGAAACAAGTGGAGGGCAGGTGGAAACTCTTTTGTGTAAAAGAAGGAGCCCGGCCAGGGCATGTGGTTGATTTTTAAACCTCTAAATTTTACTAATGATATAGAAGCCCTGAGGAAACACTTAGAAGTCTTCCCTTCCCAACTGAGACCGTAAGACTGATTTCTACAATATTTTCCATTTCAAAAAGTATTTGATCAGTAAAATTCTAAACTTCTACTTTTTACCATTTGGTAACATTTAAAACCCTACATTTTAACAGTCTTGAAATGTATTTAAAGTTACTGCTACCATAATACGAAAACATTATTGGATGAATGCAACCTTAGAGCATTTCTGCTTGCTTGCTAAACTCTTTCCTATTATCTCATTAAGGTAGCAATTAATTTGATTTTTAAAGCCCAATCTCTCACTTTACTACACTTTCAAAATTCTTAGAGTTTGTTTGGTTTTGCTTTTGTTTGTTTGTTTTATTTTAAAGACAACTAATGCCTAAAGAAACTATTTCAATGAACTTGAAATAAAAAATATATAATTCTGTTTTTTTTTCAAGAGATCTTTTTAGATTTCAAAAAGTAAAATTTGGGGGTTTGAGTAACTTTGAAACCAAAACAAATATCATTTTCTGTGTTGTTAAAATCTTGATATACCCTTTTGTTCACCTTTCAGCAACATGATAAATACTCCCCTAAACATGAGAGATAACATTTAAGAAAATGTCACTGCCTTAACCATGGCATATATTTTAAAATTTTTTTGACATTATCTATATATTCTTTATATTGTGGTTCTTTTTTTTTTTTCTGTTCGATACTTCCCCAGACCCTACCCCTGTCATATTTCCCAAGCTGTTAACCTTAGCTATGCCTCTGCGTTGAGTATTTTTCCAAAGATTTAAATCTCTTCATCTTTCGTTTTGGTTGTATAAAATGGAAAACATCTCTCTTGGTTTCCATATGTAAATAGTCAACAATAGTCTCTGTGTTTTATCGACTTGCTTCACAATCTCAGGGTCATCTTGAATGCAAATAATTTGAAAGGCTAAAAATAAAACAATAGAATATTTTGTGTCAAAATGTTAAGACCAAGAGATCTAAAAACTGCTCAAAGGATTTGTCAATAAATGGAGAAAAGTATCACTCCAAGCTTAAATCTAAAGCTGTCTTTAATCCTTTGTCATCACAGTGAGATCGATTCGGGCTCCCTCAGGAATGTGCAAGAGAAGATCACGTGCCCAGCCAACAAACACCAGCCTTGCTGGATGTTTTGATGTTTAATAGTCCATGGCGCACATGTGAGGTATTAGTGTTCAACCTGTACCAGTTTTTCATGACCAATATATATAAGGCTAACCTATATATATTTAAAAAAAACTGCAGTGTTACACATTTCCTAATAAATGACCCATTTGCTAGCAGTTCAGGTATGTGCATAGAGATGACAGGAGGAATTATATTCTGAGGTACACATAAAAAAATATTAACCTGCACCATACATATGACCATGTTGGTGGGCTTAAGCATTTAAACGTAGGTGCTATATTGTAATTTCATTTTTAAAACAGATAAAATCTAATCTAAATATCATTTTTAGGTATAATATTTGGAAAACCTCTAAAACATGATTGTAACCATACCTAAATTGTGATTTTTCCAGTTATTTAAAATGTTTAGTGATGCCAACTTTGTTTCATTTATGGGAGAAAGAGAAACTATATAGAAAAAAATTCGTAAGGCAAAAAATAAAATAAAATAAGGGCATAGATACAATAAGTATGTTAAATCAAATTATGTCTTTTTTTTCTTTTTGCAAACCACAAAACCAAAAATGGATTTTCCCCCCTCAATATCAGCAAGAATTTGCTACCATGAGACAGTTCCCAGATATTCCCTGCTATTTTTAATAAATGAAAAAATATTGTAGAATACTGTATATGCCTATTGGAAACTTTTTTTGCTGGGCTCAATCTGAAAATATAGAAGAAAGACATTGAGCAGACTGTGAAACCTATGAAGTGTCTATCAGACAGTGATTCTTGGTATTTGCCAAGTATTTAAATTAAATTTGGGTATCTCTCTCTGTGTGTGCTTAGCACATAAATATTTTCTTTAGGCCGTGAACTTCTAGTTCTGATAAGTAGAAACAGTCTCCCTGTTTCAAGATAAGATATAATGTGTATTCTTTAGCTACTTCATCTTTATTATTGAGTTGTAAAATGTAAAATAGCTCATGGTAATCTCAAAAAAATGATCAAGAGATTGATCTTTAGTGCAAAGCATAACTACTTAATTATATAATTACAACTACATTTATAAATTTGCTGTGAGTTTTCCATCAACCTACAGATGACATTTCAAGTTTTATTCCAACTGGTATTGTTCACCATTTTTATACTTACAAAAAAATTTTCATTAGGATGAAAGAAAAAACTAGTAAACTTTTTTCTTGTTAATCTCATTCAACTCAGTCTTAATGAGGGTCTAAAAAATAATTTGACTCACTTGGATCCAGTCCAGAAGCTAATTTCCATGTCTAGAAATGGAAGTTAAGTAGTTAGTTACACATATCAGCTATAGGCAACTCCAAGAGAAGTGTGAAAAGTGAAAGTGGTATGCTTAGAAGTAGCTGCTGCAGCCTGGTTTGTGATTGCAGAAATGATAGATGAAGTTGGGTTATCCATGGAGAGAAGCTAGGAAGGACAATGAGACTGCATAAACCATGGCAAACTCAAATTACATTTAAAAAATAATACAGATTTGATAATAGTGCCCAGAATGGAAAATTGAGTATCTTATCTACATTTAAGATGAGTGTCCCTCTGCCAGGCAACTCAAATAAGGTCCATTTTAGCCGTTTACTATTGAACAGAATTGGAGAATAAATGGAAAACTATTGACTCAAGTAGAAAACCATTGACTTCAAAAATGGTGAGATAATTGGTATTTTAAACATATATATTTGACTGTGCATGGTCATATATGATTTTTCATCATGTCCTCTCTTTGTGTTATGACTTATTGTTTTCTAAGCAAGAATAAAAGATTTCCACTTAAAAATGTGAAGGATCAGTACACCAATTCCTTAAAACACAAAACATTTAGAGGTAATTTTTCTTTAAGAAGCACTTTGCAGTTTTAACTGTATCTTGATTTTATTGGTTGCTTAAAAGTTTATGTCTTATTTCTCAAGTGTTCCCAATCAGATCATACACATCTATGTAGGTAAATTTGTCACCACTAACAACAACAAAAAAATGTATCAAACATTCACTCTTTACAAAGTATTGGGTTAAACCTAGGACGATAAGAAAGATAAATGAGATACGGTCTTAACAATGAGTTCTACCTTTCAAAAACATGGACTCATTTTGACCAGCAGAACCAAGAAAGAGAGACCGACTTTTACCTTAGTAAGCATAACTTAGTGACAGCAGTAGAAATATTGCCAGTGCAAGGTACTAAAGAGAGAATGACAAACTCCAGGAAATCCTAGTCCTAACTAGAAGATAGAGAAACTAAGTAGTTTATTCTAGAATGAGTGTACACGTTCCCCCAAAATTCATGTATTGAAACCTAATCTCCAATGTAATAATGTTTGCAGGTGAGGCCATTGGGAGATGATCACTCATGAGGATGGAGCCCTCATTAATGGAATTAGTGCCCTTATAAAAAGAGGCCCCAGAGAGCATCCTTACTTCTTCACCATGTAAAGACCCACAGCAGAAAGAAACCGTCTGTGAATCAGGAAGCCAGTCCTCACCAGACACTGAATCTGCCAGTGCGTAATCATGAACTTTCAGCCTGCAGAACTGTGAGGAAGAAATTTGTGTTGTTTAGAAGCCACGCAGTCTATGGTATTTTATTATAGCAGCCTGAATTAAGACACTATTATAAATTCTAATATTCCTGTCACAGGACTATAATATGTAGTACCGATGTTCTCAGCTGGGGTGATACTGGGTGCTCCTACCATCTGGTTGGTTGAAGACAGGGATCCTGCTAAACATCCTACAATACACAAGACAGCTCCCACAACAACAACAAAAAATTACCTGGTCCCAAATGTCAGTCATGCAGATTATTCTACTTGTGATTTGATAAGCAGTCTGTGATGTAGTACTTATTAATCAATAACCAAGATGCTAGTTGAATTGTAAATATTTAATCTGGTTTGTGTGTTCCCAAAACTAAATTAGCTAAATTGGCCCTATGGAGTTGTGGGTATTAATAAAGAAATTGTATTGAATTATTTGACTGCTTACCTAGATAGCATTCAACAATTAGCCATTAAAAAGATGGAAATAAACAAGAAAAAATACTATGGAAACAGTTTAATTGACAACAACATGAATTCATTTCTTCAAAAGTTATGCTGTGGTGGTAGAAACACGAGCTTTAGATTCCAAAGGCCGAGAAAGGCAACTCGGAACATTGTGAACTTGACAGTTTGGTCTTGTGTCTGTGAGTCCCAGTTACCCTCTTCTGTAAATTGCAAGATTTTCAGGCCATCTTGTACAGCTGCTGTGATTATTGGAATTGAGCTAAGCAAGGCAGGGCGTATGTTAGGGTCTGAAGAAGACAGCTATTATTAGAGCTGCTACCACTAATGTTAGACCTTTTATTAAGATAACCATTAATATTCACGGTGTGTATTCCCTTGGTATGGCTTGTACAGAATTCAATATGAATAGCAGAGGAAGAAAGAATCTGCGATTAGACTTCCTTGCATCTTGTCTCCATATTTTTTTTAGCTTTTAGAATTTAGGAATTTTTCTGAGTCTCACGGAAAATTGCCAGTTCCTCATCTATAGAACTAACTTTAATATATTTTTCTTCATGAGCTGCATCAATGTTCAGAAGTGTGTTGGTCTTTTCTGTACAGAAGTATGAAGAGCTGCTCCTATTTTGCACGCTTACCCTAGCAAACATTGCTGGAAGAAATAAAACCTACATTAGGAAGGGTAGGGCAATGTTAGGGAGGAATATTGGAGAATTATGGCAGAGTCACCTCTGTTCCTAGCCCACTACATCCTGTGAAAAAAGTGATGTCTAATGAAAGTCAATCCATTCTACTTTAATACAGATGGTTAATTATCATTGACTCATATTGATATTTTATTATAATGACCTCATTATTAAAAGATGGATCCAATTAAGAATATATTTACATAACAATAATATAATTTGACTAGGAAGTTTCTCACTAACACTCAAGTGTCTAATTTCATTAAGCTAATAAATATTGCCAGAGGGCTATGCATGTGATAGTCGTGTCTGAACTTACCAATGGCTAAATTCCAATTTCCCTGAAATGGCCCCTGGCATTTTAAGTGTTCTCCATGTCAATGAAGTGCATGATTTTTAAATTTATTTTATTTTTAATTATTATGGGTACATAATAGTTGTATATATTTATGGAGCACATGTAATGTTTTCATACAGGAAAACAATCTGTAATAATTGGGGTATCAGTTCAAACAAGGGAAATATTGTTTATTTCTATTCCCAAGTTTTATTTGGATCCTCTGTTAAAATCAATTCCCTAATTATATCTTCTGTACTAGATTTTAGTTTTCTACCCTAAAGGATACTTATGTTGAAAATCTTTATTAAATATATTTTAAAAGCAAAGTTTACTGTTGTGGTTGCTTTACTTATATTAACTAAAATAAAGATTTTCTGCTTTTAGAAACAAATGCCGTTACTGCAAGAGTTACGGTAATTCTTAAGGAATCAGTTTTAAAAAATTGGTGAAATTTTTTTCCTTGCTCAAAATACTAGTTTTTTTAATAAATGTTACTGATTGAATGTCATGAATTGTCAAAATTGAGTCATAAGAATTCCTTCTCTAAATGTAACAAATTATCATGATACTAAATTTTTTAGTAACTTTCTATAAATAATCCTACCTTAAAAAAAATGTTCTTCTTCTTTTTTTAGAGACAGGGTCTTGCTCTGTTGCCGTGGCTGAGTGCAGTGGCATGATCATACTCCCAGCAGCCTCAAACGCCGGGGTCAATGATCCTCCCATCTCAGCCTCTCCAGTAACAGCTGGGACTACAGGCTCATGCCATCATGCCCAGTTAATTTTTCTTTCATTTTTTTTTTTCTCTTAGAGACTGGAATCTATCTATAAGGCTCACACTGGTCTTGAACACCTGGGTTCAAGCCATTCTCCTACTTCAGCCTCCCAAGTTGCTGGGATTACAGGCTCAAGCTACCTGTGTTCAGCCCAACTCTTTTTTGACTAGCACGCTGGGCACATATCAGAACACTTCTCACTTGATAAATAAAAGCTAGTACTTAAGAAGAACATAACTGCCCCTGCTCCAGGACTGTTCAGTGAAATCTTTATTGTTATTTTAATGGACTTAAAAAAATAATGATGCACTATTTTGTAAAACACCATTTTAGTTGATCTGACAACTTAGGTACATTGAGAGTAGATACCATTTGTAACTTAAAATGTCTGCTAAGACAAATCGACCCCAGGAAATTGGGTCTATAACAAAAACGTGTATAAACCCTCAGCAGTAGCAGTATTTTTCTAGTACCAGCAGGAGAAGTAATGAAGTCTTGTTGACATTAAGCTGGAGCAATGCTTTTAAGTAAAGGCCTGCCTAATTCTCGGATAGAATAATCCATAACTCAGCTCTCCAGGGGAAGCTCCTGTATTACCTCATTTCTATATTCAGCAGTCATAAAAAATGTCATTCAGATGACCTGAGGTGTACGATTTCATACAATGAAAAGAAAAAAGCTATCTCCTTGCCTGCACATGGGCCCTCTTCATGGCCAGTTGGCAGTGGCCGAACCTTTCCATCGCAGTTAGTTACTTGGTTGGGTTTCACTACAATATTACCAGATCTTGAAAAACATAGATCTTTAGGTTAAATGAAAACCTGAAAGTTGATGCCTTTAATCCTGTCTTTTACTAAATAATTCTGGAAATGACTTGCGTCAGTATCCATTCTGAGGTCCCATTCCCTGGATACTGCTCTGATCTCTCACTGAGAGTTCTGTTCATCTAGTGCCAAGTAGCAAACCAGATTTGCTGATGTTTTCAATGTCAATTCTATCATCAATCAATCCTTTCACATTCCTAGAAAATCCATATGCAATTAATCTTATTTTATTCTTCCTTCAATTAACTGAAGTTAAAGCTTAACTTCTTTTCCTTTAAGACCAAAATAAAGCGTTTTTTTCTAATGTATTCCCTGAAATTCTGTGTATATTTAAAGAATAATTTCTCCTCTCCTGGAGTGCCTCTCCTAATGAATATACATATGAAGAAAATAAATTAATGAGAAATAGCATAGTTTTGAGAAAATGAGTATGTCTAATACCTCTGGCACAAAAGTTTTAACATATTGAATGGATGGCAAAGCAGGGGGAAATATTAATTCAATCAATCCAGTGGTTCAAGGAACATTCTGAAGGAGCATTTCTTCAGGTTAAAACACTTGAGGTTGCACAGTTTTCAAGAGTGGCTCTGAAATGTGAATTGATCTAAACTGTACTGGAACATAACTCTTAGTTTCATCTTGTAGTTTCATCTTGTAAAATATCTCTGGATAACAATTTATTACCCATCGTGAAAATTAGCTTTTCTGTAACCTTAATAGTGGGTCATTTAAATCATAACCTTAACACCTTTATTATTATCACTCACATTCTAATACTTGATTAATAACCTTATCTATTATTATCCCAGGCATAGACAAATTTACAGAATCCTCTTGAAGCTTTGATTGTTACAGACTGAAGATTTAGATGCTTTAGTATGTATTTTTCTACCAAATCCCTCCAATCACAGTATTTCATCAACCAAAGTATGCTTTAGGAAAATTTGTATTCTACAGTTTTTTCTTAAACATGACATATTATAAAACATAAATTCCTTTGCCAGTTGGTAGTATTCTTAGCATAACTTTTCTAAGACATTTAAAACCTGACATTTTGAGGCATTGCATTATACTTTATTATAAATTATAAGTGTAGCACATCTATCTATTCAATGATTCATTCTTACAATAATTCCACAAATATTTATGAACACTTCCCTCTGTCAGGTATTGCTCTAATTGCCAGGATACAACTGTGAGTAAGACAAAGCTCCCTGCCCTCAGGGAGCTTACATACAACTGGAGAAAAAATAAAATCAATCAATAAAATAACTTTTTACTGTAACAAACAATGAAGCACATTGCCAACAACAAAGAATAGAGATTCACTCTCCAAGTTCACAATGCAAACACAATGTATGGTGTTTATTTTTCCCAGAACCAGAACATAGTAGATTGTCAATAATTTTGAAGAAGTGAATATCATATACAATAAATATTGTCCTGGAAAAAAGATTATCAAGAAGTGTTCTGACAGGATTATGTGCATCTTCTTCTGTTTACAGCATGTAATATAGACTGAAATTATATATTGTACTTATTCATAAAGTACAAAGTGGTTAAAAAAAGAAATCAAATGAGTTTAGGTGTGGGTGTCTTCTACACTCGAGATGCTTGCAGTTTCAGAGAATACCAACAAAGAAAGATTATCTTCACCAAGCCCTGAACAGTTTTTATTGTACCTTTGCGAAAGAAAACTGCCTGTTATGCAGCAGTTATACTTTCATACACAGATGAACATAAAAGAGTTGGAAATATCATTCTTGAATTGGAATAATACTCCACTGCAAACTTCTCTCCTTGGTCTCTTCCCATTCTTTGTATTTCTGTGATAAAGGGGCAGTTGAAAGCCATTTGCATAGCTTCTAGTCCTTGGAAAGACATATTGTTTCCCTTTTGCTTTTATTTTGATTAAATATTCTCATATTCATAGAGTACCCTGATTGGTAAGTTCAACTCATCTTGGTTTTGGTCTAGAGGGGAGGATAAAGTGCTATCCAATTTTGAGAGCTATCTGCAATTTTGCTTAATATTCGCTTTGCATAAAGTCAGAAATTTTTGGAGAGAACTATAATTGCCCCATATTTAAAATATTATTGAGAATGCAATAGACTGAATTCAAAATGCACTTTGAGATTCAGCCTACTCACTTAAAAAATAATTTTTTCCAAGTTCATTTGCAAAGTTCTGTTGAATTCTTTTTTTAGTTATACTTAGTTATATTTAAAAACTTAATAAAAAGGCCTGTGCTATAAGAAGTTAGTGTTCTTTGCCATTATTCCTTTTAGTTTTAAAGGTACTTTGCAGCACATGTGTTAGTACAACTTACAAAATCTGGTAAAAATAAAAGGGAATTAAAGATGTTATTGAGATGCTGTGAGTTTGCAAAACATAATTTAAAAAGTTAGGAATTAACTACTGATTTCTTATAATAGTGTATTTTTAACTCTTATCTAACCTGGAATCATCTTGCATTGTTTAGCAAAATTCATCTTGCGTTTTTGGAGTCAAATGATGGCAAAACAGCACAAGCTGGAAAACTGATCATGGATTTTGAAATAGCCACCGTCTTTTCTGCTCCCAGAATTTTATGAATATTTTTTTCTTATTTTTTTCCTTAATCCTAAGGTATTTTATTTCTACAAAAACATTTATTGACTCACATAGTTTGTCAGGTATTTAATAAAGAAAGGTTTTACTTCTTGTGTGTTTATTCATTTGCTTAATCACAAAAAAACTGTTTCCTCCAACTGTAATTGATGTTTCTTTAGCTTCTTTGACTCTTATCAAGTGGTTTGTGTTGTTATCATTGACTTTTTGAATTGTTTAGCACTTTTTTGTCTTCGTTTCAGTAACTTCACATACAGTATGTATTCAGAAAAGAGCCTGAGGTATGTTAAAAGGGGTAATGTCAGTGAGCCCCGCCACGTCACAGTGACAGCTTCAGGTTCCTGATATCTTCTTCGAGGTGATAACCATTAATAGCTGCTTGAAGGGCTAGATGTATTTTGGTTGTAACAAAAGGGAGTGTAAAGTGTTGCCAGAATCATGGTGATACTCTACTGGAGAAAATAAGAAACACTAAAAAAAATAAATAAAAAACTTACCTCTAAGTATGATAAACTCCAAAGGAAGATGTAGATAAAAAAAGACACTAAGATATTTGTGTGGCATGCTATAAGCAAGTTTTGAATTGTATTCTTCAACATTTGATAAAACAAAAATTCAAACTCTTAATAAAAATTAACCCCTCTCCTTTTTTTTTTTTTTTTTTTTTTTCACTTTTCTCTGTGCCAGGCCTGGTGATAAAATTATCCTGCCAAAGACCTTGGTCTGAAGCCATTATTTGTGTAGCCACTTCTTCAGAAATCAGAAAATCATTTAAGCTTGGGTTAGACAGCTGTGTGAAGTGTTATCAAGTAAGTGACATCTGCAAATTAGACAGAAAAGTATGCAGCTGGCAAAATAATCTAAAATGCAACAGTTTTCTGAAATTCTTGGGAGCTAAAGAAGGGACCAGGAAAAAGAGAAAAAGAAACAAAAATGTTTTCTAGGCTAGATTTTAAAGAAGTCAAGATTATATATATATGTAGCAAAGAAAGGCCTTACCTATAGCTTAATAATTTTAAAATGACATTTCTAATCCAATTATATGTAATAATGGGAATAGGACAGACCTGGGCTAAAAACTGACAATTTATGCCTAAGTGTGTGTGCACCTGTGTGTCTTTTTTAGTGTCTGTCTAGGTAAAATGAATTCTCTAGATTAAGTGGAATGAACCAATGAACTCATAGGTCACCTCCTCCTCCTCTGCCAACTTTTTCATTTTGGTTTTTACTTAGCTTAATTGCTTTTGGTTTGAAATTTGCAATCCTGCTACTTGAGGTTATAAAACAATAGTTGACTTAATAAGAACACACCAACTAAAATTATCAGGAGAAATTAAGGAATTTCAGGTCAATAGGAGGATGCAAGGGAAACCTCTACATTACAAACAATTTATTTATATGGGCTGCAGTTCTCTGTTCTAGTTATGTATTGCTGCATAATAAGTCACCACAAAACTCAGTGTGAAAGCAATTATGATTATCTTGTCCCTGATGCTGCAGTACGATCAAGGCTCCAGTAGATATCTCAGCTCTTCTCCGCATGCATCTGCTGGGCCAGCCCAAAAGTAGGGGTTATTTGACAGGTGGGACTAGAATTATTGCAGACATCACTTGGGTTGGCAGTGAAGGTTGGCTGTCAGCTGCTACTTTGCCTGAGGCCATCTGCTAGAACCTTTGCACATGTTCTTGCATTGTGGCTAGTTGGCTTTCTAGCAGCATGTCTACCGGGTTCCCAAGGGAGTATCCCAAGGAGACAAAATGGTCAACCATGGCTTTCCTGTAGCCATAACCAAAAAACATACCTGAAACTAAGAAGAAAAAGAAGTTTAATTGGACTTACAGTTCCACATGGCTGGGGAGGCCTTAGAATCACGGCAGGTGATGAAAGGCACTTCTTACATGGTGGCGACAAGAGAAAAATGAGGAGGAAGCAAAAGTGGAAACCACTGATAAACCCATCAGATCTCATGAGACTTATTCACTCTCATGAGAATGGCACAGGGAAGACCGGCCTCCGTGATTCAATTAGCTCCCCCTGGGTCCCTCCCACAACACGTGGGAGTTCTGGGAGACACAATTCAAGATGGGATTTGGGTGCAGACATAGCCAAACCATATCACCGGCCTTGAAGGTCACATAACATCCTTTCTACTCTATTCACAAAGTTCTACCTTTCAAAGGGAGGGTCTGTCATGGAAACCACCTCATGGGAGGAATGTCATTTAACATGAGCCCAGGGAACAAAATATCTTGCAGAGGCCCTCTTTGAAAAATACAGTTTGCCACAGTCTGCCACCTGGCCACAACAATCCATTCCCCTCTTCCATGTAAAATGCATTCAACCTCTCCCTCAAAATCTAAGTCTCAGGCCTTTATATGTTAGTTTGCAAGGGGTGCCATAACAGATATTTCAGACTGGGTGATTTAAACAATAAAAATGTATTTTCTCACAAATTTGGAGTCGGAATTTTGAGATGGAAGTGTCAGAATGCCTGGTTTCTTTTGATCCCTGTCTCCCAGGATTCTCCCTCTGTAGATGGCCCTCTCCTCCCTGTGAAGATGGCCATCTCCTCCCTGTGTTTTCACAGTCTTCCCTCTGTAATTGTTTCCAAATTTCCTCTTCTTGTAAGGACGCCAGTCCTATTGCCATGTTGGGTTCAGGTTCAGCCTAATAACTTCATAGTAATTTAATTACCAACTTAAAGGCCCTGTCTCCAAATATAGTCATATTCTTAGGCACTAGGGGTTAGACATTTATCATATGAATTCTGGAAGGACACAATTTAGTCTATTCCATGATAGCTGTTTGAAGTCTATTACCTAAATCGTCTCCAGGTACAGATGATTCTACTTGGTTGCATTCCCTGAGTATTTGCTTTCAGACTGAAGAACTGTGAATTAAAGAGAGAAGTGTTTTGTCTCTCCTTCTCCAGCCCCATCGCACACAATATACAATGGTGACACAAGCATGGGATATAGACTTTCAAAACTCCTCTTCTAAAAGGAAGAGACTAGGAGGCTCACAGAAACCACTAGCCCATGGCCATTCTGAAATCCTGTGGGATACATACTGCTTGTTCCTTGGTGATAACTTTATGGATCTCCTTCTTTTAAAAGATAAATTAAAGCCCTCTATAAGGGAGAGTGTGTTTTTATATTTGTAGGAGAGAGTTCTTCCTTAGAAATCCTCGTGCTGTCTTCGGGTTCATCATTTCTTATTGCAGGTAAAGGAGTACCCTGGCAACAGTGGCAGGTTGTATTTTCTAAGTTAGTCATCATAATGCACCCTACATTTTCCTCTGTGTATGTGAGGTTGACCTGCTCTCACTGAGGGGATATGTCCCATCCCTTTGCACCTGCGTGGGACTTAGGGGCTGCTCCACGTGAGCAAGTATGGTGAAAGTGATGCAAAGCAAGACCCAAGGTGAGGCCATAAAAGGCCATGCACTCCTGATATTCTTACAGGACACTCAATTTTGGATCCCATCACCATGCTGTGAGAAAAAACAAATAGCAACATAAAGAGATCCTACGTAGGTGTTCTGGCTGATAGCCCCATCTGGGGTTCCAGCCAACAGCAGTCATCAGGCATGAATGAGAAACACTGATTATTTCAGTACCTAGGATCGAGCCATCCCAGGCCTTCCAGTTGCCCCTCTCGACGCCACATGGGATACCTCCTCTAAGTCTGGCCCAAATAACAGTTTAATGAGAAAAAAAATCATTGATGTTTGATGCCACTTAGTTTTAAAGGGAATTGGAACAGAGTTCTGTACCTGGAGGAAGGTGCTCCTATAACAACCCAAACACTGACATTAGCTCTGGGCTGACGCAGTGGACACAATCGAGGAAGACACTAAACGATGTTCACAAGAGAACCTTGGAGAGAGTTAGCAGAGACATAATGGGCCTGGAGGAGGCTTCTGAGTAGGGCTTAACAAAAAATATGAAAAATTAAAATGATAGTAAAAGCTGGCAGAAAGGAGACCCTTGCTTTATACTAGCAATAAGTTTCACAACGTTGTTGCCTGAAGTAACATAGGAAATCAACAAGGCTTCTAATTAAGTTGATAATGTAGTGAAGAGATTTTGAAACAGGTAGTGAACCACAGGACCACGTGACTTTCTCTACCTCCACATGACAAATGAGAGAGGGTGAGACAAACTAGAGAAAGAACTGTTAACTACAAAAGACCTGGGATTTGCTGGGTTTGAAAATAAAACTCTTCTTTATTCCTAGTCTGTCCAGATGGCAAAGTCTGCTGAGATTAAAAAATGGCTTTTGGGCAGAGAATAAATCCAGGACATTGTCAAGAAAACAGAACCTAAAGATGAAGCCAAGGGGGTGACTGGAAAGCATGTTTAAGACATTTAAGGTGGTGCCTCAGAGACCCTTTCTAACAGGTGTCATTAGTGAAATCATTAATAGCATCTATTTAGGGAACAGTTCAACTTAGCTCTCTGAACCTCTTCTTTTATTGTGAAATAATATTCTTGTATTTTATCACACCACCTTATATTTTCAATCTCTGCCATATACTTTATTCATTTAATCATTATTTTAATGAAACATACTGGATGAGGAGGGCAGATATCATTGCTCTCCATTGTCTCCAATGACATTACATTCCTTGAGGTCAGCTTAAGTATCTATCTTTGTTACCCCATCAGCCCAGGGACTAATTCTTTGACTTTAGAAAGTGTCTCTCTGCCAGGCTCTACTCACACTACCACCTCTGTTATCTCATCAGTTCTCATGACAACCCCATACAGGCAAGGTTATTACACCCAGATGTCAGATGAGGTAACTATAAAACCCAAAAAGGTTGAATAAATTTCCCAATGTCACATTGCTACTGTGTGTTAGAATTGGAATTCTAATATGGTCTTTCTGACTTGAAAATAAGCAAGTGACCTTTCCATTTTACTCAGCCATCTTGCATGTAATAGAAACACAGGCATATATGCACTCAAAGGAAGAAAAGAAATGATGTCATTTGATTTCTAATCTTGTGGCTCTGAAACACTGAGACTTTATACTTTCAGCATCTCCTGACAAATCATCCCAAGGCAATGCTGTTTTTAATATTAATTATTCAAATAAGTTGTAAAATAGTTTTTGAATTTAAAACTAATGTGGATGACATGTATACATATGTAACTAACCTGCACATTGTGCACATGTACCCTAAAACTTCAAGTATAATAATAATAATAAATAAATAAATAAATAAATAAAAAACTAATGTGGAAAAGGACCATTCCTTTAACATTTATTGTGTGATATTTTAATCCATGGATAAACTGTTCATAACTGTTAATATAAGTCTTTCTTGATTTTTCTTACCTATTTTCACAAAAAATGATAATCTGGAATTATATTTGTATAACTCAATTATATGATATCTCTGAATAAAACAGATACTCAATATTTAGATGGTGATCACTTCATTTTTCCAAATTCCATATGTGTACATTTGTGTGCATTATAGTCACTACTTGAAATATTTTATTTCATAATCTAGTGACAAACTTGCTGATATGGTTTGGCTGTGTCCCCACTCAAATATCACCTCGAATTGTAATAATCCCCACATGTCAAGGGCAGGACCAGGTAGAGAGAATTGAATCATGGGGGTTGTTTCCCCCATGCTGTTCTCTTGATAGTGAGTTTGAGTGTTTGCTTCCCCTTAGGCCATGATTGTAAGTTTCCTGAGGCCGCCCCAGCCATGCTGAACTGTGAGTCAATTAAGCCTCTTGCCTTTATAAATTACCCAGTCTTGGGTATGTCTTTATTAGCAGCGAGAGAATGGACTAATACATTTGCCTTCTCCTTGTTTTGGAATTGTCTCTATATTCATTGGTTTTGGTGTGTAGAGCCTGGCAATGAGCAGAAAATGAAGTGTGTTGTGTCATTCACTGAGTCATTTGTTCATTCATACTTCTTCCAACAAAAGGTGCTAATCTTGGGTGTCAGACACTGAGTTTATCCTTGATTTATTATGGTCCTGAAGCACATAGACAGATAAAAGGGAAAATTCATTTACAATGCAGTGTGAACGTATTATTGTAGATCTGCATGTAAGACGCAATGAGAAATCAGAGCTGGAGGCCGAGAAGGCTTTTATTAAGAAGGGATTTTAGATCACAGCCTTGCAGGTCTTAGCCAAATTAAGCAATTAATTGGTGAGTATGGAATAGGTAAGTGGTCTGTCAAAAGGCTGTGAAATTAAAGCAGAAAGATTCTTTATTTTGGAAAGGTAAAGGAAAAAATTTCTGACTTATCTACCAAAAATTTATGAAATAAATTTATAACATTTATTTAAAAATGTATAACCAAAAGAAAATATAGGAGGTGTTTTCTACCTACATGATTTATTTCCTGAATATCTACATATTAGGTGGAGTTCCCTTTTCATTTTCTAAAGAACTTAGGTTCCACACTATATAATATTTGTCTTATATGACTCTATTTTAAAAGTACGAGTCTTGAACAATATGAATGGTACACACAAAAGGATCAAGTAATTTTTTTTTATTTTGCACATTTTCCATTTATATTCTTCCTTAATGGGTTGCCATAAATATTTACTTGACGTAATTTTTGGTAGCAATTTTTAGAATAATTCTAACTATTACAAAAGTAGCATCAATGAGAAGACCTACAGTTTTAATATTATTTTATTAGTTAATATACCTTCTATATTCCACATATTGTGCTAAGTCTTTTGTACAGAGTATTTCTTTGATATTCACATTAAACTCTATTAAGAAGTAAATATTGTTATTACCCCCAGATACCTTTGCAGATCAAAAAATTGAGACTTAGAGAAACTTCAGACACAGAGTAACTGAATATAGAAAATATTTAGAAAATCTTATTTGATCCAGTTGCAAGAGAATTTCAAGCAATGTGACAAAGTTCAAAATTATCAATTTATTACTTAATTACTCACATTCCAAATTTGGTTAATGTTTATGAATAACACACCACCCGAAACTTAGTGGCATAAAATGACGGCCATTAAAATATGTTTTTCTTTATCAGCCTTGGTCCAATGTAGAAAGTGAAATTGCACAGTAATTCGAACAGGTAAATGTATACTATAAAATATAAACAATTAAAGATAAAAAGTGAACAATTAAAGATAAAGAGAAAAATTTATAAATAAATATATAACATAAATAATTATTAACTTTTACAGAGTATTGAAATAATGGAGGAATGTCAAGAAGCAAAAAGAATTGTAAAGAATTTAAAAAATTCTAAAGAATATAAGATGAGCAGATATGATATGACACAATATAACATACCTATGTAATATAAATATTATACGAAGAGTAAAATGTAATACAATGTAACATAATTAAATAAAATAAAATCTGGCATAATATGATATGGTATGATCCAACATGATCTAATATAATAGCTGTCATCACTGGTGCTAAGATACAGTACCCAAGGAAGAACCACCCCACTTCCTCCCAGGCTGAAAACTAGGCTCCCAGACCTCACTGGTGAGGACATAGTCACCGATCACTGTATGGCACATAGGTTTCTGTTGGGGCATTCTGATGGAATTTGGTGAAACTTCACCCTTTGGAACTTACAGAGCTCTAAGATGCTGCAGGGGAGCCACGGCCCACTGCGTGCTGCGTGCTGCTGGCTACAGTGTATTGCCTGGGCCACCCATGCCGCAGGAGCCTTCAGAGCAAGAACACCAAAGTCAGGAAGCACATTCCTCTTCTCCAGCAGTATCTTTTCATCCTCCTCCATTGGCCAGGCCTAGTATCCTGGGTCATGTCTAAATGTGGCTCTCTTGTGTTTTTTTTTCTTGCCTGTGTCATGGCTTGTAATTTTTTTGTTGTAGTTGAAAGCTGGGCGTGTTGTATAGGACAATAGGAGTGGAGGTAATAGGACTATAGTTTGGGGGCTTATGTTAACCTGTCTAGAATTTGGGTTGTGTTGAAGGTTTATTGGTACTCCAGGGGTCAGAGTCGTCATATTCCTCTATTGGCCTTGCCTTTGTCTCACCTGTTAACTCCAGACTTTCCTAAGTGGTTCTGCTCAAAGAGACGGTCTGTATCTTGTACATCTTTTAGTGAAAATTCACTTTTGGTGTAGTGATAGATGTGGAAGATGGAAAATGTTCTGGAAATTCATGACTCATCCTCCATCTCTTAGTGGGCTTGTGTTCCTGAGCTGCAACCTTCACTTTCACACATTTTTTTTAGCTTCCCCACTCCTCTCAGGTGAAACAGGAAGGCTGGAGGGGCCTACACTCAGGTAAATGACCTTTCCACAGGTAGATCAGGCTCTGATAAAGTCTTTTCCTGTGGGGTTAGGCCTTTGTTTTAGAGAATTTTCTTGGTATATTTCACAGCTGTTACTTTCCCTTCCTTCTGCTAAAGCCAAAAGGGGATTTTTCTTAGCTCTAAGAACTAAGTTTCTAGTTAGAAACTAGTACTCTAGTCTCTAAGAACATGGTCCTTACTAGCTCCTCACTTTCAAACTAACCCACACCCAGCTTCCAGCAATTTATTAAAATTACCATCTAAGTGTTCTACCAGATTATGTCTCTGGTAGCTTCTGTCCAGGTATATCAACTCCACCTGTCAGCTGTGCCTGTCTCTCCAGATTTTGGGGTGGTTAACCCCAAAACCGCAGTTCTGTAATGGGTCCAAGAGAACATGTTTAAGTTTGTTGAGCTTTTTCTTATTACATGTAATAGAGTGATCACTTCCAAGTTATTTAACTTTTAAATAAAAACCTGTTGAGCAATTAATATATACCTACTTCTATATTACTTTCGGAACATATGTGCTCTTTTAAACCCATGTAGTTTTCAAAATGTTTTAAATTATGACTGACCCCAAGTCCCAATTCTCTCAAAATTGTCTCAAATAAACAAGTATTGAGCCATCGTGATGAATTATGTTTGTTCACAGGTTATTCCATTTAATTTTCTCTTCCCACCTCATTAAGATGTAAATAGTAACTCAGCTTCATAGAGAAGACTGAGGCTAAGAGAAAAGGATTGTCCAGGCTGAAAGGTTAGAAAAAGGCAGAAGCTGCTCTTCTACTCAGATTTCTGACTTCAATTCCACAAAGGTCTTAAAATTAGGAAAGCAACACTTAAGCACTTTAAATAGCTATGAAAAATGCAAAATGGAATCTATTCAAGCCCATGATTCTGTGTTAATTGTGCTCTGATGATTGTTCTCTTTCTTTGCAGCCCCACGGTAACGGAGGTGGAAGTCAGTTCTACTTCTCTGTTGTTTTGCAAGGAATGTTCCTAGGAATATTCTGTTGCACCCTGGGAACATTATCTTCATCCGTATTTTAAGCTTTTTATAGACAAGCAAAAGAACCATTTAAAATATATATACCACAGCTTCTGATACAGTGTTGAAATACTACAGGCATATTAAGCAGTTTCTCCCATTCACAAAGGAAGAGTCAAGTGAGATTTGACAACAATTTTATGAAACTGACAAAATGAATCACAATCAATTAATATGTAATGGTTTTATTTATAAGAATTTGATGGTCAAAGCTGTGAAAGCTTATATACTTCTCTCTGGAAGCAGGATTAAAGGAGTTCCCTCTTGGTGAACTCACCAACACACAATCTTGAGCTGGAGAAGTCATTACATCATTACAAAGTATGTAATTTTTGACTTTTTATTTATTAATCCCCTTAGATACACAATGCATTTTACAATAATGAGAAGTTGTTTCCTAAAGTGACAATCATTTTTCTTCATAAACATAATTTGCTTCCTTAACTATTTAGGAGTATTTAGTTCCTTTAGAGTCCATATCTGTTTTTGTCTTTATGGGGCATTCCACAATTATCCTTCACTTGCCATAAGTGAGTCAATCTTTCAGTTTCATTGGTTCTGGAAACCTGTCTTAGTATTTTGTTATATTATCTTTCTATTTTTTACTTGTTATGGTTAAGAAATACAACTTTATCAAGTAAAAGTATATAAAAGTAGATATTAATTTCTCCATTTGTTAGACTGATTATTCACTATGGGCAAATGGACTTAAGTAGGCCTTTCAGATTATTCTGTGTTCATATGTGAGTAGCAGAGTTTTCACTTTGTATCCTAGAGGGTATTATAAACATTAATTAACTTCTATAACAACCCTGGGAAATGTAGGCTGTATTATGTCTATTTTGTAGATAAAGAACTTGCAACTTGTAATCAAGCTATGCTGAGCTAGGTACTGAAGAGTTTCTCACAAACAAGAAGATATTGTCACAGGTTTGTACTGACCAAAAAAGAAAAAAAAAATCAGCCGTGTTTGGCTGCCATTTTTATTTGTGATTTTAAAAATTTTAAAAGTAAATATTAATTTAGTTATTACTATGGGCAAAGCATTAAGCCCACCCACATTCTTTCTTGTTTCTCACAAAAGTTATTCCCTAAACACATTCTTTTTCCTTACATTCACAGTTTCTCACCACCCAATTTGATCTGTAACCTTGCTTCTATCTGTTTATTATGAATTTAAGAACAGCTGGTGTTTGATTTACCAATTTCCCACCATTTATGCTTTTTATGTCATCTATTTTGACTCCAATTTGCATGTGTCTGCAAGCATTCTGAATATGAGAATTCTCTGCTCATCTTTAATCCAATTTATTTTTGTTTCCTGAAGTACCTTATTCTCATACTGTTGTGACCTCTTTCTAATACCTTCTGTGTCAACTTCCTCGTGTGTGCTTCCTTTCTGTAGTTCCCATTTAAAAACCCTTTGATCCTCTCCCTTTCCAATGATTACCGTATTTTCCCAAATATTTTATAGTCAAATCCTTTAACTTCCGTTTTTATACTCACTGTGCTCATTCCCTTAGCACATATCCTTTTCTCTAACGCTTGCAAAATCTTTCAAATCTAGCATACTTCAGATATCTGAATAGCCAGACGGGCTACTTCTTTCCATATCTTACACCTTTTTAATGTTTTCTGCAATACTTTAAACATTTGTCCTCTCTGCAACATTACTAGACAGGTTCCCTTCTTTAAGTTCTAATCTTTTGAAGCTTCTGACTTCCCTGGGCCTTCTTGACACTGTATTTTCTTGCGCTCTCTGACTGCTCCTTCTCTGTTATATTTGCAACTCCTCTTTTTTCTCTCACCTCTAAATGCCTCATGAGGAAACCAATCCTTCCCTCTGCTCTTATAAACTGAACCTGCTCTATCTGTGAAGCTTAACACTGCCTAGGAGAGTAGTCATGGAGTAGAATACATAGCTGTACGCTGGATGCAGCAGATCAGAAACAATGTCTAACTAAAGCATTCAAGAAAATAAAAATAACCTTTCTTCATTTCTACTTAAATGAGCTCTATTTGAGTTTTGATTTCTTCATTTCTACTTAAATGAGCTCTATTTGAGTTTTGAGATCTCATTCAACCAATGCATGTCAGTGCAAGGTTTGAATTCTGGTGCCGGTCTGCCATCTTGAATCTTCCACCTAAGATGGTATTTGCTGAAGGATTCATTGTGTGGTGGGATCTTTAAACAGAAATCCGAGCTGGACACTGATGAGCTCATCTTACCTCCGGTTTGCCTGTAGGTAACGGATACTTTTGTGTCCTATCTAAGGCTATGTAGCTATTCACCAGGTTTATAGTCACTTGGATATGATACCCTCTTAGGGTCTGAGGAGGCATATTTACATAGATTTCCTAAAAACTCATTTCCATTCTTTAGCCTTTTAATCCCCTTCACACCGTACCCCTCTCCCCAGCTCCCTCACTCAAACCTCTGTCTGGGGTCAGGGAATGGGACCATCAATTTGAGACACTGAATTTACATGTTTTCTTCATCTCTGTCTCCCCGTTTACTCTGTCTAGCGCAAATGATCTTCTCTCCAGCCTTTATGGGAAACTCAAGTCCCCAGCTCTCTTCACAGTGACATTTCTCTCACATATTGAAGTCCCTCCAATAACAGTTTAGCGTCCTGGATATCAAAAGCAAGATAGTCCTTAATTTCTATTATTTTTTGTCATGTTGGAGTCTAAGATAGACTACTCTAGCCCCTAGAATGGAGATGAAAAGGGTGGCAAAGTTCATCAGAAGAAAAATTATAAACTTCTATCCTTTCACATGACACCAGTTTTTATTTAGCTACAGGCAAACTATGCTTTATATCTGCAGGCCTGTCATCATCAGAGGAGAGATAAAGGAAGTCGTGTTGTGGCTTCTCTGTGCTAACTTCCTAAAACCATTTAATCCATTTCCAGAGGTATTGGTGGAATAAAAATAAACCTCCTTTCCTCCTTTTCATGCCCAGGTTAACTTTGAATCTGGCAAGTAACTGAACTTTTTTACCTGTGCTTCTGCAGTAACCCAGAGCTAAGATGTTTCCTCCCAAACCCCCAGGCACATGACATTCCTCAGAGAAGCTCTAGGGTCGTGAGGAAGATTGTAGCCTCTGCCACGATCCCATTCCCAGCTCTGTTGATACAGCGGGGTGAGTTACTTCCATTTCTTTGCTTCTGTTTTTACTAAGGCATACTCATGGTCTTTGAAGTATAAAATTATGAGAATTCATGGAGTAAAAGACTTAATGCAGAGGCTGGAACATAGTATATATTCAATAAATGTTCATCACTGATGTGATGAGGACACTGGGTCTTAATAGAGTACTTTGGCAAATATTAAGTATTGAAAAATTTTTGAAGTGTCCGTTCAGTAATTTGAATGACAAAGCTAAGGCTCAACTGAAAACTCTTTTCTAGTAACTCAAATTCCATGCCTTTTTAAAAAGGTTCTTGTTAGTGAGACAGTAATAAAATTAATATTTATTTTATTTTTTCATCAGCAATGAAAGAGTTCATGTAAGTTTTGTGGCTGATTCAGTTGTCTATTGCTTCATACCCAACTACAGAATTCAGGTGCTTCTGATTCTGAGGGCTGGCTGGACAGGTCTTCTGGTGGTCTTTGCAGGACTCACTCATGAGGTTCCTTTATCCAATGGGTTTTCTTGTAGCTGAGCTATACTGGGATTCTGCATTGGATGAACTTCTCTCTCCCTGTGGACTCGAGGACTCTCCATATCCACCATTTCTGAGCCTCAAGGAGGGTGACCTGGGTTCTTGCATGGCAGCTGGGTCCCTGGGTTCCATGTTCCATGAAGAGAATGCTTATCAAGTCTCTGCTTGGATCATGTTTGCTAATGTCCCATTGGCTCAGTAAAACCACATAAACAAGCCAGGATCAACATGGGAGGGGGCTAAAGAAGATGCAGAATACTGGAAGTGCAATTCATGAGCAACTACCAACGTAACTGTGCACCCAGATTCTGGGGATTTATAAAGTGTGAAATTAGTTCAGCTGGAAAATACATTTCTCAGACTCATCTCCTCTGCATGACTACAGGTAAGAGTTGGCTAAAGGAGGTAGTCCATGAAATTGCAAGGTGGTAGGGAAGCAATTATCATTACTCCGTAAAGGTTGTTATGGTCAGATATAATGTCAGGTGAACACATAAGTGCCTGCTGGGCTCCAGTTTGTCCTCGCCGTCCTCTGATCCATGCCCAGCTCACATTCATGTCCACAGAACCTGTTGAACAACAGTGGTGCCAACTCCACAAACCAGATGCTCGGCTCTAGACCCACTGAGTACTGATGGCACAGAGGCTCAGCTTCCCAGAGGTGACCCTCCAGTTTTCCTTCTTGGTCCCAGTTTGGTGCATGATTGGCTTGTGTAGTGGCTGCAGAAAGACTCTTGCTTTAATCCTATCCATGTTCCATTCCCAACTTTCCAAGTTCTCCGCACACTTGTGTAGGGTCTAACCCCTATCCTACTTTCTCCATAACAGTTATTGGGGCTCTGATTCTTTCAAGGCCTCCTGAGGTGGTGATAAGCTCCATATTTTTTCTTCTGGGTTTGCCTGCATACACCATAAGGCAGGAGAAACAATTGACTTACAGATGTGTAATTTTAACATCTGAAGAAAACTTTGTGCTATAAACTGAATAGAAAAATAATCAAGACAAGCTTTCTATGATTCTTAATAAAATACTACATGTTCATACCATTTTACCTCTCATTAGAATACTTCATCTTTAAGTCTCATTTTTGTGATCTCTAAATATTGTATGGTTAGATGTGATAAAAAGTATTATGCAAACAAATGTGAAATTCTAAGTCTTTATACAGTTGTCTCAATTTTACTTTTCAACCCAATCAATCTTATTAACTTTGTATGTAATGTTCTCTATTTCCTTACAACTGTGATTTTCTTCTTTAAGCTGTTAAATATTATTTACCTATCAACAGCAACAAAAGTTTTCCACAATTACCAAATCATGCAATACTCTGGAGAAATACACTTGGAAATGATGGCAAAAGAAAAAAATAGTTGGTTGAATTTTCATTAACCTTGATATAATTTATTCCTGTCATGCATTCTTGTATTGATTCCTCTGTGATATGATGAGGGTTATTTTTTCACCTTATAGTTTTTTTGGTAAAAGATATGTATGTATAATTCCTTATTATATAGCTACAGTAGTTTTTGTGGTTAGGAAAACAATCTATTCTTATCATAAAAATTGTCCAATATTATAGAAATTACCAAAATATGATATCAACTTGACTGGTAGAAATAACTCCTATTAAATATTTAGTACTTCAGATTTAATTTTCTGCACTGTTATAGACTGAATGTTTATACTCTCAAAATTTATATGTTGAAAAATTCTAACACTCAAAGTGATAGAATTAAGACATGGGGCTTTTGAGAGGTGATTAGGTCATGATGGTGGGGTACCCATGGATGTGATTAGTACCCTTAAAAGAGAGACCCCCGAGAGCTGTCTTGCTCTGCTCTTTTTCCACCAGATGAGTCCATCTGTCTTCCAAGAAGCAGACCCTCACCAGACACCTTATCTACCAGTGCCTTAATCTTAGACTTCTCAGCATTAAGAACAATGGCGAATAGATTGTTTAGGTCACTAGTTTATGGTGTTTTTGTTATAGCAGCTCAAATGGACTTAGATACTGCACATATCATATATGTATGCATACACACACACATAATAGGGTTATACTATTTGCCAGGTTTTCTCATTTCTATTATATGGCAGGTTTTCCCACTTAAGTCTATAATTTTTTTGTGTTATCTGTACATCATGTTATCAAAAACATTGTAATCAAAATTGTTTTTATTCCAATGAGAGCATCATTCGTCTTGACAAGTGATTGGGTAAAAGGAATCTTCTTTGCTGCATTTAACAATTGATATCAAATAATTAATACTGACATTTTCCTATGGTAAGTCTTGATGAAGTACCTGGCCACCCTAAAAGCCTAACTCTTGAGCAGCCTCCTCATGATCCACACTTTTATTTGCCTGTAATACAAATAAATAAGATCATCGTGTGCCAATATGTTAATGTCTTATTCTTAATATACATTTCAGGATTACGTTTCCTTGTTTGGGGATTGAATTCCTCTAAAAACATACTACTCCCCAAGGAGTATAATAAAGACCGATAGAAATGTTAATTTAACAATGTTTTTCTGATAGTTGAAATATTTATATCATAGCCATAGTATATTTATGGTTTCTCAAAGTCACAAGCATTAAATATAGTAGCATGTTGTAGGAAAACAAATTAATTTAGAACAACTCAGTACTTTGATTCTATAATAACTGATTGATGATTTAATCTTTCCAGTTTCTTAAAGCCATTCTTCAAATGGGGAAAATGACATGAGATTTGCACATCACATGTTACTGTGAAGATCATGATGAGGAAGCAGCCTCTGGAAAAAGCCACCATTTGATCGGGTTTAAAAGCCTGCACTCTGGTTTCTTTTGATATTTCTTTTTTTTTTTTCTTTTTTTTTTCTTTTTATTATACTTTAAGTTTTAGGGTACATGTGCACATTGTGCAGGTTAGTTACATATGTATACATGTGCCATGCTGGTGCGCTGCACCCACTGACTTGTCATCTAGCATTAGATATATCTCCCAATGCTATCCCTCCCCCCTCCCCCCACCCCACCACAGTCCCCAGAGTGTGATATTCCCCTTCCTGTGTCCATGTGATCTCATTGTTCAATTCCCACCTATGAGTGAGAATATGCAGTGTTCGGTTTTTTGTTCTTGTGATAGTTTACTGAGAATGATGATTTCCAATTTCATCCATGTCCCTACAAAGGACATGAACTCATCATTTTTTATGGCTGCATAGTATTCCATGGTGTATATGTGCCACATTTTCTTAATCCATTCTATCATTGTTGGACATTTGGGTTGGTTCCAAGTCTTTGCTATTGTGAATAATGCCGCAATAAACATACATGTGCATGTGTCTTTACAACAGCATGATTTATAGTCCTTTGGGTATATACCCAGTAATGGGATGGCTGGGTCAAATGGTATTTCTAGTTCTAGATCCCTGAGGAATCGCCACACTGACTTCCACAATGGTTGAACTAGTTTACAGTCCCACCAACAGTGTAAAAGTGTTCCTATTTCTCCACATCCTCTCCAGCACCTGTTGTTTCCTGACTTTTTAATGATTGCCATTCTAACTGGTGTGAGATGGTATCTCATTGTGGTTTTGATTTGCATTTCTCTGATGGCCAGTGATGATGAGCATTTTTTCATGTGTCTTTTGGCTGCATAAATGTCTTCTTTTGAGAAGTGTCTGTTCATGTCCTTTGCCCACTTTTTGATGGGGTTGTTTGTTTTTTTCTTGTAAATTTGTTTGAGTTCATTGTAGATTCTGGATATTAGCCCTTTGTCAGATGAGTAGGTTGCGAAAATTGTCTCCCATTTTGTAGGTTGCCTGTTCACTCTGATGGTAGTTTCTTTTGCTGTGCAGATGCTCTTTAGTTTAATTAGATCCCATTTGTCAATTTTGTCTTTTGTTGCCATTGCTTTTGGTGTTTTGGACATGAAGTCCTTGCCCATGCCTATGTCCTGAATGGTAATGCCTAGGTTTTCTTCTAGGGTTTTTATGGTTTTAGGTCTAACATTTAAATCTTTAATCCATCTTGAATTTATTTTTGTATAAGGTGTAAGGAAGGGATCCAGTTTCAGCTTTCTACATACGGCTAGCCAGTTTTCCCAGCACCATTTATTAAATAGGGAATCCTTTCCCCATTGCTTGTTTTTCTCAGGTTTGTCAAAGATCAGGTAGTTGTAGATATGCGGCGTTATTTCTGAGGGCTCTGTTCTGTTCCATTGATCTATATCTCTGTTTTGGTACCAGTACCATGCTGTTTTGGTTACTGTAGCCTTGTAGTATAGTTTGAAGTCAGGTAGTGTGATGCCTCCAGCTTTGTTCTTTTGGCTTAGGATTGACTTGGCGATGCGGGCTCTTTTTTGGTTCCATATGAACTTTAAAGTAGTTTTTTCCAATTCTGTGAAGAAAGTCATTGGTAGCTTTATGGGGATGGCATTGAATCTCTAAATTACCTTGGGCAGTATGGCCATTTTCGCGATATTGATTCTTCCTACCCATGAGCATGGAATGTTCTTCCATTTGTTTGTATCCTCTTTTATTTCCTTGAGCAGTGGTTTGTAGTTCTCCTTGAAGAGGTCCTTCACATCCCTTGTAAGTTGGATTCCTAGGTATTTTATTCTCTTTGAAGCAATTGTGAATGGGAGTTCACTCATGATTTGGCTCTCTGTTTGTCTGTTGTTGGTGTATAAGAATGCTTGTGATTTTTGCACATTGATTTTGTATCCTGAAACTTTGCTGAAGTTGCTTATCAGCTTAAGGAGATTTTGGGCTGAGACAATGGAGTTTTCTAGATATACAATCATGTCGTCTGCAAAGAGGGACAATTTGACTTCCTCTTTTCCTAATTGAATACCCTTTATTTCCTTCTCCTGCCTGATTGCCCTGGCCAGAACTTCCAACACTATGTTGAATAGGAGTGGTGAGAGAGGGCATCCATGTCTTGTGCCAGTTTTCAAAGGGAATGCTTCCAGTTTTTGCCCATTCAATATGATATTGGCTGTGGGTTTGTCATAGATAGCTCTTATTATTTTGAAATACATCCCAGTTTCTATGGGATATATTCACATCCCAGTCTTACTACTCCTTAGCTGCATGATCTCAGACAATTTAGTGAGCCTTTTTGCACCTTGTTTTCTCATCTGCAAAGTGGGTGAGATCATGATGATCACAGTAGTAGTCATTTTAGAGTTGCTATAAGGATGAATTGAGTTACTAATTGTAAATTAGTTGATACAATTAAGTAACAAATTTAATGCAGCAGTAAGTAGTAAAAGTTTCATAAGTGAAGTATAAGCATGAGAGTGCTTTTCACATTTTGTGAACTAAATGTAGAACTAATAATTTCCATCTTGGTTCCTTAAAAAATTATACAGAATAAAGGAAACAAAAAGATGATGTTTCATTTGATGGAAGGTAGCTATGTTCCTGGTGTTTCCTTAGTAATTGAAATTTATCTTTAAAATAGCAACATAGAATAATAAAACATCCAGAAACATTTATTGCAAAAAAAAATCATTACTAATATCCATCCATTTAAAAAGTTTTTGGAGTATTTTTCTCTTTTTTCATTTAATATTTAATATAAATATGCCTGTATTAATTCTTACAATGCCAAGACATTTGTAAATTAAACATTAAAAGTACTTATTATTTTAAAAGTACCTATTATTAAAAGTACTTAATATTTCAAGTACCATTGGAAATACACAGAACTGTAGTCGTTTTTGTTGGTCACAATTCCAGGAAAGGAACGAATCTGAAGCACATAAATGTAAAATCCACTTATTTGCCATCCCATCTTCATTTATTTCAGAGTAAAGTTATCTAAATGAACCTATTTTCTAATTAAGAATTTCTTTTATGGCCAGTAAATTACTTTCAAGATTTGCCCTGTAACTCTGCAGAATGCCACCAGCATACTATGTCTTGAGGATAATAGAGAAAATTTCTATATTCATAAAAGAATGTTTTCTGTCCAGAATTGCTTTTGATTAATATGAGGCTGCATTACTGACACTGCCTTTTTCTGGGAAAGAACCCTGAGTGTATTTTATCTAAGTGCCATTATTGTTCTGGAAATAAGATAGCAATGGCATTCGTTAGCTTTGACTCTAATGGCTGTAAAAGCTATGGGAATGTAGGACTTTGTGCTACGTTTGCATGAGATAATGACGGCTCATTGCAGGCCAGCTTTCATGAACTTCATTTGTGCCAGAACGGTAATGCTGGGCGTGTACTTAGGGCTTTTCCTCTCGAAGGCTCCACATATCACTTTTGAACGTGTCTGTCAAAGTAGCTGGTAGAATCAATGAAAATAGCCTTGGCCTCCAGCATGAATGATCTAAATTGAAAGAAGCATATTGAGAGGGCTGGAACCCAGTCACAAATTCAGGGACAGGCGGCCGGATAATGAAGCAAAGGCACCCAGTGGCACAGCTGTGTCGCATGCCTCTGGGAGCTAGAGGGGAGCTTCGCCATCATTTGTCTTCCATTTGCACACCCAGAGAGCTGTGTTTATTGGGGGCTTGTGATCCCCTCTTCTTTTTTCAACCACCCAGGGGCATCTGCTCATAAAGTGTGTAATTATTTATTTTTACAATTCTGCATTATCCAGATAATATTTTGAAATCTGGACTGATTTTTGAAAAATCAAAAAACTGCTTTTTCTGCATTGTTCAAAATTGACTTTGAGAAATCGACTAGCAGTTGTGAATTGTTTCAGTTCATATCCTACGTAGCTAGAAGTTATAAAGCTATTCTTAAATATGATGCCTAGAGAGGGGTTTGGTAGATGGGGAGTCAATGCACAATGGCATTAAGAAAGGTGGAAAGAATGAAAGGTTGCTAGGAATTTAATAGGCTTAAATACTTTCCTTTCACCCTTCTCCAGTATGGAGAGGTGAGGTTTGGACTGTAGACGAACAGGTAAGCACAAAGTAATGACTGGAGGAGGTTTCTCAGTAGAAGCCAAGGAAGACCTGGTGCCAGGGTTCAGGTAAATTCTAACTCAGAAGATGTGAGTTTTCAGTCAAGATTGACCTGTTGCTCAAGATACAAATTGCAGTATTTGAATTTTGTATAAAGATAATACATAGGGTCTTTTCACTGAAGAATCGTAAAGCTTTCAAATATTAAAGGACTATAAAATTAAATTATATGCCATTATTTACTACCAAATCATCAACTACCAAATACCTCAGTGCATTTTCTAGCATTAACTTTATTTAGTACCAGAATTATCACAGAGTCTAAAGTTATTTCACACTTAATTTTGTAGAAATAAATAGATGTGTAGAAATCTTCCTTATGGATTCAATATTTTGGGAAAGAAGCCTCAGTGATGGATATTTTGTTGTGTTAGAAGTGGCTATCTATTGTTACTTTGTAATAAATTATCTTAAAGGGTGTTTATTGTAAGTATCACATATAATCCAGGATATTTTCCTTTGGAAGAGGCAAACCCAGTTAAATTGGGAAAAAGAATATAGTCTGCAAATACAAACATTGAAAAATGTGACCTCTGCCCCTTTTCAACTCTTATAGGACAAATTCAGAACTCAACTAAATGAAATTCTTTATATTGTTAAAAAATTTCCCCTAGATCTCAGACAGATGCTGAGATCTGTTTTGTAGCATTCACCCACGTACCTAAATCTCACTCTCAGCAATTACACTACTTGAAGAATGTACCATAAGAAGAGCAAACTTAATGGAGCTTGAAGGTGGTGTCATATTGAGTGTAGGCACGCAACAATATAAGTGATCCTTTTCTTCTCTTGCTTTTTTTCTTAGTTGAGTAAAAATAGGTTAGTGGGCATCATCTCAGATATTCCAAATCATAGCTAAGTTATTTATTTGCATAGCATCGGATCATTTTTTATAATATCTGATATGAATTAAGCAACTATATTTTATTTAAAATAATAATAGTAACTACCATTTATCAAGTATCAACTCTGAACTATGAACTTTGCATTCAAAGACACAGATCAGGTCATGGAGTTTTTGATGTAGATATTATCACACTTTTATAGATGAGAAAATTGAGGCCCGAAGAGTCTAAGTAACTTGGCCAATATAGCAAAGGACAAATCAAGAATTTGAACCCAGTCCTTTAGATCCTGGTGTCCATAGCAATATATCTCACATCTTGTTAATTGTAGTACTGATAAGATTTCAGTTATTACAGCATTTCTCAGAGATCAATTGCACATATATTTAAATATTCAAAATAAAAATTCTAAATGTCTTTAGATGTGTTTGTAAAGAAGATGTTAGTTTTTCTTGTGGGATCTCTACAGTTTCAGTGCTCTTGGACACACACTTGCAAATTCCATAAATCATCACTAGATAATAAAACTAGCTAAAGTGTATTAAACATCTATGATATGCCGGGTTCAGAGAAAGTTATTTTTATGTATTGTTTAATTCACAGAAAAACCCTACCATGTAGGTGAATATGTTATTTTCAGCAGCAGCATCTTATCAATGACAAAACTCAGGAAAAGAGAATCAAAATGATTTTTCTAGAGTTATACAGCAAGATAGTGGCTATATTATTCATTCTCATCCTGCTAATAAAGACATACCATGACTGGGTAATTTATGAAGGAAAGAGGTTTAATGATTCACAGTTCTGCATGGCTGGGGAGGCCTCAGGACACTTACAATCATGGCAGAACATGTCCTTCTTCACATGGCAGCAGCAAGGAGAAGTGCAGAGTGAAGGTGGGGAAAAGCCCCTTATAAAACCATCAGGTCTCCTGAGAACTCATTCACTATCACGAGAACAGCATGGAGGAAGCTGCCCCATGATTCAATTACTTCCCACCGGGTCCCTCCCCTGACACATGGGGATTATGGGAACTAGAGTTCAAGATGAGATTTGGGTGAGGACACAGCCAAATCATATCAGTGGCAGACCTGAGATTCAAAATGTACCATTTCAACTCAGAGTCTGAAACTTACCCACTCTGCCAAACTACCTCTTTGAACAATATTTCCCATGATGTGGTTAAACTGATTAAAGAGAATTTAATATCACATTTTCATATACAGCAGTGTTACTTCAAATCTGAAAGATATAAATATTTACCAAAACTACCTACTCTAAGATACAGATAGAAAACTCATTCACTTGCAAGTAGCTGTGTTTTCTACTTAGCTCAGTAGAAAGTTGTATATCATTTATTGGGCAATAGAATGATGTTCCCATTGTCATTTTTGTTTAATTTTTAAAGTGGATAAGTTGCCGTCTTTATGGCAGGCCTCACTCTGTTAACAATTTGAAGTAAATTTTAGTGAGAGCAAAGCAGGAAGGAAATAAAACTTCCAGAATTCTATTGCAATAACCCTGGCAAGTGAGGATTACATACTGAAAGGTTTTTGCGTTTGTTTTTTGAGACAGGGTCTTGTTCTGTTGCCGAGGATGGAGTGCAGTGGTGTTATCTCTGTTCACTGCAGCCTCGACCTCCTGGGCTCAAGCAATCCTCCCACCCCTGCTTCCTGAGTATCTGGAATTACAAGTGCACGCCACCATGCTCAGCTAATTTTTTAAATTTTTCGTAGAGACAAAGTCTCGCCATGTTGGTCTCAAACTCCTGGGCTCAAGTAATCCTCCCACTTCAGTCTCCCAAAGTGCTGAGATTACAGGCATGAGCCCACCATGCCCGGACATATCCTGAAATTTCAAAGAGAAAGAGAAGGTTGAGTAGGAAGGGATGAACATGAGAGGAACTGGTGGCTACTTGGGATGCAGAGGCGTTTAGTGAGTTTGGCCTTTATGGGAAATACAGGAGGTTGAGGAGGCATGGAGCTAGTAGACAATGAAATCTGATTTGGATCTATTGAGTTTTAGGTACCAAATGTCTAATGCACAGTGTCTCAATTACCTTAAGATCCCTAATGCATAAGACAACGTAAAACCTAGAGCAAGAACTTAAGAAATACTAGGATGATTGGAATTCAGGATAAAGATTTGGGGATACAGGCACTTGGAGATCATGGTGGTGAGGGAATAAGACAAGAGGCAGAGTGTAGACCCCCAAGTGAGCAGGATCACCGAGAAGAAAGATTAGCTGGAGGAAACTCTGGAGACACCCTGACCTTGAGGGTCAGCCATGAAAATAATTAATGATTTTAAAAAAAAGAATTGATTATTTTTCAGGAAATCAAGATTTTAAAAAATCATGTTCTGTGATTGTGGGAGTGACCAGAAAATTTAAGTGAAGGGTGGAGTCTGTACCTTGGATTGTGCAGAGAAGAAAGAGAGGACTCACCTGATTCTCTGGAGTAATGAAGATTTTAAACATAAGTTGACAAATGAATAACAATGTAGTGTTGGGAGGAAAGCATATGTGCTACAGGAGACTAATTGTGAAGGAAAGAATAGAAGTATAATAATATATGTAATAGAATATATATAATATATCATATATAATAGAATATATAATATATGATATGCATAATATAGATTATATATTATAATATATGGTAATATATATTCTATAATAGAACATATAATTGTATAATAGAAATATAATAAATATACTCATAACTCCCAAAATCTTGGCCCGCTTATATGTAATAAAACATGTTTATGGTATGGTCAAGGTATAAAATGTCATACACAAGGCGTTAACTATGAAATTATGCACACACATATAGACTCACATGCACACACTTTTTTCCTATTAATCTATAAAAATTATTACAAGGAAATGTGCAACAATATAAACAGAGGAGGTAAACCTCTGAATGATGGGATTATGGGTCATTTACTATTGTTTTAAAAATAACTTCCTATCATTTATTGATATTTCACTATGAGCCAGTAGAGACTTCATCTTCATAAAAAGAGTGAGATTAGGGACAGGAAAGGAGTGTGTGTCTTTTCATATCTTAACTACCGAACCCCGGGGACCTTTCACTCCCTGGATGATCCTGTTGTCACTCATTAGGTTTAATATAAGAAAATAGGGCCCAAGGAGGCATTGCTCATAAATAGTGATTTCTGAGCAGTAGCAGTCAGACCTGGCCTGAGGCAATTTGGAATGAGGCTGCACTTACTGTTCAAAGTTTCTATTAATCCCCTGAGGTGAAGCATCTGACCCATGGTGTCGAACTGGCATCTTGGCCACCGTTCCTAATGAAAGGACTATCTACACATGTGCCTAAGGTAGGTAGCATAATATGTCATGCATCATTTATTAAAGTTCACATGTAGAATTAGGCAATATTATAGCTTTCAGTATCATCTTTCATCTGTGAATAGAAAAGACAAAAGCAGAATTATTAGGCTGGAAGAGACCTTGGAAGATTACTTAGTTCATTGCTTGATCTTTTGGAGAACCATATGAAGTATTGTGTATATTAATCAACCAGTCAACCAAGACTTGTTGCATATTCACAGGTGCACAGCCTTATGAAGTACCTGGCTCTCCCAATGCCCTTCCTTCAATACTATCAAAGTCATATTTTCCCAGGGACTTGAATCATTTTAGATAAGAGCTAACAAAGGTTCAGAACAATACCTTGCTTATTTAGTACAAAACATATCATTCAGATTATGCAGCACTTTTAGTGTGCAGTGGAAGGAATAAAAGCTGAATAAAGCACAGTCCAGTTTTCAAGGATCTCATAACTACTAGCAACTGGGTCCCCAACATCCCCACTTCATAGGTGTACTTATCATCTCAGTTACACCACAACAGCCACGACTGCTTCCCAGTCTTGATTACAGCTCCTAAGCATCTGAAACTCATATGTACCTTGGAAAGTAAGCAAGTTTTGTGGCCACTGATATGTATGCAGGCACACATATCACATATGGCAAAAGCTTGTAGAAGTTTGATATGAGATTGGATTTTTTTTTCAAAGTATGCAACTATGTTTATGGGAAAGCAAAATGTTCAATTTCTAATGCAGTCAATTCAAACTACAGCTTACATCCAAAGAGAGGTCCCAAGTGTTGTTATTCTCAAACTAGTTCCCCAAACCTCCAGATCTCATCTGAACCTCAAAACTTCATATGCAAGCAAATCTTGGTACTGGCACTTCTGTGGCTGGAAGCTAGCCAGCTGCTGTGTTTAAAAATGGTTTGCGTTCCGTGGTTTCTGGTTTGGAGACCATTTGGACTTCACACCCTTCCTCTTTACAACTGTAGAAGAGAAAAGCTAAAGAATTCAGCCTTGAAAATGCATTTCTAGGTAGTGTATATACTGTATGGTTGGCTAAGCATACATGAAAGGTTTTGGTCACACCAGGGTTAAGCACAAACAAAATGTTTTAGGGGTTTATGGAGTAATTTGACCTAAACTCCAAACTTCAGTACTGTGAGGCATGACCTAATGCACGCTACTAGAGTCTTGCATATGAGTATATATAAAGGCACAATATTTGAGATTTATTAATGAGCCAGAATATAGAATCACAGGTCAAAAAGAGGGTTCACATAAGCCACAGAGGCCTGACCTGCCTAAGAAGAGAATGAGTGCTAGCATTTTCCAGGCATTGGAAACTCACGAAAACACCCTGGTTTTCCTTGCTATTGAGTGTTAAACGTCAAACTTTGCCTAGAAACACATTGTCTTCAGGGTAGATTTAATGGATTATGGGCTAGTGGGGTAAAAATATCACTCTGCACACAGTATCTTTTGCAGGTAATTTATACAGAATGAACTGGACACTGTGAGGCCTGCCTGGATACCCTCTTGTGTGACTGACATGCCCACCTCTTAAATGCAGTAGATATTGGCTTCTGAGCAAGAGAAGATGTGCCTCTCACTAGGAATTGCCCTCAGCCACAGGGAACCACCCCAACCAAGTTTACACCCCTTTAAGAGGGCAGCCCATGGCCAATGACTGCAGGATATGGCCTAGCTCCTTCCCTAAGGTTTGCTGGAATCCTCAAGGTCCTCTCAGTTCTAGAGCTCCCTGTGGCCACTGGTGCAACCATATTATACATCAGTGTCACCCTGAATCCATTCTGGCCTTTCTCATTGGTGTGCCGATGTGTCTCCTGAGTTCACTGCAGCCTAATAGGCCTTCTGCATGCAACTCCTCAGAGATACTATATCCAGGAAAATAATTGATAAGTTGCAAAGTTTCCTCATCATGTGCAGCAATTCTAGCCAATTACATTTCAGCATTTTTGGTTCTTACATTTTTTTAAACAGAATGCACCGAGTACTTATTTCAATGTCATTAAAAATATTTTAATACTCCTATGAGCTCAAATTCAACCACCTCTTTCTTCAAATTCAGCTTTCCCTGCAATTGGTAGAAGCTGTCACTGATATGGAAGCTGGATTGTTATCTGGAAATTGATTTTAATCAGGACTTGTTAAATATGTGTTTGTCCATAATGTTATATTGAATAAATTGTACCTCATCACGTTGGCTCATGGCAAAATAGAACAATTAGGCAGCCCAGTGGCAGGTTGACATTTATCAGACTATTTTCACTGTGAGTTTAAATGACAACTATGGCATAATCCAATTTGTGTTTTCATCAGCTTATGGAAGCATCAAAGTGCCTGCAGTGCTTGTGAATGGACTGCCAGTGTGATACACTGATTCAAAAATATATTCTGTCCAGATATCAATTTTTTACATTTTTTCCAGATCAAATCAAGCTAATAAGAAATGCATTTTCTCTGGCATTAGGTATAAAAGTCATTCTGTGTAACTTGGCTCCAATATCACTTGTAGAGAAAGGAGTGGACTGGAAGATCATTGTTTAAAGATTGTTGTTATGCTTGGGAATGTGTATATAGTCTATATTGTAAAACGTATGGCAGCATTATACTGGAAGAACTAACATGTAGAGATGATGAATGCAGAAACAAAGAAAACAACCAGCTCCATCTACCTATCAAAAGTATAAAAGTATAGAAAGGTTATAAAAAAATGAAAATACTCCTGGGCGCAGTGGCTCATGCCTGTAATCTCAGCACATTGGGAGGCCGAGGCTGGTGGATCACAAGGTCAGAAATTCGAGACCAGCCTGGTCAATATGGTGAAACCCTGCCTCTACTAAAAACACAAAAATTAGCTGGGTGTAGTGGCACATGCCTGTAGTCCCAGCTACTCAGGAGGCTGAGGCAGAAGAATTGCTTGAACCCGGGAGGCGGAGCTTTCAGTGAGCTGAGATTGTCCCACTGCACTCCAACCTGGGCGACAGAGTAAGACTCCATCTAAAAAAAAATTAAAAATAAAAATAAAATTATATATATATATATATTTCTCTACCTCATGTTTACTCCTCTGCAAACTCATATTAGTGGTACCACCTTGAATAAGCCTTTAAATACTATACTTGAAACACTATATATTAAAAGCCTGCAGCAAAACCTCTGTCCCTGTCTCACTCCCCTTCAGTTAGAGAAAGAACTGCATTTGAACATCTGATGTGATAAAATAGAATTCCATCTAATTCTATTCCATCTAATTCTATTCTATCTAAATAGAATAGAATTCTATTTAGAATTCTAATATTAGCCCAGTAATTGAGTTGTTAAGATTGGTTTCTAGAAGTACTGCTAATTGCTAGACTGAGGCAAGTTATTCTCCTTTATGCTGGGACCAATTTGTCCTGTTTTTAAGATTGGGATATTAGTATCAAATTTAAACATTATATCTCTCTTACCTAATACTGATCTTATGAAAATAGAGAACGCAAAGCTAAATTTAAGATTCTTAGAAAACAAAGTTGTTGATGATAAAATAACATATTTAATATGGTTTGGCTGTGTCCCCACCCAAATCTCAACTTGAATTGTATCTCCCAGAATTCCCACGTGTTATGGGAGGGACCCAGGGGGAGGTAATTAAATCATGGGGGCCGGTCTTTTCCATGCTATTCTTGAGATAGTGGATAAGTCTCATGAGATCTGCTGGGTTTATCAGGGGTTCCAGGTTTTGCTTCCTCCTCATTTTCTTTTGACACTGCCATGTAAGAAGTGCCTTTTGCCTCCCACCATGACTCTGAGGCCTCCCAACCATGTGGAACTGTAAGTCTAATTAAACCTCTTTTTCATCCCAGTCTCAGGTATGTCTTTACCAGCAGCATGGAAACAGACTAATACAATATTTTGTATTAATATCTTGGTTAACTTAATAGAAAAGTCTATGCTTAATACAATGCTTTGAGCTTGAAGGATTTCAAGAGGGATGCATGACTATTGACCTAAAATGAAGTTATAGGAGTTCTTGGAATTATCTAAATTTTTTTTCTTGATCTATTAAACACTTCACTTTTATGAAGAAGATGTTTTAAAAAAGAAAGCAAACATAAAGGCTAACCAAAAACACACCAGTCCTTCAAGGACAGGCCAAGGAGCTTAGAATTATTTTATGACTAATGCTAACTCTGTTATTATTTAACAACAAAATCTTGCTTAAAATTGCAAAACCAGAGTTGTTGCATTCATGAAATGACAACATTAATGCTTTCTGGATATAGCATACGGTGATTCTTTATTTTACCCAACTAAAAATTTGAAGCCAATAAAATGTTTCTCTCAGACTAGTTGCTTAACTAAATTATTCAACTTTGGGTCAATCTAAATTTCAAAGATACGTTAAAGTTCAGAGAATGCTACTATTGCTACTAATAAAATTAGTTATTTCAATTTTTGTTTTAAAAATTATATCTGCAACAATTAATTTGGAGGTCTTGGGAAATTCAAAAAAAGAATGAACTCCTTGATTTATTGGTTGATTTCTCAATCACATGTTGTAATGCCTACTCTGAGAACAGTATTGCTCTAGGCATTGTGGGAAATTTCGAGATTACTATACAATAAGTAATAATAAATACATGGAAGATAAAGAGATATAGAGACATGTAGTCAATAGGCGACTTCATATCCAATGTAAATAAAATATATAAAAAATTAAACACATTAGTTTTTGTTTACCTGTACTCAAGGTAGTTCCAAATATCCAATGACCTTCATCTTGCAATTGAAGGTAAAATCCAGACTTAGATGCTTTGTTAGATTTGATCTCATTCCCTCATATTTTCTTCTCCAGGGTAGATGTTAGGGGTAGTTTGCCTCACGCCAGGTCTTCCTCCCATCTGGACCTCCTTGGACAAGTTACATACCTTTATTATGACTTAATTTCTGTATCTATAAAAGGAATATGGAAATAACCATATTTTTCCCACTATACTGATAATCGAATTAAATATTTTACAATATTTAAGTCCTAAAAACAGTGGTTGGCACTTAGTAAGTACCTTGCAGGGCCTAGGCATGTTCCCGCTGGCTTCCTCTGCAGTGGAGCTCCCCTAAGGTCTTAGCCAGCATTTCTTGCAGACAATGCCTGATGTCTGAGGTCCCCCCTCAATATCCAAACCCTGGGTTTGCACTCTGAGTTTTTCAAACCCTGACTGAGCCAGGTCATGTCATCCTCTCCCTTGGCTGGTGTGCCTTTGAGGATGCCTTCAGGCCCTTCTCCTGAACAAGGCACTGTGACATTGCTACTGACGATTCTAACTCCATGCCCAATTAGGGCATCTCTCTCTGACTGAAATTTCCAGGAAATCAGGGATCAGGTCCTTTATCTCCTGGGATTTCCCCAAAACAACTGTGAAAATTCCATCTTTTTATTCTATCTCTCCCAAGGTTTTTGATCCTACTAGAGGCCAAGGTACAACTACCTTTGATATGGTTTGGCTGTGTCCCCACCCAAATCTCATCTTGAATTGTAGTTCCCGTAATCCCCAGGTGTAATGGGAGGGCCCCAGTGGGAAGTAATTGAATCATGGGAATGGGGACTATTACCCCCATGCTGTTCTTCTCATGATAGTGAGTTCTCACGAGATCTGATGGTTTTATAAGGGACTTTTCCTTCTTTGCTTGGCAATTCTCCTTGCTGCCACCATGTGAAGAAGGACGTTTTTGCTTCCCCTTCTGCCATGATTGTAAGTTTCCTGAGGCCTCCCCAGCCATGCTGAACTATGAGTCAATTAAACCTCTTTCCTTTATAAATTACCCAGTCCCAGGTATGTCTTTATTAGTAGCATGAGAATGGACTAATACACCCTTTTGAAAAAATTTTGCATCAGTCATTAACCTTCTTTGTATTTTCCATAATTCTGGCTCTTTCCCTCATTAAACAATGACTGTATCATTCTTAGTGGGACTGAGATGGGAGGGGTGAGGAGGGAATGCTGGATGGTGGTGAGACAAGAACTAGCTTCTCATATGAAGTCTTCCCAGCCTCCTGTTTATGAATAAGTTCTATGCCCTGTTTCATCATGTTTTCATTGTTGATATTTGCTATTTATATCTTCTGAATGTCAAATACTTTTTTTATCTCCAGTGCCTGTGTCTACCATTTGAAACATTTGGCTTAAATAGAAAAAAAAAAAAAAAGGAACTCAGCTGTCTTCTTTATTCTAGGATATATATATATATATATGTATATACACTCCTGAAGTGAAGAATAGACCCATACAATGGGCTATCATTCAGCTACAAAAAGAAATACTGGAAAATAAAAAAGAGACAAAAGGCTGCATATTGTTTGATTCCATTTATACAAAACATCCACGATAAGTAAACCTATATAGACATAAAGCTGATTGGTGTTGTTCAGGAGCTGGGGGGTAGGTGGAATAAGGAGTGACTCTTTAGTGGGTATGAGATTTCCATTTGGAGTGATGACAAAGTTCTGGAGCTACCAGAGGTGATGGTTGCACGGCACTGTGAAGGTATTTAATGCCAATGAATTAATTGCACACAGCAAAATAGTTAAAATAGAAAACTTTGTGTTATCTCTCTTTTACCACAATAAAAAAACAAGAATTACAAAAGTAAAATATATTTTTTGAAAACAGTTTTAAGCAATTCTTAAGTAGTTTATATGAAAAGTGAGAATGCTATTTTCTCTTTCATGATTTTTACTTTACAGAGAGAATGCTGCTATTTGCATTCCCTGTGTGTCCTGCTAGAAATTATTCTATACATGCAACAGGATGAGGCTCTCCAGTACAGTGTCATAACTTAGCAGGGGTTCTGGGACCTTTTTTTCCTTCCAGAGTATTATAATTCTCTGAAATCCAAGAAGTACAAACTTTACTTTGAAGAGATTGCACGTAGTAGATTGTACTACTTGTTTCCAATTACATCCATCCCCTTTCTACCCCGTCCTGTGAAGTAATATGTTCACTTCTCCATAGATTTTGGGGTTAGGCATGCTTCTAGCTTTGGCCAGTGGGTTGTGAAAAGATAATGTGTTTGCCTTATATTAGCAGAAACCTTTAGAAATATTGCAAGAACCCTCTTTCCCCCTCACTCTGCTACTGGAGCTCCTTCCCTCAACCTGGGAACCATATAAAAAGACATGGAGTGCCACACTGAGCGGGGCTGGGCTGATTCCTGTAGTGCCCAGCAGAACCTGGCAGAACTGCAACTTCCCAGAGACCCCAGGTGACCTTCAGCAAGAACCATGAGTCAGTTGTAAGAACTTAAGATCTGGGGCTTATTTGTTGCCTCAGTAAAAGCTGAAAAATACATGCGCTCTGGTATGAAGAAATACTGGGATGTGCATGAGATAAAGTTCAGATGGGACCCACAAAACCAAAAATTTTCCAAATCAAAGTGTTAACCAGCTCTTCTGATCTTCCAGGGTCTGGGGAGGCACCAGTGAAGTAAACTGACAATGATACCAGCTGTAGAGAAGCTCCTATTGCAGTGCAAGGAGACAAAAATGGATAAGTAAAACATTCTGTGTATTATTAAGATAAATGTTACAGAGAAAAATATATCAGGAAAGGGAGAGAGGAATATATCTAAATGGAGAAAGGTGAAATTAAACATAGGATGTTTGAGAACATCTTTACTGGGAAAGTCGCATTGGAATAAATATATGCAGGAGGCAAGGAGGCCTGAGTTGATGTGGGTAAAGGATGTTTGTAACAGAGGAAACCAAAAGTGCAAATGTCTTGCGTTGAGAGCATGATGGTTTTGATGAAAATATTTAATGGGTGTTTGATGAAAATGAAGGAGAACGATCAGTTTAGAAAAAAATAAAAGGTGAGATACATATCAAATCGCCCAGCGGCTTGCGGAATGCAGATTTCTAAGCTCTCAGAGATTCTGATTCCATAAACCTCAGGTGGGGCCCATGAATTTGCATGTCTAATAAGTTCTCAGGGAAATACTGATGCAGCGCAACACCAGGAGCACCTTGGGAACTACAGCTCCAGGGCTTTGCAGGTTGTGAGGAGGACTTCGGTGTCTCCTCTGAGTGAGATGGAAAATCACAAGGATGTTTTTAGCAGAGGAGAGACATTAGCTGACCACCAGGATGATTGTGACTGTGTTGAGAATAAGCAAGAAAGTGCTAAAAGTGGAAGCAGAGAAGCCAAATATGAACAGTACTGAAACATGGGACAATTATACTGGCCTTATGCAAAAAGAAAAATGATTCCTTTTGTTTAGTAAGAGGTAAGACAGTTCCTGATGCGGGTCGGGACATGTTGAGAGATATTCCAACCAATGCCCTCTGTTTTCTCTGGCAAGGTCATCTAACTTGATGAGTGGGAAAGTGAGGAGGGGTGTTGGTTACTTTTGCAGGGAGAATAAAAAGATCATTGCAGAGCGTGGGAGAGCTAATTGAGTGAAAAAATATTTTATTATTCCAGAACACCCTTCCATAAACAAATGAGGTTATGACTATGGATTTGTAGTTAAGAGATGTTAAAAGGTACATCATTTGTTAAGCTTGTTAAACTAACACTAGGACCACTCTTGGCACTTACATATCCCAAATACAAAACCCAATACATCTTCCTTGTTTCAAAAACGGTCTCTTGGAGAATGATGCCCAAGGGTTCCTTGAGTTTTAATGAATAAGCATTTGCTGAGTGAATGCACCAACACTTTGTGTAATACTACCAGTATCACTTTCCTTCTGCCAAATACTTTAAATAAAAACTCCACCAAAGATGACGTAAAATAGAATCAAAACCTGCTGGTAGGGTGTATAAGCAAGATAGAATCAGAGTTTACTAAAATCAGTATTTAATGGAGAAGATGACGGCAGTGATGATATTAGCTAACCGTGCTGAATATTATTATCTGACAGGCACTCTTCTAAGCCTTGTCCTGTTTTAACTCATTTCATCCTTTTCAAAATTGGATGAGATTGGTACTAATATTATTCCCATTTCGCAAAGATGAAAACTGCAGACCAGCAGTATACCCAGTGTTGCACAGACAGCATAAGGAGCAGTGAGGTCTGAACTAAGGCATTCTGCCCAGGGCTCTGTGCTTTTTAACAACTACACCAGAAGCAAGTGAGAATTACAGAATGTTAAATTTGGGCTCTTTTGTTTTTCCTTTTCTAAGGTAGACTGCGGGGAATGACCCTTGTAACTGAATACTGCACCATAATTATAATGGGAAGCTGTTTCTATCTCAGAATCTGGCCCTGAACGATCCTAGGATATTTAGGCCAAAAATGCAGGGGAGAGAGTCCTGATGGGGGGCGTGGCTGTGAGTGGAGGGGGAAGGAAAGTGAGGCCAACCACACACTTTCTGCTGCAGCTTCTGCACCCTCTTGGAAAGACACTGTGAACCACATTGAGCTAACTCTTGATACACCCGCAGATACCCACACTCACTGCTCTTCCTAAAGACAGGCACTTGGCTCTTTAACCTTGAAATGGGGAATCCAGAAAAAAAAAAAAAACAGTTAAAGATATTTTATTCAATTAATACCTTGCACGAAGCCATATTAAAATGTTTTCTGCTGTCTCCACTCTTGCCCTCTCAATATCTTTCAATATTTTAGATATATATATATCTAAAAATGTTAAATTTAACTTTGGGAGGATTTAAGGATACTTATAAAAATAACCATTCAGTTACTTTCTAATAATCATTTATCCAAGTTTAGGATTCTTGCAAGGAAGAAGACATTAAAATGGCCGCTCTACTACTTTTATCTGCTAGTAAATAAATTCATGATGAACATTTAGAAGGTCGCTGAAGTTAAGAGAGCTAGTATTCCCCACAGGATTTAAATCATTGAGGCTTTTGGCCGCATTTATCACTTGTAAAAAGAATTTTACTGACCAGGAATAAATACATTTACAATGTGTCTAAGTAACGCCTGTGTGATTTTCATTTACATGACAATGACCCTTTCCACTGTTTTCTTACAACTTTCCCTTCGACTGCCTGATGTTTATTGGTTCATTATTTGTAAAAGAGTAAAACCTCATCTGAAAAAAAAAAAAAAAAAAGAAAGTGTGTTGTGTCTTTAATTTTAAAAACCGCCCAAGGGCCCTATGGGGGATATTAAATCTGTCTCTTTGCTGTATATCTTGATGTACATTTTAGTTGAAACCAGGTGTTTTGTATATTGAACTTTTTAACACTGCAGGGAGGTAAGTATTCACAGCTGGAGTTTTATGCTTCACACATTTTCATGTTTGAGAACAAGAAGCAACCCCTAGGAAAACCTCCTCCGGCATGAAGAGAGGCTGAACAATGCGCTTCTGTAGCTAGTGGCAGGCCATGGATATGATGAAGTCACAGATATCGGAACTGAATGCGAGATAGATGCCAGTGAAACCAAGACAAAAACTTTCAAGGAATCCAAGTGCACAGGTTCTCAGATCAATCACAAGCGATGAGGTTGTCACTGCACAGAGGGGCTGAAAAGCAGCATCAAAGCCACTAAAGAGAGGGGAGAAGCTTTTGTTGGGCCGGCTTTTGTCTTCATAACCAGCATTGGAAGCCAGCTCACATCAACTGAAAGGCCGAGTTAATCTATTTCTAGTGAACATTGTTCGACTGTGTGTAGTTAGCCCGTAATCATTAAAGAAAAATAACTAGGTTGGCATGACCAAAAAAGCATTGATTTTCCTGTGGAGCACATTTGTATGAGTTGAATTTTTTGCATATGTTATTGTGCGCATGAGAGAGAAGAGGTGACTGACCTCACAAAACAAATGCACACAGCAGCGCTGCTTCTTAGCCTCCACAATGAACTTGGTGTTTGTAGAGCAAGACGTAAGATGGCCTATTAAAATTAAAAACATAACATTTCTAATTCAGCCTTTTATGGATTCACTTTAACCTTTAAAGACTCCTTAAAAATACAGCAACAAAAAAAGCACCTTTTCACGATTTGGTTAGCCTTCCTGGAGAAATTTGTCATGGCATTGCACTGAGAGTTTTGTTCTTTGTGGCCAGTAAGAAAAGATTCAGAGAGGGGGTACCGCTAGAGAAGGACAGGGTGAGGGAGACCGATACACTGCAATGTCTTCATCCCTTCTTAGTATGTGACTTTGATGTCCCACATCTCCAGAAAAGAGCTTCATGTTAGCTCTGATCATTCCAGATCAATCCAGCCCCCATGCAAATGCAGTGATCAGGCTATATTTAGTAAAATGTTGTTCATTTTAAGTTTTTTTATTATTTGAGAGCAGAGACTTCCAGTAGGCACAGTTTAGACCCTGTTATCTTTGTCTCACCTCCCTCTGCTCCAAGACCTCAGAGACCCAGACTGTTGTTAGGATGTCAGCGCTTGGAGGCACGCAGTGGCTGAGCACTGGGTTCTGTGCAGCTCTGACAGTAGGCACCATGAGTTTTCAGGCCAAGAAAAATAACTTAAAACCCTAAGAAAATAAACAACCCCAAGGCTACCAAGGAAGGAGAGATTATAGCTGAAAAATGTCAGTACTTGACAGCACAAAACAGTTGCCCACATATGATGGGGGAAGGAAAATCTAAAAAACAAAAAGTTGATGGGTGTTTTAACATGTTTTTTGGCAGAATATTTTCGAAGTGGATTGAAATATTTTCCTTCCCAGTTAGACCTAGGCTCATGGTGTTTTGCTAATGATTCTCTGAATAAGTGTTTTCTTCAATTGCTTTGAGTGACATAAGTTGCTCAGATGGGTCACACCCTCATGTTGGAACATCGAGTATGAAGTTTCATGTGGACACACAGAGCAGAAAATCTGCCTTTTTTGGAATTTGGGGGTACAGATTCGCTCTGTGTTTGTGACAGAATGTCATCTTCTGTTTGTGAGGAAGCAGGTTGAGGAGTCAATAATGGATGAAAGTACAGGAGTCAGAGATTGTGGAAGATTCTGAATGAGAATGAGTCCAAGAAGGAGGGCTTGGCTGGCCTGTAAGTATCATGTTCTCTGAGCTGGAGGGTAACAAGACACAGTGATGCAAATCACTGTCTCTCACTACAGGTGGCTTGGGAGTCCTTATCTGATGCACATGTGCTTTTCAGCCTTTGCACAATAACATGTATCTTTTCATTTAAGCTTGTGGCAATTATTTGAGACTGATTCTATTACCATCTGCACAGAGGCCAACTTACTTAAATGAGAAATAAAACCCACTAAGTTTTTCTGGCTAGGGTAGGCTTATCTAGTTTAAAGCCATAACTTCTATTAGTTCTACGTAAACCAAAATTGGTAATTCGGAGATTTACAAGATCTTGGAAAATTCAACTTTCTGTTCCGATTCTTCACCTCATATTCAAGTTAACATACATTAATCTAGACCTGGAAACTGAAATCTGATGTGCGTAGGCCTAAATGAGAGGACAGAATCACTCCTTCAACAATGTATTAATAAATATTTCAACTGTATTAATAAACACAATAAACACACTGATAAAATGATGACTATGTGATAGGCCCTGGGCTAGGTGTCAAATACACAGTAATAAATAAGATGAGTTCTATATCTTTAAGGACCATGTATTCTAAATTCCATCTGGAGTATAATTTTTATTTCTCAATTCTATTTTGTCTGTCATTTTTCCTTTATTTTTATGGATTTCTGCATTAAATAACTTAAAAATTTTAATTATAGGCCATTGTATATTTTTAGTCCAGTTGAAAAAGCACCTTTTACTAACTACAGACTGTGGACAGTGATTATGTAGGAATTGAAGAAATAAAAATAAAACAGGAGAAGATCTCACCTTACAGGGAGGGATCTTCCAGACCAGGGGACAACATTATTAAACCATATCTTTCTCTAGACATGCAAATATCATTGTCATGAAAGAGATCTAGCCAGGCAGCCTGTTATTCAGAGGATTTGTAGAAGGTATTTCTGCAAAACACCATTCTACTCCATTGTATTAAAAGTTTATTAGTATTAATCAGTGTCTGAAGAAAGCAATTTGAAACTAGAATTTTTTTTTATTCTGTGCCCTAGGATGTCAGCCTAGATTATCTGACAGCTGTCACAGTGGCTTCAATTTGATTAGAATTTCTTAATGCCACCATCCTTTGATCAATTCATTTATGTAATCATTCATATGTTTCTCAAAACATTTATTAAGCATCTACTATATGCTTTACTTTACCAGGTGTTACATTTTAAGCCAAATTTTAGATTCTTTTCTAAAAGACAGAACTGCTATCTATTTGCCTTTACAGCTTGATGCCTCTTTAAGGCAGGAGAGACAGCACAGATAGTTGTTGTCATGGGCAGTTTGGAATAAGTATCTACTTCCAGTGATTTTTTTTAGATACATAAATGAGAGTTATAAGAATATTTCATAAAAGTTCTAAGAACTTGTATCCAATTAAGATGACCCTTCAAATGAGAGCTTTTCCTATTCCCTGGTTTTATCTTATTTTATTTATTTATTTATTTATTTATTTATTTATTTATTGTGCTTCCTCCCTGCCCCATAATGTTTTTGTATTTCCAGATAAAATCAAATAAAATTAAGCCTTTATCAGGGACATACTCAAGCCACAATTTTTAGCTGGAGACATTTCAAGGAAATCTTACTTTTTAAGAGATTGTCTGAATGACAGAGAAGGCAAAGAGGCAGCTCAAATTACCTAAGGCCATGAGGCATTCAAATTCTATACTTGGGCAAACATCAGCTCCCTCCCTGATGTGTCTGGGAGCAAGGCACAATAGCAGGATGACGGAGCAGTCCCTTGTCTCCTGCTCTGTGTTCATTAGAGGGGACTCCAGCCCCTCCACTGGCATGATTCAGTACAGGCGTCCATGAATTGTTGCAATTGCACAATGGGGCAAGCTACTGGCAGTATTTGCCACATCAGCATTCCTGGTTCAGAAAACACAGGCTCTTCCACAGACTAATGAATTGAGGTGAGACTGGGGTCTAAGTTCTGCAATTGACCACGATGGATGATTGTCATTAGCACTTGACCAAAGCCAGTTTGCTCAGAGGATTAGAGGAGGCCAATCCCGGGAGGCCAGCCTGTGGGGAATCAGCTTAGGTAGTTAACCTTTACCTCTCATTCTGCAAACTTGGGCTCACATCGTGAGAGATGTATGTATCTCCCATTTCCCTCTGTCCTGCTTTGTTTCTCTCTGCTTCCTCACTTCCTGATCATCAGAAACTACTTAGAACCTCCAAACTCACCAGGCTGACCACCCAGGCTTCAGAATTGAGGACTCTTACTTGCGCAGTTATTGCAATGGGGTGTTTGGGAGTGAAAGTGGGGATTGTAACTTGCCTCAAAACTGATGTATACATCATGACATCATGGTGGTGATTGATTATTTCTTTTTTTTTTTTCCTGGAGAAAAGCATAAGTTCCTTTGGTGCCTAAATCTATTATAAAATTTGGCATTTGCAAATATTGGATGAGCTTCCGTAATCAAAGAAAGTTTCACTTATCTCTCTTTTATTGAACATCTCGAGCCCATACTGAGACAGAATTTCAATTAATAGTTTAGTAATGAAAGAATTGTAAATTAACCTTTAACTTGATAAAAAATAACTAGGGCACAAGTCAATATACATTATTAATAATCATCACAATTTTGTTTTGTTCCAAACCTTTAAGTCACAAGACTTTATATTTTTGGAATAATTTATGCAGTTAAATATTCTAATGCAATCAAATTTAAGTATTTCTCTTTCATTCATAGCCCTGCTTTGCTTACAATCAAATGAGATACAAGGTATTTAAACAACTAACTATAATGTTTGGACATCTGTGCTTTTAAAAATAGATAGACTAGTTCAAAAAAACACAAATAACAAAATTCATAATAAGTAAACACTTTGTCACTTTGTTAAGTGTTCAGTATCTATAACCTACTTAGGTATTATTTCAGCATAATATACATTATTACATTAACGACAAAAAAATAAATACCTTAGATCTGTACAAAAGTATAGACTGAACTAGATAAGACAAGAGAACATTTTTATAGATTTGAACTCAGAGAGCTCTGCACGTCACTTTAAGACATGGCTGAACTGTCCAAGAAGCATCTGTGATTATTGGGGTGTCCTCCCTGTGAAACTTAAAACATATTAATCTCTGACAATCACTTGCAATCAGGTAAGATTTTCATCCTGAGCTAATGTATGCTGTGCTGAAAACTTTACTCCCCATTTCTCACATACGGAGATGATTCTAATATGTTCCCAAATGCTAAACTTATTAAGATAGTCTGAAAATAAAATTTAGATTTGACATTTTATTTATAGTTATAATATCATGTAACTTCTAGATATATACTGTGTAGTATAATATGTTAGCAATAATATATGCAACATTAGACACATATGTATATGTGTATACAGACACTTGAGGGCCACATATTGTTAACCACCCTATAATTGGATAATACAGTTCCATAAGCAAGTGAGTTCTACCTATATTTCCAATCTTTTTTTTTTCTTTTTTTCTTTTGAGGCAGAGTCTCCCTCTGTCTCCCAGACTGGAGTGCAGTGGCATGATCACAGCTCACGGTAACCTTGAACTCCAGGGCTCACTGCAATCTAGTAGCTAGGACTACAGCACACCCAGGCCACCATATCTGGCTACTTTGGTTTATTTCTTATAGAGACATGGTCTCACTGTGTTGCCTGGCTGGTCTCAAACTTCTGGTCTCAAGCAGTCCTCCTGCCTCAGCCTCCTGAAGCTCTGGGATTACAGGCATGAGCCACTGCCCCTAGCCCTCCAATTTTTTTCCTTATTTTCAATCTGTGCCATAACTTCTAAGCATATGTGAGTTTTCCATACTTACTTAATATCTGAAAACCAAATTTTTTGATTCACTGGGAATGCCGGACCCCTTAGTATCATTGAAGTTCTTGGAATTTAAGATTTTTATTTTTGAATAAGGCACATATCACCTCTGGTGAAATCATTATAACTGACTGTCAATAATGTTCAAGAAGACAGAATTTTAATACATACCAAATGGCACCCCTTGGGGAGGGGGTGGGTGTGGAAAAAAAGCTAACCAAGAACTTAGATGTACATATATTCACAATGATGATTACCCAGCAGGAATATCTTAGAACAAGGCTGCTTGTTTATAGTGAATGTAATGAGCTTTCCGTACTGAGCTCAACTCTTTTTAGAACCACAAACAAAGAAAGTGTGTATTAGAAGAGCTCTTCAACTTACACCATCAATTGGACTCTCTGCCAAACTACAGGAGCAATCTGAGACCTTGACTAGGGTAAGTGGTTCTTAGCAGAGTTCATGACAAAATAGCGAAAGCCAGGGGTGTTCTACCAACAGCACGTGCTGTATACTGAGTTCCTTTCATACTTGCAAGAGGCCAGCATTTATTTATTTTGCATTGTATGCAAACATCTTCAGTGATAGAAGAAATGAAACATTTTATATATTATTTGATAAAGATATTTGTCTCTTAAAAAGAATAATGTTAGCATCAGATAAATGCACTTAAAGCAGTAAGATGACCAATTTTGCCTGAAATGGTATTTAAGAGTGGGAATTGGTATTTCATGATAGTTTTGATTTGCATTTCCCTAATGACTAGAGATGAACATCCTTTCATGGGCTTATTGGCCATTTGTATATCTTCTTTGGGGAAATCTCTATTTAAGTCTTTTTTTTTAAATTGTGCTGTCTGCCTGTTTTTAAGTTGGGTTGTGTGTTTTGCTGTTGTTGCTTTAGGAGTTCTCTTTATATTCTGAATATTAATCCCTCATTAGATATATGATGTGCAAATATTTTCTCCTATTCTGTGAGCTGCATTTTGATTCTGTTGACTGTGTCCTTTGAAGATCTATTTTTATTTTCTTTTACTTTCTATAAAATGCATTTTGTCTATTTTTTACTTTGTTGCCTGTGTCTTTGGTGTCCTAGCCAAGAACTTATTGCTAGCTCAATATTGTGAAGTTTTGTCCTGTGTTTTGTTTTAAGAGTTTTATAATTTCTGGTCTCTGTTTAGATACTGAATTCATTTTTATTTAAATACTACATCATGTTTTACATAGTATTAGGTAAGGGTCCAACTTGATTCTTTTGCATGTGGATATTTAGTTTTCCTAGCACCATTTTTTAAAAAAGACTTTTTTCCCCCATTGAATAGTTTTAACACCCTTATTAAAAATCACCTGCACATATTTTTGAGGATTTACTTCTGGACTCTCTATTTCTTTCCACTGGTCTCTGTCTTTAGGTCAGTACCACACTGTTTTGATTGTTGTAAGACTAGTACATTTTTAAATCAGAAAGTGTGAGTTTTTCAGCTATGTTTTCCTTTTCAGAATTGTTTTTGCTATTTGGGATTTCTTGAGATTCTATACATATTTGGGAATGGATTTATCTATTTCTGTAAAAAATGCCATTGGAAATTTGAAAGGGATTGGATGAAATCTACAGATACCGGTAGGTAGTATTGACATCTTAACAATGTTAAGTCGTTCAATCCATGAACATAGAATGTCTGGGAGACATTTGTTTTTGAAAAACAGTGACAAAGAAATTTTAACAAAATCCATTTAACAATATCCCAAAACTCAGTACAAAATATTAGTTAAAAAGGAACACTTCTGTGTGAAAAAATTATATTTAAAAATTTAACTTGTGCTAACGAACACTTAAACATCTAAAAAGTACGAAGTACTGAGTCATTAATTGGACCAATTTGATTAGATTCCACCAAAGGAGTTATATTTTCGGTCAAAATACTTGATATCTGGACGTAATTATAAGTTCATACCCAAAGAGTTTATAAACATCATTTCATAAAACAGTCTTCTATATATTATGATCCAAATAGATGTGTGATACATAAAATTGTAAGCCAGGCTTTAAATCAGGAAGCGGAGATAATAATGTATGAGTCTGGTTTGAAAAATGCTGCAATATGCTTTAAGATGATTAGCACCTCTTCTTGCAGGCTGTGTGCATGTGTATGTGTGTAAATACTATGAACGGGTATAGTAAGACTCTTAAAAATTTACATACTGATATTTACTATATCATAGATCTTGAACCTGGTAATCCCCGTAACCATTACACACATACACAAATGCATATGCACATATTCAATAAATCTACATATATACTAGATCGATATATTTACATGTACATACATGCAATATACTTATATATAATATGTTTATGTTATTTATATAGTGTATATTCATACAATAATGATATAAAACTTTGCTAGACTTAAATGGTAAAAATTCAAGGACATTATTCCCAATTTGAAAAATTGGAATATAAATTTTGGTAATACATAAAACATTTTATGATTTTATTAATGAAAAATAGCATTTTAAGTACATTTTATATACAAATAAAGTAGAACAAATTAGAAAAAGTATTATGATAAAATTACATTAAAAAATAATTACTGGGATCTGGCAGGGCCTTTGTCTCTTTCTTCAGACAGAGCTCCACATCCTGTCTTCACCGCTCCGTGCCCTCTGCTCCTGGAGACCCTAGGTGACTCTACTGCAGACTCTGTGATTCTGGGACTGGAAGGTATTGGGAGATCCATCCATAACTAAGGCAGCAGGATCCCTGGAAGCCAGGAAATATTTTCTAGTGCCATGATGGCTGACTAGAAGCTGATGTCTGCCATTCTCATGGGGAGGAGAAACAGTGGTGAGTATACATTAGCTCCTGACCTGGATGGTCCAGGAGGACACTTTGGGATGCATCCAGGAAACAATGTGACCCACAGAGAACAAAGAAGAGCAAGACCAGACAGGATTGGGACTAAAGAGGAGGCTCCCCACTGTGTGGAACGGTGAGTGAATGAAAGCCCCCGAGGACCACACTTTTGCCACAGACCTTTGCAACTCTGGGCTCAGGCAATTCCCTGTGATCATCCCTTCCCATCCCCACCAGGGCTTCCAGACTGACACAGAGAGTGACATGGAGTCTGGGCAGAGCCACTGTGCAGGCACATGCCTAGCCTTAGGGAACTTGGACAGCTGGACACCCCAGCACCAGCAACTGAAGCGCTGGCAACAGGGGAGGCCAGACTCCCTTACACGCTGTCAGAATAGGAGCTGAATCTATGGGGCTGAAGAGCAGATGGACTGCAGGCCTTGCCTGTACTGCACAGTACAGGACAAAGCCAAGTGGCCTGGGACCCTAGCATGGCCAACCCAGCCCTGCCTGAGCTCTTGGGCCAGTAGCAGCCCTGTACTTCCCTGGGATGGAGCTCCCAGCACTCGCACACGGGCCCACCAGTTTTGCTGCTCTACAGCACCCCCCAACAACCCCCCCACCACCACACCTGCTGCCCTCAGGCTTGGGAGACAGTGAAGTGATTAAGGACTAATTCAGACCCCAGCACAGCACAGCTGTTTTATGCAAAAGCTGCCAGACTGTTTTCCACATGGGTCCTTTCCCCTGCTACTTCTCACTGGGTAGGGCCTCCCAACCAGGGACCTAAGCCACCCCAGACCCACCCGAGCTCTCGGGCTGGCAGCAGCTCTGCACTTCCCTGAGATGGAGCTCCCAGAGGCGGCAGGGAGGCCCACCATTGTTATGTTCTGCAGCTCCTGCCTCTGCTGCCCTCAGGCTAAGGAGGGAGGAAGAGCTTAAGGACTAACACAGGCCTCCAGCACTGTGCAGCTGCCTTACACAATAGTGGCCACAGTGTTTTCCACATAGGTCCCTGCCCCTGTTACTCCTCACTAGGCAGGGACTCTCAACCTGGTCCCCAGCCCAACCATCCTGTCCCTGACTGAACCCTTCAGTCGGTGGTGGCTCCGTGTTACTCTGGGGAGGAAATTCCACAGACAACCAACAGCCCTCTCCCATTGCAGCTGCAGTGGTATTACCCTTCCTGCCTTCGGGCTGGGGAAAGAACAAAGGGCTTGGTTGCATCGCTGGCACCTCCAGCACTCCACAGCTGCCATGCAGAGCAGAGAATAGTCTTTCTTCCCCCACCCACTACTCTTCACAAGGCTGAGCCCCCGGCTTAAGGCAGCAGAGCAGCTACCCCAAACCCAAGTGAGCACCAAACCCAACTCACATGTTAAGTGAGGAGCCTGGTGGGAGGTGATTGAATCATGGGAGAAGACTTCCCCTTTGCTGTTCTTGTAATAGTGAACGAGTGCTCACAAGATCTGGTTGTTTTAAAGTGTGCAGCACTTCCCCTTTCACTCTCTCTTCTTCCTGCTCGGCCATGGTAAGGCATGTTTGCTTCCCCTTCTCCTTCCGCCATGATAGTAAGTTTCTGAGGCTTCTCAGCCATGCGTCCCGTACAGCCTGCAGAACTGTGAGTCAATTAAACCTCTTTTCTTCATAAATTACCCAGTCTTAGGTAGCAGTGTGAGAATGGGCTAATACAATATATATGCAGCCAACAAGCATATTAAAAAATGCTTAACATCACTAATCATTATAGAAATGCAAATAAAAATCATAGATATGCACACTGGTCACAATGGCTATATCAAAAAGTCAAAAAAAAAAAAAAAAAAACAGATACTGGTGAAGCTACAGATTAAAGAGAATGCTTATATACCGCTGGTGGGAATATAAATTAGTTCAGCCACTGTGGAAAGCAGTTTGGAGATTTCTCAAAGAACTTAAAAGAGAACTACCACTCAACCCAGCAATCCCTTTATTGGGCATATACCCACAGAAATGTAGTATATAACATAAAGGCACATGCATATGTTCTTCACCACACTGTTCATAATAGCAAAGACATGGAATCAACGTAAATGCCCATAAATAGTAGACTGGATAAAGAAAATTTCATACATATACACCATGGGATACTCTGTGACCATAAAAATTAACGATATTATGTTCTTTGCAGCAACATGGATAGAGCTGGACAACATTATTCTAAGAATACTAATGCAGTAACAGAAAACCGAACACTGCATGTTCTCATTTACAAGTGGGAGCTGAACATTGAGTACACATGGACACAAAGAAGGGACCAATAGACACCATGGCATACTTGAGGGCGGAGGGTGGGAGGAGGGTGAAGACCGAAAAATAACCTATTAGATACTATGCTTATTACCTGGGTGATGAAATAATATGTACGCCAAATCCCCCACAACATGTAATTTTTCTATTAAACAAACCTGCACATGTACCCCTGAAACTAAAAGTTAAAAATATAATTACTACTATTTTAAAGTATCTAGGTGCTCTGAAATATACAAAACACAGATAGCACCTGCACTTAAGGAAATCATAATTGAATTCACGAGGCAAGGGATACATAAGCCAAATTTAAAGAAAATAAAGCAAAGAAAATATAGTGAATTAAAAGGCAATTGACTTATTGTGGTGCAATACAATGACAACCACAGAAGCTTACAGCAGGTCATGATGCAGGAACATGACAGAGGAGGGGGCTGTATTGCAGCTATGGCTGTGCATCACATTTGGGGTGAGGAACCAACACTTTGGCATGTGAGTCAAGATCTCACCATCTAGTCCTAGTGAATACTCTAATATATTATATATTTCATACATTATGTAGGCTATTTAGTATATAGCATATAACACAACTTTTATGATATATGTTATATAGGCTCTATAGAATACAGCATATAATACAACTTTCATTATATGCAATATATGTTATATTACATTTGAACTAGGTGTGTAATACAATATATGATAAATTATATGCTTTTCATGAATCATTATATAATTATGTATTAGCCCGTTTTCATGTAGCTGAAAAATACATACCCCAAACTGGGTAATTTATAAAGAAAGAGAGCTTTAAGGGACTCACAGTTTTATATGGCTGGGGAGGCCTCACAATCATGGTGGAAAGTTAAAGGTACATCTCACATGGCAGCAGGCAAGAGAGAGAATGAGAGCCAAGCAAAAGGGTTTTCCTCTTATAAAACCATCAGATCTCATGAGATTTATTCACTACCACGAGAAAAGTATGGGAGAAAACATCCCTGTGATTCAATTACCTTCCACTGGGTTCCTCCCACAACTTGTGGGGATTATGGAAGCTACAATTCAAGATAAGATTGGGTGGGGAAACAGTTAAACCATATAATTCCACTCCTGCCCCCTCCCAAATCTCAAGTCCTCACATTTCAAACCCAATCATGCCTTCCCAACAGTACCCCGAAGTCTTAACGCATTTCAGCATTAACTCAAAGTTCAAAGTCTCATCCAAGACAAGGCAAATCCCTTTTATCTTTGAGCCTATAAAATCAAAAGCCACTTAGTTACTTCCTAGATACAATGGGGGTATGGGCATTGGATAAATACAGCCGTTCCAAATGGGAGAAATTGCCCAAAACAAAAGAGCTACAAGGCCCATGCAAGTCTGAACTCCAGCAGGACAGCCAAATCTTAAAGCTCTGAAATGATCTCTTTTGACTCCATGTATCACATCCAGGTCACGCTGTTGTGAGAGGTGGGCTCACATTGTCTTGGGCAGCTCCGACCCTGTGGCTTTACAGGGTACAGCCCCTGTGCCCAGCTGCCTTCATGGGCTAGCTAGCACTGGGTGTCTGTGGCTTTTCCAGGTGCACTGTGAAAGCTGTTGATGGATCTACTATTCTGGGGTCTGGAGTACAGTGACCCTCTTTTCACAGCTCCACTAGGCAATGCCCCAGTGGGGACTCTGTGTGAGGCTCCAACCCCATATTTCCCTTCCACACTGCCCTGGCAAAGGTTCTCCATGAGGGCCCTGTCCCTGCAGGAAACTTCTGACTGGACATCCAGGCATTTTCATACTTCCTCTGTAATCTAGGCAGAGGTTCCCAAACCTTAACTCTTCACTTCTGTGCACTCGCAGGCTCAACACCATGTGGAAGCTGCCAAGGCTTGGGGCTTCCACCCTCTGAAGCCACAACCTGAGCTGTACCTTGGCCCCTTTTAGCCATGGCTAGAGTGGCTGGGATGCAGGGCACCAAGTCCCTAGGCTGCACATGGCAGGGGTCCCTAGGCCCAGCCCATGAGACCATTTCTTCCTCCTAGGCCTCTGGGTCTGTGATGGGAGGCACTGCTGCAAACATCTCTGACATGTCCTGGAGACACTTTTCCCATTGTCTTGGGGATTGACATTCAGCTCCTCATTACTTATGCACATTACTTCAGCGGGCTTGAATTTCTCCTCAGAAAATAGATTTTCCTTTTCTATCACATCATCAGGCTGCAAATTTTCTGAATTTTTATGCTGTTTTCCTTTTAAAACCAAATGCTTTTAGCATCACCTAAATCATATCTTGAATGCTGTGCTGCTTAGAAATTTCTTCCGCCAGATATCCTAAATAATCTCTCTCAAGTTCAAAGTTCCACAAATCCCTAGGGCAGGGGTGAAATGCCGCCAGTTTCTTTGCTAAAACATAGCAAGAGTCACCTTTACTCCAGTTCCCAATAAGTTTCTCATCTCCATCTGAGACCACCTCAGCCTGGATTTCATTGTCCATATCACTATCAGCATTTTGGTCAAAGCCATTCAACAAGTCTCTAGGAAGTTCCAAACTTTCTCACATCTTTCTATCCTCTTCTTAGCTCTCCAAACTGTACCAACCTCTGCCTGTTACCCATTCCAAAGTTACTTCCACATTTTGGGGTATCTTTACAGCAGCACCCAGCTCTCCAGGTACCAATTTACTGTATTAGACCATTTTCACATTGCTGATAAAGACATACCTGAAACTGGGGAATTTATGAAGAAAAAGAGGTTTAATGAACTTACATTTCTATGTGGCTGGGGAGGCCTCACAATCATGGTAGAAGGTGGAAGGCATGTCTTATTTTGGCAGCTGGCAAGAGAGAGAATGACAGCCAAGAGGAAGGGTTTTCTCCTTATAAAGCCACCCAATCTCTTGAGACTTATTCACTACCATGAGAACAGTATGGGGGAAACCACCCCCATGATTCAATTACCTTCCGCTGGGTCCCTCCCATAACACATGGGAATTATGGAAGCTACAATTCAAGATGAGATTTGGGTGGGGACACAGCCAAACCATATCAACATAAAATATAATTATAATACAATATAGATTATATATAATATAATAGAAATGTATACATAACTATGTATAACATATATCTGATATATACCTAAGTATATGGGTATAACTAATGCTTAATGCACATCTACGTAATCTATATAAATCAATCAATCAATCTATGTCTACCTGTTCAGGGTATAAAATCTTTGCATACTATGTTAACATAGTATGCAAGTTCCTTGTGCAACAGATAGTGTACAGCAATTAACTGCTGTCAAGTTTTATCTTTCCTGTAAAACTCCCAGCACCTGCACTGAACTTCGCTGGTCAATAAGTGCATTATATACACACCCATATGCACATACATATATAATATTTTTATATGTCAATTGCTCCTCTAGATTGAGTCCAATGCTCAGAATTATAACGGTAATTTCTCAAAAACAAAGAAACGGAAGAAAAGAAGGAAGGGGGATGGAGAGAAGTCAGAAACAGAGAATGAGGGAAGAAGAAAGGAAGTGCTGAAAATGTATTTGGGGTGAATAAACACATGAGATGGTATAAAGAGGCAGGTAATGTTTCACTTCTTTAATAGAAATGGCAACACCTTTCAGTTGAAATCAACTTACACTTTACAATCAGTGATTTTGTGTCATTAGGTAAAATTATTTGTTTTCTAAACCTCAGTTTTATATACACACACGTACACAAATATATACAATATCTATATTGTATATACAGCATATGTATCTATACATAAATACATCTAAACAATGAACATATTTATTTACCTAAGTGATTGGCACATAAAAATGGTCTAATAAGTGATATTAGCAGTTGGTCCATTAGAATTGTTGGCGAAGATTCAAAGGCAGCTAGAGATTGAATTGCAGTGAACCTTGAAAGTTTGATAAGGAATCTGGATGACATTTGGTGGTTAATACTTATTGAAAGTTTTAAAGTCAGGGAACTATCTGATAAAAGCCACAGCTAACATAAAATATGTTTGAGAATGTTCTGACCACAGAATACAAAATGTTATAAATAGAATAATTTCATTTACACATTAATCACTTAAATTTTGTTAGGCATTGACATTTCCTAATAAAATTAAAATCTAAGAAAAGTCAGTCATGGTACAAATCAAAGGGGTAGGGATTATGAAATACCCAGTAAGAGAGGAAACTGCTATAGCACTGAATCAGTGTATCAGGACCAATTAATTTATTTTTGCTTTATTTTCCCTGATCATAACTTTTGTGTTTGTTTGCATTGTTTAATTTACTGAATATGTATGTTAGATTATAAAACTAAAGATGTAAGATACTGTGAGGTCCATTCCCTAGGGATAGCTGAGTGAGGGTCAATAGAATGAAACAGGAAACCAGGGTAGCTTGCAAACTGGAGAGAAAAGACTGATGGTGATCAAATTATATCAATCTCATTGATTCTTCCAAAGAGCTCTGAGCAGGGATGGAATACAACCGCCCCGTTCAGTCAGAAGGTGTTTTGCAGGGTGTTTTGCCAATGTCCTGGGAGCTGCCACCGAACGATGGAGGTGCCAAGAGGTTGGACATGTGAGTGATATCTTAGGCCTCACTCATGCTTCAAGCAGACGTTTTTTTCTATTAGCTGCTTTCTCTATTTAGGCTTATGTAAGATTTTATTTTAAAGCCTCTGCTATTTAAAAAATTAGAAACCCACTGACAGTGAAACTAAATTTGGAGGTAGGCATATATCAATTCTAGTAGCAACTTTAGATCCACTTTAGAATACCCTGTTCAGAAGATTCTAAGTACCCCTTCCAGTGGCTGGGACCATCCAGGGCCAGCAGTGCTGGCAGGAATCTAGCCTGGGTCTGAAAGGGACTCGCGTGGGCACGGGTTCCTGTACTCTTCCCTTTGGGGCATGTGTGGTCCCTCATCTTATGAGTGGGTTCAAATGGGTGCCCAGAGGAGCCCTGGGACTCAGTCTTTGGGTTCCATTCAGACCCGTGGCCTCATCGGTCCAGGATATACCACTGGCAGTCACAGTATTTCTTTCCGAGGATCTGGTCACTGTCACACTTGTTGACACAGGACAAATTTAGAGCATAGGGCTACCTGCAATCCACTGTGACTTTCTGGTGTGGCTGCATGCTGATTCTCACCTCTGGGTTCCAACCATGGAACCATGTCTGGTTTACATCAGTCAAGGCTGGCATGGGTGACAGCAACCTTCCTTACCCTGTGTGTCCTTGCCCCTGGGGTGGTCACCCAGTCTTTCTGCTGGCTCTGTACTCTATGTGAGGCAGATCTGGGTGGCTGCACCTCTCTGTTTCAAGAGCGTTTGAGATGATTAGTCCACAATGCTAATGGGCCTTTCCAATTCTCCTGTCTAACCTCAACCAATGGGGTGATATCATGTTTGCTGAGTGGTCATCTGCCAGGCTCAATGATGGATTGCCATACTCTGCATAAATGGGATTGTTCCAGCTCCACACGCAAACTCCATGTTTATCCTTCCTGCTGGGGATCAGGTGTGTGGCCAGCAGAGGCATCGTCAACATGGGAAGAGGAACATCCTCTACATACAGCAATTATGGGTTACAGATTTCCACAGAGCACCTGATTGGAAAATTGTTCTGTGTTCACACTCTAAAAGTTGAAAAAGTTAAATGTAAACTTAACATAACCAGACAAAGAATTAGTGTTCACATTTTGCTATATACTTTGGATTGGATTGTGATCATGATCGAAGAGAAGAGTCCTTGAAACTCAGAGGTCACAGGCAGCAGGATGGACAATGCCAAGTGATGAGGGATGATATACCCAGCATTGAAACAATGATGTCAAGAAACCACAGGGAAAAGGCCATCTATATTGTTCAAGTACAAACACAGGCCTAACAAGGAGGGTAATAGGAGGGTTGCTAACTTTTTTTACTGGTAGGAGATACAAAATTAGCCCAGCACTCAATATTTGACAGTTAAGAACACAAAGAGATAGTTCCCGCATCAGACAAGAAAGACAAGGTAGCTGGACAATGGACACATATGTAATCCACTCTGATCTACTCATTGATATAAATGTCCAGATTGAATCATTATATTTCACAGGAGCTCCAACATTTTGTATTTGTTATTGCAGTAAATTATACATAACATAAAATGCACCATCATAACCATTTTTAAATGTACAGTTTGTTGGCACTAGGGCATTCACACTGTTGTGCAGCTTCCACCACCTTCTATCACCAGAAATGTCTTGTCTTCCCAGCCTGAAACTCTGGACCCAGTAAACACTATTTCCTCACTTTCTTCTCCACTGAGCCCATGACCATCTCCCTTCTACTTTCTGTCTCTATGAATTAGCTACTCCAGGAAATTCTTATAAATGGAACCATACAATTTTTGTCTTTTTGTGACTGTATGAGTGTATTATACTAATACTTTCAAGGTTCATCCATGTTGTAGTATGTTAGAATTTCCTTCTTTATAAGGCTGAATAACATTCCATTGTGTGTATATATTACATTTTGTTTATCTATTCATCCCTCAATGGCCACCTGGGTGGCGTCCAAATTTTGGCTATTGTGAATGCTGCTGCTATTAACATAGGTGTTCAAAAACCTATTGTTTTTAGTTCTTTTGGGTATGTGCTCGGAAATGGAATGGCTGATGAATGAAGTATTTTTCTTTTTAATTTCTGAGGAACTGCCACACTGTTTCCTATAGCAGCTGCGCTATTTTGCATTCCTTGTAGCAATGTACGAGGGTTCCAATTTCTTCACATTCTTGCCATACATGTTATGTTCTGTTGTATTATTTTTTAATAGCTATCGTGATGAGTGTGAGGTAGTGTCTCATTTTGGTTTTGAGTTTTCCTAATGATTACTGACATTGAAAATCTTTTTATAATGTCTATATTTATAAAATTATATTTATATAGACAAAGACCCCCAAAAACATATTTGTCTAGGGCCTTGTAGACCCAAGGGGAAGCCCTGATGGATTCGAATCCTAATTCCACCACCTATTAGCTGTGTAGTGTTGAATATATCTGTAAACCTACTTGAGTATCAGAATTTTTATATTGGCTGCATTTTAACTGTAGATAGCTGTTCTGGAGCAACAATACTGTAAAATTAGTCTTTTCTTGAAAAACAGGCAGAACCTAGTATTGAGAGATATAACTATTTTTTGCACCCCTCTTCTATATCTTATGCTATTGTCCACGAGCTTATTATATTGTAACTTGATATTAATTTTAAGAAAGATTTGAAATTAGCCATATTTTAGTATGTCAGTTTTCCATAACAAGGAAAAAAAAACACAGAATAAAGATTTAAGCCACAGGAAGGGAAGATATTTCTTTTATAAACACGTGATTAAAAGGAAAATCAATTAGAACTTGAAAGGGTTAGCACTGGATTACTATCATTTAGCAAATGTATTACAATTGTTTTCTCCAGTAAAAATAAAGATTAAAAGGAAAGCATAACTATATTAGAGAGTAAAAAATAGTATTTTATTCTTTCAATAAGTGAGATTCTAAGAAATAGAAGATGAGAAGCTAAATGTACTGAATCTGGGGGTTCCCTGCCTCTGTGTTGACCCCTTAATACTTTGTTTAGGTTGTAAAAGGTTGTTGCTTTTATGATATAGACTTTTTTGGCCCATTATGTAAGTAACCTAGGATGAGTAATGAAATACAGAATACAGAGTAATGTTAGAGGAAAAAAATAAAAAAAATTATTTTCAGTATGTTATATATTCTAATCTATATCTTCTGTTTTTGCTTTTATTTTTAAATGCATAAGGGACATAAGACAATGCTATGCAGATTAATGGAGATTTTTCTCTGCAAAGCCCCTTCTTTTCAGTACATTATTTGCGAATTTGAAATGCTTTGGCCTCTGTGCGCGCCTCTCTGTCTCATGAACCCAGACAGCCTGCTTAGCTCAAAGTGGGTTTACCCTCCTTTCAGTGCAGTCTGGATTTTGCCTCCTGGCAAAAAATAGAGACATCCATTCATCCATTTATGTTTTTTCCCTTAAAGTTTACAACCCTGTGCTTCTGTTTGTCTGATATGTAAAAAATGTTGTTTTTTACATGTATCTAGTTTTCTAGATTTTTATCAGTAAGAAAGCCATTCTCATGTAAATTACTGATTTTGGGGCAGAAGTGAACATCCAGGAATTCGTCTTTGATTTAATACTATGTATTTCTGTCTTTTAAATGCAATTTTAAGTTGCTTCCTTAACACATTTTATTTCCTTCGAAAACATCTATAGTTCTTAGTTTCTGGCCCTCCAGATATTTTTTTTTTTTTGCTGGTGTGTTTCTACTTTGTGCTCTTTAGATGCCTACTTCTTAATAGTTCATAGGGCATGCCAATTTTTAAAACATGTCTTTCAAACCTCTGGATCTTATAATACGTACCTTTTTTTTTAAAAAAAAAAAAAAAGCGTCTCTTCTTCCTTGAGTTTTCAGCATTATCTATTGGTCCTCTCATTTTTTTTATTATAGACTATATAAGTTTTCATTGCCACTCTCGAAAATGAATATCTGTTCAGATCTTTTGTTTGCCAACCTAGTATATGGGTTTGCTTACAATTCTGAGCCTTTCTCTCCTTTTGGCGTCTAGAGCTGGACCACAGGGCAATATCAGTATCCCTTCAGTCAATTACCAGTGTTTAGCAAGGCATTTCCCATGGCTGCATGAGTTGGAAGCTGCTTCTAATTCCTAAGCAATCTTACCAGAAACAAACAAATTAAAGTCCTAATATTTACGATTTCAGGTTTTTTTTTTCTCTATATCTGCTAACAGACTTACTATAAAACATTAACTTTCCTGGATAAAATATAGCCCCTTAGTTCTCCTTCCTTATTCAACGTTCTGAGAGTTGCAATGTACAGCTAGGAGATACATATGGAAATTGGGGGACTGGCTAATGGCGTGAGATGTAGGAAGGTATCTGTCATCTGTGGGAATGTGTTAGAATACAGCCGCTCCAATTCTAGTTTTACAATCTGTATTTTTGATCCTGGAGAAGGAAATAGAGTTTTGTCAGTGGTAGGCTCACTGGCAATATAATGTTATTGGTGATCCTCAAATTGTGTTTTTCAAATCTCATTCTATCAGCTTTATAGTTGATGAAAAGTTATCGTCAACATATTACACAGAAGCTCTTCTGAACTGGTCAGCATTTTCATCATGATATGGATCAGCTTTGACATATTAATTGCATATTTGAAGAAATTGCCAACTATCTGCAGAATCAGTGTCTGTAATTCAAAGTGCAGAATCTTCATTAGCTGGTTATTTTTATTCTCACTAGCTATCACCACGCAGATCAAAAGTTGAAACTTAGAGTGCTTATTGTAAAAATCCATCCTGCAGTTTCTTGTGAATACCTAGAAATGAATTTCCCCCCTTAGCTGCTGTGGCATTTTTGGCTATTATATAATTTCTTGTTAAATTTCACCTCAAAAACCTTCTGCCACTTTTTAGATAATCATCTTATTATTTAATTTCTGTATTGCACCATCACATTTTCCCCTTGGATGTAGTGAATGCTGTTTTTTTATTTAACTATTTCATTCCCACTTACATGTGAGCTACTTTTCATTAGTAAGAAAGACTAATTTTGAAAATTACTAGTACACAAATGTCAAAGGATCATATTGTTTATGCAGGATAAATAATAATAATAGGGCACTATTTTCAAATCTGAAAACCTCTAAGTTCCAAATTAGATTTGGTTCATAAAAAGTAATATTTATGCATATTAAGTATAAAGCAAATAAACATACTTTAACAAATAACCTTCAGTTTTCTATATTAAATTACATTCTGAGGTATGCCTTTAAGGAATTCAAGGAAATCATTTTTGTATCATTCTGTCTTACATTTGAAAACCAAGCCTAAAACACTAGCTTTCATTAATCTATATTTCCAAAATTAATCTAGGGCTAGATTTTTGGGGGACTCAAATCAAGTAATGCTAGATTAAATCAGACATCACTTCTCTATGATAATAATATCTAGCATTTTGTATGATGACACATCACACTACCAGGCTATATTTAACTTCTTAAATATTTTACTGTGGAAGTTTTATTTTATTTTTATGTTAAAAATCTAAACTAATAAATAGATGTAGCAAAATGTATAAATACTATGTATTCAAATGGCTTATGATGAGCAAGAAACTATAGATGTAGATGCTAATAAAATTCTATAATAAATTTTCTCTATTAACCGTGGGCAGTGAAAGTACTAGAAATGCCAGACTGTATGAAGATGTGGTGAAATGAGATTCTGCAAAGCTTTTGGTATGGTGACAGACCTAACCACCCCATGAGTAAATCCACAGGGCTGAGGAGAAGACTTATTATCCTTGTGGGTTAGCATGATAGATCAAACAACTTGTCAGTGTTGTACTGTAATTTCAGGGGGAAACACTTCAAGAAAAGAAAGTCATAATTCCAACTCCCAAGGCCTTTACCCTTTTACTTACCAGTGTCATTGCAACTAGGCGAGTGAATAGCAGTGATTTGATGGCAAGGACATACTTAGGCCAATGGGCTAACAAGGCCAAGATCACAAGTCAACTCCTGCATGGACCTGTTAGCTTTCTGTTGTTTCGTGGATTCAGACTGCTCTCTAATGCCAACTAGCTATGACGCCAAATGCCATGGACCATCAAAATGACAGAGTGAGTATGAGGGGAAAACCATCCCCACTCCTGAGAGGATCAAAAAAAGTAAATGTAAGTCTTTCTAATGTAGGCTCAGTAATTTTATCTATACTTTGAGAACATCATTGCATTGAAATCAAACCTAATAAGGCCTATTGTGTTCACGCATACAATGCTGTGCGGTTAAGTCAGTTAAAACTCACTCCAGCATCGAGCCCTCTCCAGTCACCAGAAGAGCATATCTAGCATTTAATTAGCTTTAATTAGCAGCATAAAACCTCCAAATACCAGGTAGCTGAAGTGGCTTCCAGAAGTAACTCTTTATAAATCTTGAATGAGTAATCACTTAACTTTTGTGATCCACTATCATAGTGGCTGCAGTCACCTGACCATAAGCTGTGTTTTCCATCTAAGAGAGCTTCTGGAAATGAAATATAATTATTGAAATAATAAGGTACTACATCTTGTGCTGTTTTGTTCATGATTTCAAAATCATTAAATTATCCCAAGAGAAAATCAATATGATGAGAATGCAAGTATGATATATAGCATTTGAGGTTTTCTTCAGCGAGGCCCCTGTTGTAACTTGTTAATTTTAATTCATTAAAGTTCTATATAGTATATGTTTTTACTCTTATTCATCAGTATATAATGAGGCTGCACATTGGAAAAACTAAGTCTTTTAACCTTTGATTAAGATAATTTAGCCTTAGGCCTGGTGTAGTGGCTCACACCTGTAAGCCTAGCACTTTCGGAGGCCAAGGTGGGTGATCACTTGAGGTTAGGAGTTCGAGACCAGCCTGGCCGACATGGTGAAACCTCATCTCTACTAAAAATACAAAACAAAACAACAAAAAAAGAAAAAATGGAGTTTAGTCTTAAATTTTTTTTTATGTTAAATATTTTTCAGACAGACTATTGGAAAGGAGGCTTGATGTCTGCAAAGTTAGTGACAAGTGAAAAGGTGGCAATTAGCAAGGCTGGGAGTAAAAATGGGCAAGACCTAAATGATGTTCCGTGATGCCTCCCTGTCTCGTTTCACCTTGTAGGCTTTGTTCTTATTTGTGGGCTGCTGCTTAAAATGTACCTGGAGAAGGGTGTTAATGCATGGGGAACATTATCCACCCCACCTAGGACATGATTTAATAGCAAAGGACACAGAAAGCATTTATTCACACTAGGACCAAAAAGACTCAAGTTGAAAGGTAAACAATGCTAAGGCCTTATGCCAGCTCTGTATGATCATTTCTGATTCATTGCAGTCAAATCCTTGAAATGTTTCTTTAGGTCAATTTAAAAATCAGGCATACCAATCATGAAACATGTTTGAATTGTCTCTGTATATAATATTCAAAACACATTATAATTGGAGAAAATACACTCATCCGACTTGGCTGTCATTCAGTTCAATAGGTATTATCTACTATGTGCTATATGCACTCTGTGCCACCAAAAGTACCATATTTCTTTGCATCTCAGATGCCATGTATCATAGCATATGTTTTTAACAGAGAAAAACAATGTATCAAACTGACATGTCATCAATTAGAAGATGCGTTCAACTTTAGAAACCTCAAAATATGAAAAGTTAGTATGCTGTTAAATAAACTGTCCAAAATACGCTCATTTATCTCCATCTCCGTGGAAATGACCACAGTACAAAACACCAGATTGTCACATGAACCAAATGTCTCAATAGGCCTTCCTCAAACTGAGTCTTATCTCCTCTCTGACTCTCTCCGCTCGCAATTCATTCTCCTCCAACAAGCTGGTGTCTTTTCAAATTGCAAAGTTGATTGTGGTACGAATATTGCAGTAACTGTTCTTGGATCCCTTGATAAAATATTAAAAAGGCAGAATTTTAGAGATCAGATTATCTCATGCAACTAATCTTTCTAGAACTTCTTGAAGTACAAGCTTTCATATCATGAAATAAACTCTGCAAAATATATATTTTTGTCATGTTTAAAAAACATTTAAGCCATGAGTTATTTGGGGGAAAAAAAGGGGGGGCTGGGCGCGGTGGCTCATGCCTGTAATCCCAGCACTTTGAGAGGCTGAGGCGGGCCGATCACGAGGTCAGGAGATTGAGACCATCCTGGCTAACACGGTGAAACCCTGTCTCTACTAAAAATACGAAAAAATTAGCAGGGTGCGGTGGCGGGCGCCTGTAGTCCCAGCTACTCGGGAGGCTGAGGCGGGAGAATGGCGTGAACCCTGGAGGCAGAGCTTGCAGTGAGCCACTGTACTCCAACCTGGGCGACAGAGTGAGACTCCGTCTCAAAAAAAAAAAAAAAAAAAAAAAAGATTTATTGGCAGATTGTATTTCTAAACATGGCCAGAGCAATACTTTCTATCTTAAAGGCCTTTTTGCCTGGTCATCTTGAAGCTTTCTATCAAGATGTGGAGTCTACAATAATTTGTGACAAAAGAAAAGTTATGTCACTTCTCAGGTTGGCTTTAGGAGATGAGAAGCTTCTGCTTTCCATGTATGTGGGCTGCCATTTCTTTGGAAGGCACTTTCAATGCTGCGAGAAGTCCACAAGGCCATGTGGAGTAGAAGCACAGCCACCGTTGAAAGTCCCAGGTGAACTCCCAGCCGGCAGCCAGCAGCCCCTTCCAGACATGGACCCAGATCATTTTAAAAATTTCCCATTCTGACCAACCACCAGCTAAATGCAGCTAAGTAAACGATCCCAGTGAACCCCACTTGGAGAAGCAGAACTGTGCCGCCTAACCTGAGTTCCTAGTCTCAGAGTCATGAACAAATTGCTTTTATTTAAGCCAGTAAATTTGGGGGTACTTTGTTACGCAGGAACAGATAGTCAAAAACTATTTTCTATTTGGAAATGTTTCATATTTTGTGAAGACAAATTAAAAGAAGAGGTCACATTTATCACCACAAATATCTAGAGAAAAAATCATTTTAAAAATATGATAAAGAGCTGCTAGAGAAAAATGGTACATTTAAAAAAAGCTAAGCAAGCATTATCCCAGCACATTTTACAATAATCTTTCAAAAAATAATTCTTTGTATATTTGTTTTTATGACTGAAAGTGTATGTTTAAAAAAGATTTTCCCAGTGATTCTTATTAACTATCAATGATTTTTGGTGGTATAATTAATGGATTTTGAGATTTGCCTAAGTTATGATATTTTGGTACAAAGTTGACTGTAGAAAACACATTATTGAAAACTTTTCCCAAGAATTATAGTTTGCTATCACCAAAAATTTACTATTATTAGTATATGTGCTTCTGAACTATACATTGGGGTTGTGGGAAAAAATAATTTTTGTTTGGCAGTTATTATCTTTTTTATTTAATTTTAAAGCAAGCTGGATTAACAATGAATTAATCATGTTTCTGCTTTTTGTTGCTTAAATAAAAATTATGGAATTTGATTAAAGAAATATTTTCAGAATAAAAAACAAGCAACAAAAAGTGTTCTGATTTTGTCATTAACAATGGAATAAACAGTGTAAATGTCAAGCACAATTTATGAATCAAGAGCCTAACAGCTGTACATATCTGCCACGTGTATGTTCACAAAGTAATTATACCAACAATGAGGTGCTAGGCTTTTTCCTTCTACCTCTTAGCCGTGGCTCAATGCATGGATATCAAGTGGATATAAATGAACCCTGTGACTGAGGGGAAGAGAATTGGCTAATGTGTAGAAGGATAAAAGAGAATGTGCTGGAGAAGAGAAGGCATGAATTTGCCTTTTGTCCTTTTCCAGTTCATCTGTTTTTAGCCCCATAGTCTATGGAAAAGAAAAACTGACAAAAAATAGTTATTCTTGCCAATTTAGGAGTCAAGTTCCCAGGTCCCAAAAATTACAAAATGGTTTGAGGAGCATTCATTGATAATTTTTAGTTCTAGCAATTTTCATTTTAACATTTGACTTCAGTCTAGCCTCAGCATTAAATGCAATGAAAGAAATGTATGCAGGGTATGAGGAGTAGGGAGACATTACGGTCAGATAGTCTGGGATGTGACCCAGAGGTCTTCAAGTGCTGGTCCTGTGCTATTTTACCCTCCTCATTTTATCAACGCAGGTTATGCTATTGTGAAGATTAAATAGATTTTATGTATATGCGTGTGCAACTTCTGACATGTTATCTGATACGCACTAAAATGTAGAACGACAAAACTATGGGTGCATCAGCGAGTCTCCCAAGGTGACTGGGTCAATGCCTGAGCAGAACACTGGGAATCTGTGTCTTCTTGGTGCTCTGTCTCCAAAGCATCTCTAGTCTCTCTTTCCTTACTCACAACTTTTCTTGGTATGTCCTGTGGTTCTGAGCTCATAAGCTATGATTTAGCAGGAAATTAACATCAAGATAACAATATACACTCTCTCTCATGCAAACCACTTTGAAGGCATTTTCCAACATACTGCAGAGAGACAGAAGAGGAGAATCATGCTGAATATCTTCTAAAGTTGTTTCAATAGTGATCAGGAAATTTGATTTTTCAGGAATTATGAACTAAAATATATCACGGAAAGGATAATTTAAAAGTTAAATTAAACTGTGTTTATTTTTAGAAATTGTACCACCAGGTCTTAATCTTGATAGAAAGAACCAGGTCAGCAATATAATAACACAATTTTTGAAATATTGATGTTAGCTAATATCATTCTAGGTGCTGTTGGGAACATATTAAAGATGGAGTTACAAATTATATAACACATCAGTGGCCCTGGAAGGTTAGAATGTCCTTGGCACTTGCTGACATTAATCCTGATTGGTAATTGGAGAGAAATTCCATATAGTCAGATTAATAGTTCACATTACACCTGTCATGAGTATAGCATATGTATTATGGTTCAGAAACTCATCCGATGTGCTTCTCATGCCATTAATCTCAGAAAAAACACAGTTATGGAGAAAGACAGCTTTCCTTACTTAAGAGTGCTCAAGTTATTATGGCATTTGTTAATGTTTTAGGTTTTTAAGATATTATTAGTGGAAATAAAGAATAAAAGTATTGAAAGAACAAAACCTACTTATATTTCATATATTGTGAATTGTTCAATTACTAGCTATAATTATGAAGAAAAATATTGTAACACATACAAACTTTGTTAATGATATACATTGTTTTGTATTTATGAATAAAATTTAAGAAATTATAGGATGACAACAACGAGAATATTATATCACATCTAAAGAAAAGAGAAAGAAAACATCTACCAGATAACTTTTGCCACTGCAAAATTTTTTTAAAAAGGCTGTAGTATTCTCATGTATCAACTAAATCACAAATATTACATGTATAGCATAAATATCTATACCATCTTCTCTAGAATTGTTTCAGCTCCCATAGCTATGTAAGTTTCTCTGGAGTGTCTACATTTTTGACTCCTATAAATCTTCAGTGTTTCATGTGTTTACAACTTTTGTTGTAAAATATACTTTACTTAGATATTGTCAAAAATAACATGTTTCACATTTTAAACTAACTCCATTCCCTTTGGAATTGGTTAATTTTTACTTTATGAGTTTTTTCACTGATAAATATTTGTAATTGTCAATGTGCTCATTATATGATCCTCCTAGAAAAGAGGAGCTTGTTTTTCTAGAGGCTGTAGCCCTTGGCATTCTTCTCATAAGATAAGTAGTTTTTTATCAGGCAGATATGAAAGGCTCTATTCTAAGCAGAAGGTACAATTTGTACAAAGGCCTGCGATGTGGAACATTGTGGCAATTTCACAAGGCAATAAATATTTTCACATGACCAGAATATGGTCCCTTCACTAAAATTACATAGGCCTAGATATTTTTCCCTGTTTTATACTGCTTAGGGAGTTTGATCATAGTTTCCATAATTTTATTTTCACCTTATACTGAATAAGGGGGGGTAGGCTTTCCTATCTATACCACTTCTAAAGCTTTCTGATCTTTTCTGTTGGCTTATCAGTATGAAAAGTTTCCTCATAATTAAAATAATGAGCCCATCTTAGAATGAGAATTCATTTACAATTCATCTTCCACATTTTTTGTCATATATTAGGTTTCTGTGTGGTTGTGTTGTTGCGTTAGTCTGTTCTTGCTGGGGAGACCTCAGCTATGCTTCCTGTACAACATGTGGAACTGTCACGGTGGAAGGGAAAGGGAAGCAGGCACATCTTCACATGTGCACAGCAAGAGGAAGAAAGGGGGGAGATACCACACACGTTTAAACAAGCAAATCTCATGAGAACTCTCTCAGAGGAACAGCACCAAAGCGGAAAATCTGCTCCCATTATCCAATCATCTCCCACCAGGCCCCACCTCCAACACTGGGGATGATTACAATTCAACATGAGATTTAGGATGGGACGCAGATTCAAACCATATCATTCTGTTCTTGGCCCCTCCTAAATCTCATGTTCTTTTCACATTGCAAAGTACAATCATCCCTTCTCAACAGTCCCTCAAAGTCTTCACTTACTTTAGCATTAACTCAAAAGTCCACAGTCCAAAGTCTCATCTGAGACAAGGCAAATCCCTTCCACCTATGAGCATGTAAAATCAAAAGCAAGTAAGTTACTTCCAAGATACAATAGAGGTACAGGCATTGGGTAAATACTTCCATCACAAAAGAAAGAAATCTGCCAAAGAAAAGGGGCTATAAGCCCCATGAAAGTCCAAAACCCAACAGGGCACTTATTAAATCTTAAAGCTCCAAAATAATCTCTTTTGACTCCATGTCTGACATCCAGGGAACACTGGGGCAAGGGGTTCCTCAGGCCTTGGGCAGCTATGGTGGAATATCATGTCTGAACAGAGTGACTACCATCATCTTCCTAGATGGCTCTATTCTGAATTCCATCTAATTTTTTTTATACTCTTGAGGCTTTACAAAAGAGTAACTGCTGAGCATTTAAACGCAGATGGGATAGTTTTATGTTTTTGTACCTTAAGCACTGTATCTGAGAACATTCTCTTAATGTAATGTAGAAACAGAAATAGTCTATCTTGGGTATTCAGTATTCCCTGAACCTTGGAACTATCCAGCAAGTGAAATCAATTAGGTGGGATATTCTGAGTAGAAAATGATGATCTGTTGCAACTTTGTCAATAGTAAAGTCAAATTTCTTATTGGGCCTTACATTTTTTTTTTCTGTATAAACCAGAAGTAGATTTGAAACTTTGGCTTTCACAGTTAATACTTTTATAATGAATATAACAAAACATTTTTAAATCTAAAAACATAATATATGATTTACCAGTCAGATAGCTTTCACCACAAAGTGAGTGGAAGTTTCCTGAGAAGATGAATGAGTTCAGGACCCAAGGTAAGAGAAGCTGTGGCCCAAAGGTGAAGGTGAAGGGCTGGTTTTTCTCAACCGAAATGTTGTATCCTTGGTATTGTTATGAAAACCAAAACGACACAAAGCAAAAATAAAATAATCAAATAAATAAATAAACAAGTAATAAAGCCATCTCCTAAAAGAAAACAGTATTAGAAAATAAAATGAGACAGTCAAAAGAAGAATCAGTGTGAGAAGATAATGCCTCCCAACAGTGACTGGAAGCACCAGGCCCCAGTGGTCAATTCTGCTCATTCTTCCTCCTGTTTTTATTTTTTATTTTTTGAGACACAGTCTCATTCTGTCACCCAGGCTACAGTACAGTGGCATGATCTAGGGATCTTGGCTCGCTGCAACCTCTGCCTCCCGGGTTCAAGTGATTCTCATGTCTCAGCCTCCTGAGTAGCTGGGATTACAGGCATGTCACCACGCAGGGCTAATTTATTTTTTTGATTTTCATTAGAGGTGAGGTTTCACTATGTTGGCCAGACTGGACTTGAACTCTTGGCCTCAAGGGATCCATTCACCTCGGACCCACAAAGTGCTAGGATTACAGTCGTGAACCATCTTTCTCTTTTAAGTTTTGAATTACAGAGGATAAATTTTGCTGTCGTGTTCTAATTGCATTTGATTTTTTTTCCTATAGCAAACTTGGAACATCTCAATGAAGGAAGAACAGGGCATATCCAGATCATATTCAAATTGTTCAGTCAACGAAGTGGGTGAAAGTAAATGTTATACAGTCACTGCAAACACTCATATCATAGTAAACATGGCTTGTCCAGGTAATGTAACCACTGGTCCCCCCTCACTCCTCTGCTCTCCCAGCCTTCCACTGTTGATGGTCACAGGGAGAATTTGTACTCTAATCAAATTGTGCTTTAAAATTATTATATCTCATTATAAAATGTAAATATCAATGACATATATAAAGAAATAGACAAACTTACTTAGCCGGGAGTCAAGGTTGGGCTTCTTAATCTACTTCTCATTACTTAGCAGATTTGGTGAAATATAAATTGTTAATACTTATTTATTTATTTTTCTGAGGCAGGGTCTCACTCTGTTACCCAGGCTGGAGTAGAGTGGTACAATCTAGGCCCATTGCAGCCTCTACCTCCTGGGCTCAAGTGATCCTCCTGCCTCAGCCTCCCAAAATGCTGGGATTACAGGCGTGAGCCACTGCACCCAGCCATTAATACTTACTGAGTAATTAAGATGTGTCAGTAACTGTCATAATCATTTGTATTAATGAAATTATTCATTAATAATAAATTAATGGTTATGACAACCTTTTGTGATAGGTAGTATTATCGTCTCTGTTTGACACATGGTAAAATCGAGATGCAGAGCTGTGAATGAATTTCTCAGAGATCTGATAGTCAGCAAAGATGCGTATAAATTTCAAACCTGGGGCCCGTTTTCTTAGCCGTTCAAGAGGGCTGGCCCCACTGAGCTTCAGTTGTTTCCATTTCAAAATAGAGAAAATTCTTTCTTCATAGAGCTGTTAAGGTCAAATTTGCTAATTTCTAAGCTTATTTCAAGGCATTCCCTTTGCAGACAGATAACAAAATAGATGTTCTTTCCCACAGGCAGAATCTGGCCCAGGTGACCATATAGATTGATGAGCAGAATGACGTTCCACTGCCGGGCAAACTCATCTGTGACCAAAGTGCATGACTCATTTGGTGGCCTTGAGCACCCCATCCCCTGTTGTAAAATTCATCGGCAGTTTTCAGTACCTTAGAGGCTAAATCAAGACTTTTTTTATGGCATGGAAATGTCTTCATGATGTGGCCCCTGCCTTCCCATGCCAATTTCCTTTCATCAGTCTTCACTGCATTTATACTGGATTGCTTGTGATTTTTGAATTTGCCCTACTCTATTTATGTGATCTTTGAGAAGGGCTGCCCTTCTGTCTAGGAAGAGCTCCCCTAACCAGATGCCTAAGTATCTCCTACTGGTTCATTGCATATCAGATCATCCTCTCAGATGCCTTCTTTTATATCCTAATGCCATCAAGTCAGTCTTCTTTCATAATTTCCTAACACCTTATCGTTGCCTTTATTCATCTCACACTGTTTTGTAATTATTTTTATATATGTTTCTTCTTTTAGTCTCTGAGGTTTTGATGGCAGGAGAAACTTTTCTTGTTTGTTCCCATATCCTCAGTGGAACTTGACACACTTAGTAGGGGCTTAGAAAATGATTGACTTAATAAGAATTTTGCAAGTGATAATAGCATAATTCCTTCTCAAAAATAAAATGGAAATGGAAATAAACGAACTAATAAGTAAATGTAAAAGGGTGAAAACTATTAGGTTTTACTTAGTCTTTTTTATTCAGCATGGTGACATACTTGGTTCTATGGTACTTTGATGGGAATATTTCAATTTGTACTAACCATCCTACTTCACTCTACTTATCTGTATAGAGTTATTTCCTCAGTAATTGGGACTTTCAGCTACTGAAATAATTTAAGTTTCTGTCATTTACAGGCTGCTCAGACTTTTGATTCACAATAGGAACAGCCCAACACAATGGAATGGGATGACAGAAGTGAATTGGTGCTTTCAATTCTGATTTAATTTGATTGCCCAGGGTAAAGAAAGGAAGGTAATTGTAGGACCCAGAAAAGTATATCATGACAATGACACTTAATAACTTTCCCAGAGATTTAGTTTTCTTTGGATGATATCTATATTTCATGGAACAAGGTGGATAAAAATTCTCCAGAGTAAAATTATCTCAGGCAAGTGTAATATTTCCTCCCATTGTTCATTAAAGTACATTTGGCACTTATTATATGCTTCCTTGTAGTTACATCCCTGTTTTATTCATATATTTTTGTCTATTTCAATGTACAATTCTTACATAAAAAGGACCTGTGCACTATTCATTGTCATTTATCATTTGTACCTAACATAGCATTTGCCTCTAAAAGAAATGTGCTCAATATAATAATAAAAAACAGAACGTATTGGTCAATTCATGTGTGTTTCACATTATCCATGAAAATGCAATAATCACTTGGCAAAGCTTTACAGGGACAATGTCCCAATGACCTAAAAATGATTTTATCATTTTAAAGTAGTCGTCAAAATTATTAAATTCATTCTTAGCCTTTAGTTCTGCAGATTGTGCTCATTTCAAATAGTTCAATCAAAGTCTTCAAAGATTGAAGTTTGAAAATTCTGCCTCTCATTACGTTATGCTCATAGTAATAGAATTTCTTTAGTCTGGAAGGTGTTTCCAACCTCCTTGTTACTTTTGGCAAGGTGTCTGTTCAAGGTAAACATACTAATAATACCAAGAGATAACAAAAGGAAAAATCAATGCAAGAAATGTCTAACTACATAATTCTCTTTCTAAAAAACTGAATTTAAAATTTCTAGAGCACAATTAATGTGCAGTAAGATATTGTGCTTGAATCTGGCAATTACATACTCTGTTTATCCCTCAGACTTGAATATTAGGTTTTAAAAAAATAGTTCTAGGCTCAACAGAACTATTTCATAATTTTAGCTGTAATTTCAAATAAAAAGGATCATTATTGATCAGTCTAGATAGAGAGAAATTGCAATTATATTTATGTTCTTCCATGAATGCAAATAGTCACAAATAATATGATCAATCTGAGGCCAGGCGCGGTGGCTCACGTCTGTAATCCCAGCACTTTGGGAGGCCGAGGCAGGTGGATCACGAGGTCAGGAGATCGAGACCATCCTGGCTAACACGGTGAAACCCCGTCTCTACTAAAAATACAAAAAATTAGTCGGGTTTGGTGGCGGGCGCCTGTAGTCCCAGCTATCCGGGAGGCTGAGGCAGGAGAATGGCGTGAACTTGGAAGGCGGAGCTTGCAGTGAGCCAAGATGGCGCCACTGCACTCCAGCCTGGGCGACAGAGAGAGACTCTGTCTCAAAAAAAAAAAAAAAAAAAAAAAAAAAGAGTGATCTGAGAATGTGACTGCATGGTTTTGAAATTTTTTGCATACATCTTCTTAGTAGTACCATATCTGAAAATAATCAGTTAAAAGAAGAACCATGATTGAAATTTTTATCTCAGGTAATTTTTGTATAGTTTATCAATGACCAAAGGCACAATGTAATATGGCCAAAGCTATGTTTTAGAAATACATTAATAAACATCACTGTTTAAAATTTACAATGTAGGAAAAAAAATCAGTGATAATCATTTAACAGTACCAATTTATTCCACTACATGTGAATATTGTCAAAATTGCTCGATTCACATTAAATCTTACTCTAATAATAAAATCTCTGTGCTTTAGCTGTTGTGGTTAGATCATTTATATTTAATGTATTGATGTTACTGGATTAAATTCTACCTCTACCTTCTTACTAGCTGTTTTCTATTTTTTCCATTGTTCTCGTTTTTTTTCCTCTTTATTTGCAGTTTCTGGCCTTGAGGTTTTTTTTTTTTTTTTTTTTTTCTTTTTTCTTTTTTTTGGTTCCAGTTTAATCTTCTCTATTGGCTTATTTATTTACTTTTCTTCTTTTGAAATTTTGGGACAGCATATTAGCTTATTTCTAATACTACTTTTATAAAATCTGTATTTGGTTGTCTTAGGATTTATTGTATACAGTGATAAACAATCTGTCTAAACTCAAATGTTACACAGCTTCATATGTAGTATAAAAACCTGATAGATTATATTTTCAATTCTGTTTTCCCATTCCTTCTGCCATTTTTGTAATATATTTTAGTTTTAAATATTCTACAAAAAACAAAATTCTTTGATACAAATTTTATTTTAATGAGCAGTTACTTTTAGAGCAATAAAAAATAAGAAAAATGTACTTTATTCCATTCTGGTATTCTAATTCTTTGAATGGGTAAAATTTTCTGGTGATGCCAGCTGATAGAAAATTTGTATTCATTTCTTATGGATGAGATCTCCTGGTAATTGATTTTTTTCATTTTCTGTTTGCCTGTGAAAGTCTTCGTTTTTTCTTCATTTTCGAAATTTTGAAATTGTACTTGTTTATTTTCAATTTGTACATCAAATTCTAGGTTAGGAGTTTTGCTTTTCTTTTATATATTTAAAGAGTTCACAACTTTGACTTCTTGCTTCTATGCCTGCTGACAAGAAATATGCTCTAATTTTTATTTTTAGTCCTGTGTAGATAATGTGGCTTTTTTTAATCCAGTTACGTTTAAGATTTTCTCTTGTCTTTGCCATTCAGCAGTTTGAATGCCTAGGTTTTGTCATTTTCATTTTGTTTTGTTCTGTTTGAATATTTGTTAATTTTGGTTTTCTCTGTGACCCTTGGGCCTCTGGTATACTGTCTGCCAATAATTTCTAAAATTATCAGTTATTATTTCACCCAATATTTATTCTGTGCTGTGCTCACTTTTTTCTCAGAAGGATTCAATTACAAGTACATTGGGTTGTTTGATATTGTCTCACAGCTCTTGAATCCTCTGTTATTTTTATTTCAATGTTTTTCTGTTTAAATTTTCATTTAGGTAATTCCTGTTTTCTTATTTTCCAGCTCACTGATTTCCTATTATGAATTAAGTCTAATCATGAACAAGTAAAATACATTCTTCCTCTGTGTGTTTTTTAAAAATATATTTTCATTTAATTCTCTCTTATACTTTCCATTTTTTTTCATTGAAATTACCTCTGTGAACTTGTATATTGTCTACCTTTACCATGAGAACCTTTAATCTCTTATGGTAGTAATTTTAAGTTCTTTTTCTGATGGTTCTAATATTTGTCATATCTCAGTACAGTTTGGATAATTGCTTTGAACCTTCAGACTGTATTTGCTTTTACCTTTTAAGTTACATCTCAAATGGTTTTGTTGAAAGATGGACATGTGTAAAATTGCAGATGATGAGGGCTTTGTTTTGGTTTGGTTTGGTTTTTAAATGAGAGGCATTGGATATGTGTATCCTTTTCTTAGGCCTTAGCTGTCTATTTTGTGTTCACCGCCTCAGCAGCAAGACAGGATTTACGGTGCTCTCCACTGAGCTCTCCGTGTCTGGCTGACAGAGAGAATTTGTCTCCTGCAGTTCTCACAACTGCATTCTGAGGTGATTTCCACTCAGTACTTGTTAGTGTGGTGATGGAGGGAGGAACACAGTGTGCGTTTTTTAAGATCCAGTTTTTGGCAGACCTGTTAAACCTGAGTCTGCAGATGTGGCCTTCGCAAGGATTCCTGCCCCTTTTTCTTAAGTGATGCTAAAACTACCAGGGATTCCTCCTCCAGGGAAAGAGCTTATTTTGTTGTTGTTGTTTGTTCATTTCCCCAGGATGCAATAGTTTCTGTCCTCAGGATAATGGTTTTGATTTTTGTTTTTGTTTTTGCTTTTATTTCCCTCTGAAGATAAAGGCATTTATTTCACGGGGCTGATAGGGTTGCCTGCTGTTATTTTTTCTTACCTCTTCTCTCTAAGGCAGAAGCTTTCTCAGGATTCTTTCCAGCTATGAACACCTGTTAGGGTTACTGTAAAAAAAGCTTACAGAAAAGGTGAATCCCCTGCACTATGGCACCTAGGGATTTTTCATCCTGAACCATACTTGCTTTCTTTAATTTATCAAACATTTCTAGCCGAATCTTCATATCTGCTTATATGACATGTGGGGGCATCTGTCCCAAATAACCAACTTCTCTGGTCCTGTTTCTTCCTACATTCACTGGTCTCTTCCAGATACTGAGTTTCTACTCTGCAAGCTCAGTTATCTGATGGTTTCTAAGAAATTCTTAAATTTGTATCTTGTCCAGATTTTTTTCATGTTTTAACGTTAGAAATGATGCTCATTTTTTGTCTATATCTCAGAACAAAAACCAGAAATCTCTGAATAATTCATTCATTCATTCGTGTTTTGCTGTGAAATCATCAGGTGAAATTGATAATCAATATTTAGTAAACAGCCGCTTGTATCCATCTTGTCACACATATAGTATGTAATGTAATTACTGCTTTAGAAAGAACTCCAAAATATTATTAGAACATTTATAGTTTCCCAGAATAATCTAGATATATTGTTTATATATATATATATATAAAACTTATAAATTTGAAATTGATTAATTGGCATATCTTTCCTCTTCACATTATTTGATACAAAGATAAGATTCAAAATTGTGTTCCACCCCTTTTCCCCATGGAGGTCACTAGAGTTTGCATTTTTAGTATTATTCTTGGCTATTCTTTGTACCCATACATATTTTTGCTTCTTTTGCTGCCTTATTTTTTGGTCACATTCTATTGTTTTGCCTGCCTTCTCACAAACTAACTGAAAATGTTTCTAGAAAATCATTGAACATAAATATTTATTTAAAAAATACACTTTATGAGGAAATAGTAAAGAAATGAAAGAAGGAAGGGAGGAAGAGAAAGGCAGGCATAAGATAGTATATTGTATGTTGTAGGAAATAAATATAATAAATATAAGATATCTGGCTTCAGAAAAAAAAAGTTGACATAAATTGTATTTTTTAGCCAAAACTCGAAAAATTCTAAAGCACCTAGAAGGGAAGAAAAAAAATAAAAATAACTTTTATTGGTGACAAATTTTAAAAGTCAATATTATCTTCAATAATTTAGTTAAGCTAACAGTAGGTAAGTTTCTGTCTTCTGTCAATAATACAATAGCACAGCATGAGGATGATACACTGAGTAGACATGGAGACCAGCACTAATCCAATATTGGGGTGAACAGAAAATACTGTTGGGAATTTGCAAGGGGCAGACTGTTAGTCACATAACCTTTGTTCCTCTTTTTAACCTGTCACTACTGGTGTGACTAGGTCAAGTTACTTAATCTTTCTGAGCTTTGTTTTCTTCTTTTATGAAATGGTGGATTAGATCTGAGTGTCGTTAACGTTTTCAAAATCTATACCTGTGACTTTAAATGTAGGTTAGTGCAGGAAGGGTCAGGCATTTCATGCCCAGCTGCGGATTTTGGTCTTGATCCTCTAGTAAGTGGAAAGTATTGATGGTGTCTGAGCACGAGGTTATCTGAAGTACTGAAGGGAAGTGTTAGCTTGGAAGGAGAATGGCTAGAGTGTGAGTGAATTGTTGCAGGTATGGAGCGAGGGCCTGGACGAGTCATGCAGTGATGGAAAGGGCAGATCAGGGAGCACCACTGAATAACACTGGTCTCTGTAATTATGCTAAAGTTCACACGAGAAGAGGGGTGAAGAGCCATGATGTGGGGGAAGGTCAATACTTCAAATGTCCTAGGTATTTGTTTCAACACACCCATGGCACACTGTCCTTCTGTCCCTGTCTGTATGTGTCCTATATGTTTCTGTAATTAAATACCAGAAGTGTCCCAACCATATCATTGAATTACTATAAAGGAACATTTAGTTTTTCATTTTTAGAGTGATCTGAGTTTTCACGGTCTGACTTTCAGTGTTGCTGAGATGTCACATAGAACAACTGGTATTTAGGAAGGAAATCAAGGCTGTTTTTCAAACTGCCCCTCCAAACTGCATGATGTCTCCCTGTAATAACATTTATATATGCCAAAACCTACCATCCATACCCATTTCTTACTGACTGATGCAATAGCCTGGCTTATGAGTATAACCATAATCTCCAACTCACTGGGAAAGATCCTGGTTTATATTTTCTGTTGTTAACACCTACTGTTCACTCTCAAAAGTGTTGAGACTTTTGTCCATAATTATATAAGCACCCTATTTTAAAACAATTCAATACTAGCTAGCTATCACTTTTCATTTTTCTGTTAACCAAATTTATGACATTCCATTACATGTACTCTATGATGGAGACCCACTAGTCTAAGGTGTGCACACACTACTCTCAGGATATTCTAAACTACTTTTAAGGCATGTTATAAATACCCTTGTCTCACTTCAAACCCACATTTCACTCTTCCTTCTCCAACGCAAAGAATCATGCAATTTGAGTTTTCCCAGGTGACTGATATTAGATATGGGGTGTGCCAGGCAGACTAATGGCTTCCCAAAGCTGTCCACATTTGTTCCCAGAACCTGTAAATATGTATGTTACATGGCAAGAGAAACTGAGGTTGCAGACGGACTTCAGGTTGCTAGCATACTGATCTGAAGATGGGGAGATTAGCCTGGATGAACTTAGAGGGCCTACTGTAATCACAAGGGTCCTTATTTAGGAAAGACGTCGGAGACACAGGTCAGCATGATGCAGTAAGATAAGAATTCCACCTGATGTTGACAGCTTTGAAGTGGAGGAAGAGAGCAATGGGCCAAGGCATATGGCACCCATGGAAAGGGCTCTAGGATTCCTCCCAAGAGTTTCCAGGAGGAAACATGGCCTTGAGGATACCTTGATTGAAGCCCAGTGAAACCCATTTTGGTCTTCTGACATCCAGAACTCTTAGACATTACAATTCTGTTGTTTTAGCCAATTTATTTGGAGCAACTTGTTACAGTAATGATAGGTAACTAACACATAGGGCTATGAAACACTCATCTGAATTTTTAAATAGTGCCAATGATGTTATCATTTATGTCATTCAGTGTCTATCTATGAAGAAGATTCAAAATAAGCTTCTCTTTGACCTTAAGTTCAGGAAGAGGCTCGCTTTTTTTAATGAATTGATTTGCCCTCTATTGGTAGATAATAAGATCTACATAATTGTTTCTCCTATTTTCCCCAGAATTTAAAAAAGCAAAAATTAGATTTTATGGTTAAGTATTATGTCATTTATAATCTTTATTTATAACTATACATTTTATCTTCTCTTTTTTTATTAAGGATTAATTTTTAATCAGGGTAATAATTATTATATTTATATTATTACTGTAAATATCTTTGAAACAATTTGTAAAGTAAAAGGATAAGAATAAATTAAAATATAATTTTATTCTAAATGATTAGGTATAGATAATCAATTTCTAAATGATAGAGAACCCGAAATATCAGTCTTGTCCAACATACAGATTTGAGATGGCCATGTATTTACATTAAGATAATTAAAGAATGAGAAAATAAAGAAAAAATAAATGTGATAATATATATTTTCAAATTATAATTTTCTTTGTTTATTCTTATAGAAGGGGCCCATATGTTAAATTAGAGGTCAGATAACATGAGCCCAACCATAACTGTAGACTAAATTAATCAGTCACAGTTTATTATTTTGCCTCTGGGGTTTAATTAAACTTGTATTCAGGGTAGAATGAAAATATAAACATTTCTTGTTCAACAACTTCTCTGAATCTTTTCTATCTATGAAACATCACATATAATATTTAGTTGGCTACTGAAGTTTATAAGTATCTAGAATCTTTTTCTTCAAATCTACATTAAATTACTTTCATGTATTGAGTTCAGTTACAAATTTTTACACCAACTCTAATATAGAGTCAACAGAATTTTTCTTTCCTTGTATTCACATGAGAAGGTAGGTGGCCAAGAGCATAAGAGCATTCTGTAGAATACTGTAGAATTGGGTGGCCCAGTGAGGTCCATACAGCAAGCTCAGTGGAAACCAGAGAGTGGGAAGGCCAGGCCCACAGGGCATTTCAGGAAGTGGATCCTAGCTGAGTTGAAATGAGAATTAGGGTCTTTTCTTGGATACATGTAGTATTAAGAAACGTGGCTCCGCTGCATAAGCACATGTTTTGTAGGAGAGGCAAAGTACATACCAGAACTTTGGTTTTGGAAATTTTACATTGGAGAATATTAACAAGATAAGAAGCAATAGACCAAGACCCAAAGTTCATAAAGAAATAATCCACAAAAGGTTCTCGCTCGTTGTGAATGAAATTTTTTGTAACTGCTATTTTCTCAGCGTCCTGATCTTTACTCATTTATTTATGTATAAAAATAAAAATACATAAATATAGGATAAACTAGTTACTCCATTGAATCATTGAACATTCAGGGCAATAAATGTAAATTTTTTTAACTTATAACTTCTGAAAGAAGAAATAAAGTGTAAGCATAGTAATAACCTACTACTGAATCAAGCTTCAGTTTTTTTAGTTTAGTTGAAATAAACCTTCTTACTTACAACTGATCCTAGAATGTATAAACTTACGCCAGGCAGATTTTTTAAAAAATCTCTGAGTAACCGATTCGTTAATTAATTATGTTAGATATTAGAAGAAAAATATGGCAATTTTATCTACAAAGAAACACTATTGGGCATTAAATATTTTCAAGTACTGTATGTGTCATCACGTGCATTCCTTCTTCTGTTTACATGTGTATATACATATGCCTACATATATATAATTATCTTTTTTAATTAAAAAATCAAATGAAATTCATGTATACTTACTTGTCTTAATTGTGGATGTGTCACATCAGAGTACGTTATTTATTTACTTAGCTCTAGAGCATAACAAAATTCCTTGGGACATTGTAGGTGCTTAATAAATATTTTGCAAACAGATCTGAATAACTGTATTCCAGTTTCTCCATACTTAAAGGCTATGGCTTTAAGTATATATAGCTGCTAATAATTCCAACCTCCACCTGAATTCCTCCCCCTCCCCCAGGATAATCATCACAGTTTCTTCAGCTATTTATTATATGACAAGGTGTTTGTCAATGTCTTACCTGCTTTATTCTTATTTTCAAATGCTTACAGATCTTTAAGAAATTCCGTAGCTATCTTTTAGTCTCATAGTAGGTATAAAACTATGCATTCCACAAAACTATGCATTGCTTTAAGAGAATATTGAAAAAAAAAGAGTTGCAATCATACCCTATATTTCTAATAGGATGCATACTAGCGAAAATAAAAAAGACTTGGGATTTTAGCAGGGTCTGAAAATCATAAGGCCATATGAAATAGCATGACAAATTATCAAAGTTTCAAATATGTTTTCGGTACTCATATGTAATGTAACCTCAATTAAGTGATTATACTAATATTTCAGCCAGATTCATTTATTTTACAGGTTTTCATCCAGCGACTATTTTGTATCACTGGAGACATTTTTGAATGTTCCAACTGGTTTTGGGGGATGCTGCTGTCATTTAGTGGGACAAAGCCAGATACTGCTAAATCTCTCTGTTAGTGTGTCTAACAGCACTCTACAGCAAAGGACTTTTTAGCCTGCAATACAATAGTACCAAGCTGGACAAACTGATATATTTCTATCGTAGTTTTGCTTTCAAGCATATATTTTTAACCATATTAGTAAATGAAAGATTTGAGGGGCCAGGCGCGGTGGCTCACGCCCATAATCCCACCACTTTGGGAGGCCAAGGCGGGTGGATCACGAGGTCAGGAGATCGAGACCATCCTGGCTAACACGGTGAAACCCCGTCTCTACTAAAAATGCAAAAAATTAACTGGGCGTGGTGGCGGGAGCCTGTAGTCCCAGCTACTTGGGAGGCTGAGGTGGGAGAATGGCGTGAACCCGAGAGGTGGAGCTTGCGGTGAGCCGAGATCGCACCACTGCACTCCAGCCTGGGGGATAGATCAAGACTCCGTCTCAAAAAAAAAAAAAAAAAAAAAAAAATTGAAACAAAGTCTTCATATACATTTATTCTATCACTCAATTTCTTAATACAAAACTAGATGCTGGTACTTATTCAATAAACTTATTCTTGTTGCCTTTGAAGTTTCATTAATTAGTTCCAAACTTACAAATCAATGAGTCACTTGATATCAGAATGGCTACTTCTTGGTATTTTCTAAGCAACTTTTTGCATTATTAGCAAGTGTGGGATATGTTCTCACCTTCGTTTACATTTACGGGGTCGCCATTTATGATTCTACTACATTATATTGTACTCCATAGGCCAGAGAGAGCTCCTGTTCTTCCCAAAGCATAAAAAACAGAATTAGACACCAGGAACAATGGATTCATTTCATGTCTTCTCATTGTATGATATTTCTTATGAATAAATGAAGTTCAGTTATATAATCTCATAATTCAATTTATATTAGTTCTCTGTTAGAATGTCTCTTGATGTCTGAAGGAATTATTACTCACAGTAAATCTATTAATGAAAAGAAAACCAGAAAATTATCCATTCATCTGTCTATAAGGCCATCTTTGGCTTCCTTTGATTTTTCTTTGCAATGTGTCGTTTTTTTTTCTGATCAGCTCGGCCATCTGAAAGTATTTCATGGCGTTTTTCATGTATGTAATATAATACACTTTGAAGGGGACTGAAATATTACATGCTTCCACACGTAAGAAGATGAGAGGTAGAACAGAGAGCTCTATGTCTTTGTCTAGATCATTCAGTTGTAGGTGTTAATTTGCCAAGGTATTTCTCAATTACTGCTCGGCCCTAAGCATTGTACTCTCTTATTGGATAAGTATTTATGAAGAGGTTTAAAGAAAACATATCACTGGTAAATGTTTACTCAGTGTCTCATTTTTGATCTTTTTGGTACAATCTTTCTAGTGAAGCTGGAATCTATTTTCAATGAGTGCATATGAATGCTGCACACGTTCTGCGGCCTAACAGATGCCATCTGTAAAAGCATTTACTTTAAATTAGTGGAATAAGTAATCAAAAGGGCTTTGTACTTAATGCAAAACTTTTGGTGACTATTAAATGCTCATTAGAGGGTGTTTTTGCTGTATGACTGTCAAAATCAGCAGGACGTTTATGTTAGATTTCCTGAGTGGGTCAAGATTGAATATGATTTTACAACCTAAATAACATAAATGAATGCAGGTTATTTCAGCATCTCCAGATGTTTTTTAAACTCTTTGCCCCTAAACCCAAAACTTAGTGCCATTTCAAATTCTGCAATGGTATTTTGGTGAATACTTTAAAAATTAAATATTTTTCATCTTTAGATAAATAGGCTACTTTTTCATACTCCTAACATTTATAAATTAAAAGAAAAGTTGCTATTGGTATTGCTAAATATACTCTAACCCATCTTTTATGGAAATATATCCCTCAAAGAATTAGATAATATTAAATCAACTTAACTACACATTTATTATAATAGCTAATTATTTAAAAATTTTTAATTATCTTATGATGGCTTATTTGGTAGATTGTGTATGTGTTGCCATTTGATTGAATCTCTGGAAATATATTCTTATTATCACTTTGTTTTTAATTAAGCATTCAATAGCTGTCTTGCTTAATCTAGTGAGATGAATCTATTATTCTCAGGATTGTTATTTGCCTAGTACCATGCACATGAATTGTACTGTATAATGAGAATAAATGTTTAACACAAATCAAGGTTCTTACACAGAAAAAAATAAATCTTAGATTTATTAACTAAAATCTATAAATGATCTAATTATAAAAGATAATTTTTAGGACCCTTCCTGCATTATAGAAGTGGCAAGAAGATATCCAAGAATTCATAAGGTCACACTCAACTTGCTTGCAGGCAGGCTCGCACTTGAAGTAGTTAGACCAGCGCTGATGGGTAAGTACAGAAAAGCAAAGTTCAACTGGGTCTAAAAGCTGGACAACGTAGAAAAAATAATAATAACATCTTCTTCCATTGTTTTTTTAAACTGGGAAATCCTCTATTCTAGTTTTGAAAATCTTTCCCATGAGGCACAGTTGTTTTACTTCCTATGTTTTCCAAAATGAGAACTATTTTTCTGATTCATAAAACTCTAATCAGTCATCAGTTTTGTCTTTGCTGGCTCACATATACAATAGTCTCAAAAAGAAGAGGGGGCAATCATGCTAACTATGTTCCTCTTGCAAAAGTCTGTTTTCTCTAGGTCAATATGAATAGCTTCTTGCTGCCATATGCCATTGCCTTTTCTAACATAGATTCACAACATAAAAATGTTTCAATCCTCTGAACTGGATTCATTTATAATAAGCTTCTAGGAGGTCAAAATTTTTTTCAGGAGGGGTTATAGAAACTGCAATTAGTTTCTGTGCCTTTGTGAGCTACAGGGCTTGGTTATATCCATATAAAGGACACAGAAAATGGAGATAAATTCTATGTACACAGGCTGAAATGTGTCCTGATTCTCTTAACGGCTGTCACCTGCTGGAAATGGAATTAGGTGCATCATCATACAATTATTTCTTAATTATTAATTTATTTCAAGTGTCCATTCAATAGCAGCTTCATTGTCTGGATGCAACACTTCAAAAAATGTATTCTTCATCTTAAGTCCCTCACTCTATTGGGAAAGATACTTGAGTAAGCACAGTTCCAGGGCAGTGATAGAATTGAGTGCACTGATACATGTGAGAGTAGAATGTTACCACAAAAACTAGGTGCTTATAAAACACAATTGGATAAGTAGACTAAAAAGAGACAGCAGAGGAGCTATTTCCTAAAGGAAGACAAGTAATAAAGCAAATTGTAAGTCAAGATGTAGAAGGTGAAATATTTTCTTCGTAGCAAAAGGATAATTATGCTGCAAGACATAGAGATGAGATTTTCTACTTATAATATGTCTCTAATACTCAAATGAAATAGATGACTTTATATGCCTGCCTTTCTATTTGGTAAACAAATTAGACAATCTGATACATTTCAGCCACCTTAATCCCTGGGGTAATTAGTGCAGCAGAAATCCAATCACATGATCTCAAACTCACATGATGTACCTTGTTGTAGAATATCTCCATAAAACTTTATCAACCAGTTCATATTTAAGTGAAGAAAACAATCATATTAAAAAGAAAGGCCGGGCGCAGTGGCTCACGCCTGTAATCCCAGCACTTTGGGAGGCTGAGGCGGGCGAATCACAAGGTCAGGAGATGGAGACCATCCTGGCTAACACGGCGAAACCCCGTCTCTACTAAAAATACAAAAAATTAGCCTGGCATGGTGGCAGGTCCCTGTAGTCCCAGCTACTCGGGAGGCTGAGGCAGGAGAATGGCATGAACCTGGGAGGGAGTGCTTGCAGTGGGCTGAGATTTTGCCACTGCACTCCAGCCTGGGCGACAGAGCACGAGACTCTGTCAAAAAAAGAAAAAAAAAAAAAACAGTGAAAAATACATATAAAATAAGGTAAATTCTTTCAATGGACAAAGAACAAAACAGAGGAACTCCCATATCTGTATTTTTGACAATTTAGAAATAAGTTAGTACTTTATACTTTCTTCATCCTTTCTCCACATAGAGAAAGAAGCATTTTGAAAAATTTAGTCACTGTATACCACCAAATCCTAGTAGAAAGACAAGTTTGGATTGCTTTGTCTTCACAGGTAATTCTGCACTTTGAAAAAGCTTGGAGTACCAGACTACGAATATGACATCAGGTACATCTCATTTTGAGTTAGAGGCCAGTAAACAATCCCATTTCCTTTACTGAACCATTTAGAACGAATGTAAATATTTTAACATAAAAAGAGTTGTGTTTAGCAAATATTCCCCAGATTTTTCTCATTGGAAGGAAATAAGCTGAATGGTATTTTTCAAGCGTATAGCAAAGAAATTTAGCTGTAGAATTTCTCACATAATGGCACAATCCTGATTGTAATGTTGTAGGGCAGTATCCCATAGAGTGTGAGACGACTCCTTTGACTGTCAACTCCTCTTTCCAACAAACACTGGGATGAGCATTGTGACCCTCAGCCCCTTGGCTCTAAACTGGAAGACAGCTTCCTGGAGCAGTACCCGGTCTTATGACCCTCAAGTTAGCCCCAGGTCCTCCTGCTCTGTCACATCCACATGGGTGTGCAGGAAACTCAGAAACCGCAGTCCCTTCCTGGTAACAAAAATACATCGGAACAAAAATATTTCTATCCAATTTCAATCCCATGAAAACTTATCTGCATAGGTCTCAGTGTTAACTTCATTTCTTCTTGTTCTCGAAGAGGTACGCTCGCCTCCTACTTAGGCCTTCTATTTTTCATCTGTAATCTACATCCTATCTTCTCCTGAGAACTTTGACATTTTGCTCCCACATCCTGTCACAACTGAATATTAAATCTCTCTTTCTCTATGCCATTGGTTTCTCACCCTCAGTAAGTAAAGGTACTCCCATCTCTACCATTTCTGCACCCGCAATGCTCTATGGAGGAAAGATAAATTTGCCTGCATGTCAGGTACATGTCAGGTGAAAATAAATGTCAATGCTCTAATACCTTGGACAAGAGCCCTTGTCAGAAGACTAGTGTTGCGAAGGACTAAATTTTTTGTCATCACCAACAAGTACCAGGCCCCATGCTGGATGCCTTATAAATAATTGGATTTGAGACTTATAATAATGTTGTGGAAGCTTTCTTCATGCCATTAAGGAAGCAGAGGCCTACAGAGATTTTGTAAAATATTTAAGGTCGCATAAGTATGAAATAATTGGGAAAGATTTTTGTCCAGTTGTTGGACATTTCCCAAAGCAGAAAACAGTGCCTAATATTATTTACATGTCTTCATGCACTCTTTTCTTCTCTTTCTTCTCTTGTTAACTCAGAAGCAGTAAAATCTTATTATATTTTTACACTTAAATAGACTTTAAAAAATATTCCCTGTAATAAAAGGGGAAATACATGAAAGGCACTTCTGCTTCATCTCCAATTCTGATGGTTGTCCTGGGATAATAGCATGTTCTTGAGTTACAAGCTGAACTAGCAGTTTTAATCACAGAGAACCATGTTTACTTGAAAGAATGCTTGACAGATAAATGATCTTTATAAGGGATTCAGTGTATGTCAGACGTATTTTCAAATTGAATAAAATGAGCATGTCACTTCAAGGATAACTAGAGTATCAACTATCAATTATAAAATTTCGGTTACCAATCAAAATTAGAATAAAAAAATTGTATTGGCCACCATGAACTTACTGGTTACCCAAAACTTAAAGAATTTTCAGTTAAGATTGTTGACATTAACCCGTGCTATTTTTTTTTCTATTGTATAAGGACATGTGTCAACATTGGAAGATTAGCCCTAAGTGAGTAAACCAATATTTTCAAAATGAATAGTGCACATTGATACAAAATTATGCACGCGTAAAGATCCATTCAAAATGAAAGCTAGATATTAAAAAACCAATGGATTTAATAGAAAAGGGTATAAAAAGTTTATAAAGTTTCGGATTCTACATAGCAACAAGCTTAAGATACTACCACTTAATGAGTTTAGGTATAGCATCCAAGAAGAATATCTTGAATTATCTGAAAAGACAAGTAAATATTCCTCTCTGCCAACTATATATCTGTATGAGGCCATATTTCCTTAATATACTTCACTCAGAACAACATATTGAAGCAGATTGAAAGCAGAAGTCAATATAAGAACCCAGCTGCCTTTTATGAAGCAAGACATTAAAGAGATGCAAAAATGTGAAACAATGTCACTCTTCTAAGTGAATTTTGTTTTTGAAAAAAGTTACTTTAAAATATATTATTTATATTAATACATAATGAGGATGCTCCTGTTTTAAAAGTTACTATTTTAAAAATTTACCACTTTTAATTATTAAACAATAAATATTGATTATATATCCCATAAAAACAAAAGCTCTTTGGAGTTTTCAATAAATTTTAATAATCTAAAGAGGTTCTGACTTCAAAATTTTGAGAATCCCTGAGTATTACTTTTCGAGGACTGCCATAAAAAATCACTACAAACTGGATGGCCTAAAACAACAGAAATTTAGGAGGCGAGAAATCTGAGTTCCAAATGTACTCTTTGAAGTTCAAGGGAGAATCTGCCCCATGTCTTTGTCTTGGCTTCTGCTGTTGCCAGCAATCCTTACCATTCTCTGGCTTGCAGTTTCTTAAATTCAGTCTCTGACGTCTTCCCTCTGTGTGTCTGTGCATCCACATGGCATTCTTCTCTCTCTCTCTGTCTCTCTCCCTCTCTCTCTCTCTCTCTCTCTCTGTGTGTGTGTGTGTGTGTGTGTGTCCCTGTCTCTTCTCTCAGGGACACCAGTCATATTGGGTTAATGGCCCAGCCCTTCTGCTGTTGCCAGCAATCCTTACCATTCTCTGGCTTGCAGTTTCTTAAATTCAGTCTCTGACGTCTTCCCTCTGTGGGTCTGTGTATCCACATGGCATTCTTCTCTCTCTCTCTGTCTCTCCCTCTCTCTCTCTCTCTCTGTGTGTATGTGTGTGTGCCCCTGTCTCTTCTCTCAGGGACACCAGTCATACTGGGTTAATGACCCAGCCTACTCCAGTATGACTTCATCTTAATTACATCTGCAAAGACTCTATTATCAGATAAGGTCACATTTATAGATACTAGGAATTAAGACTTCAACGCATCTTTTGCAGAGAAAAAAAAATCAACCCATAAATGCTATGTTTTATACAAAGCCCACTTACACTAGGACAAATTGACTTCAACCCCTTTTTTAACTTTACTTTTGCCGAGATTTGTTTGTAAACAAATACTTTCAAGATTATTTTGACTTGTTTATTTTCTACATATTTTCAGTGCTTGGTACATAGGTGGAAAACAATAAATGATTGCTCACTGAATGGACTAATGAATTAATTGATTAATGTTACAGTGTAAGATATCCTGGAGATGCTTTGGTTATTGCATTTTTCAGGATCACCTGAGACCTCATTTAAGAATTTTTTTTTCATTCATTCTCTGAAAGAGTTCCCTATTTGATTTCCTTTGGGTGAGGCAATGCGATAAATAGGATGAGCATAGAATTTAGAGATGGATTTACCTGCCTTATCATATGAAGCCTACCATTCACTTAGATATACAATTTTGAGCCTATTATTATTCATTCCTTAGCCTGACTCCTACTTCGTAAAAAATACAGGTAAAATCCCTGCCTACAGAAGTTTTGTAAGTATTAAATTAAATTTTATATATAAATGTTGTATATATGTATATACACAGTATATACATATAAAGTCTAGCGCAGAGTTTCAAATTTGGTTGCTTTGAAGAATCTACTATGAATTCTGTAAGTCTGGGCAGGAGCCCAGGCATCTGTATTTTTAAAAAGTCTTCGGATGATGATGGTGTGTAGATTGTTTTGAGAACCACTGGTGCCATGCATTAGCAACACAAAGAATATAAGGCTGGTTACAAACACTTGTGGAATAGATGCCAATTCATTAACATTTTTTGTGTATCAGAAGCTTCAGGGTAAGTCTCAAGTAGGGTGAACCCGGTTCAGGGTCAAATTATGTATAGCAATATCTGAAGGATTTCTTGATAAGAGACAATTGTTTGTTGTTGTTGGTGGTGGTGGTTTTGTTTTTGAAAAAGAAATTTGCGGGCCCGGCACAGTGGCTCATGCCTGTAATCCCAGCACTTTGGGAGGCCCAGGTGGGTGGATCACGAGGTCAAGGGATCGAGACCATCCTGGCCAACATGGTGAAACCCCGTCTCTACTAAAAATACAAAGATTAGCCAGGCGTGGTGGCGGGCGCCTGTAGTCCCAGCTACTCAGGAGGCTGAGGCAGAGGAATCACTTGAACCCAGGAGGCGGAGGTTGCAGTGAGCCTAGATCGCACCACTGCACTGGCCACAAAGCGAGACTCCGTCTCAAAAGAAAAAAAAAAGGAAAAAGAAATTTGCTTAGACAGATCAAAGAGCCTATGCCCTGTTCTTCCCAGTGTAGGGCTGTTTTTTGACCGGAACATGGACTGAAAGTGCATCTCATGTTCTAGAGGCCATGGCAATTTGCGGCACGTAAGATCACCAATATCTTCTTGGTAGGGATAGCACTCTTCCCATAATTTGAACTTCAGAATATCGTGTAGGCTGTAACACTACCTTGCTCAGTGCTTGGCATACACTAGGTGCTTAACAGTGATTAGAATCCCTTCACTGTAACTGTCTTGTTGGTATGAAAATACAATTTTAAAAACAGAAAAATAAAACAAACCTCTACTTTAGATCATGGCGTGCTAAAACATCCAGTAAGGAGTGTTCTCTTATTTATTTATTTATTTTTCCTGGAGCTCCTGGGCCTGCAGTGGAGAACAATGTGTCCGCAGTTATTTCCTACTTTTCTAAGGTAGTGAGAAGAATGCTGAAGCTATGCACTTAAAGCCAATTATTAGTAACTTAAATGGCATTCCAAGAGAACAGAGAATCCAAACTCAGTGCTTATGTTTTAAAAACAATGAAGCAAAGCTATAATGTTGGCACACTTTGCAGCACTTTGTTATCTATTTGTCTACACATTTCAGGAAAATGTTTCTGGTTTGAAAGTTCAAAACAAGCTAAAGCTTCAAACGGAGGCTGTGAGGTTCTTTATTCTTTTGTTTTAATGGTAGCATAACGACATAGGACATCTGAGCTCATGCTGTACAGCGACATCCTTTAGCCGTTTCCATTAGACATTTATGCCTGGTATTCTTAAATGAAACATAAAATATTGGTATGTATTTTTCCCTGACAGGATATGTTTGAGATATTGCTGTAAGATGTAATCAAATTTTAAAGGCGATAGGAGCCCTAAAAAAGGAAGAATCATTCAGGTTTTCTAATCACAGCCATGTGAGTAATGGCATCTGGCGACTCGGGAACGCCTGCTAAGTTTTAGTACTTGTCTGAAACTAGCTACCACGTGATTGCTTAGCTGCCTGGTCTTTTTAAGGTTGCCTGAAAGGGCTCTGCTATAAACTTACTTATTTATCCTATTTATTGGATGCACCCACATCACATAATAGTCTCTGGGTACATTTACAAGGGTAATAAAAGAGGCTATACAGTTCTTTCTTGGCAATTGGATAGAGTACCTAGAGTTCAAAGGAGATACAAGTGTATGTAATTCAGCTGTTGCACTTTTCTTTACAATTTTTAACATCTTATATTTAAATTTTTTTTTAGGGCTGTGAATCAATAAAATAACAAAAAAAGAGTATATGCTTTCAACTGAGACGTTAAAGAAAATAAAATTACAGAGAGCCTTTTACAGTTTTCTTCCAGGCAGTCCACACTAAGGGGCAATTCCTTTAGGACGAGCACTGTGTTGGAGGCTCTGTTTTCATAATCAGAATAGCACATCCCGTGTGAAGAAGAGGCTTTGAGTCCACATTCTTCCTGGATTTCACATCCGATTAATGAGGATGCCAGGCAATGTGCAAACCTGCAGTTGCTGCACCGTGCGGTGGCTGAGACTTTTCCACATAATTTTAAGTGGGAAGTAGGTTAGGTGGCAACTTTGAACAAGAAAAATATGAAGTGATAAATGTGCGTGTGCATGTTTGGGGGTGGGTGGGTACGCTCACATGCACTCACGTGTGTAATGTGCATATCAGGACCTGGACAGCTAAAGGACAGGATGTCCAACTTAAAAAAAATAGATTTCACCCAACAAATAGTTATGATTTCTCACATATATACATATATACATGATGTTATCAAATGTAACTAAGCTGAAAACATGGAAATCCCCTTACTAGAGCTCAGAATTTCCAATTCTTCATTGTTTTACTTTCACTGAAGTGGTCAGCCATAGCATATGCAAATCTATGTCAAATGTAGGTGAAACAAATACCAATAACTGGCTGATGATCGAGACAAATTACACTTATATACACACATATGCCTGTACATATATAGACATATATGCAATCATTTCCAACATAATAAAGTACCTATACTTTAAATACTACAGCACCTCATAAAAGGGCATAGAATTTCATATCAGAATCTGTGTAGCATTCTTCTTTATATGCTTCTCACTCCACTGCTCCTATTGCAAACCAATAGTAAATATATATTTTTTCTATTTTATTTTCTACTTAATTATTCATATTCCTCAATAAATGTTTAGCACATTTTAAAAAAATTACATACCTAACATGCCAGCAACAATGATGAGCTAAATAGATTTTGTGCTTAGCTTCATAAACCAATAACTATTTAAATAGATTTATATCGAAAAAATCCCAAAGACATATTCTTTAAAATTTTGCTTATTACTATATGAGAGAATCTATTCTAGGTCTTTAGGGGATAAAAAGATTAATCTTACCAAGTAAGACTTTATAGTCTCATTGGAGAGATAAGACCAACATAAAAGTAAATCTAATATAAGGAAAACTAAGGAAAAATATTAAAATGACAATAAAAGTATACTTATATTTTAAAGTAATTTCAAAAGAAGAAATTATTTCAGATGATTCAATTACTTTCAATAAATCTTTTTTGAATGTTAGGATAGATGATAAATTTTGCTAGGTACTAGGACTAAAAAGATGAATATGGAAAATGTTTGCCCTCAAGGTGAATAATGCATTGTGGAGAAGGTAATTGTTAATCAGAGTATTGAAGAAAGAGGGGAATGCAGAAAAGTGAAGATTCAGAAGAAGTTATTTTTCTGTTCCTGCCTGAGAATATTCTGAAATTGAGCACCTTCAAGCAGCGATGAACACGTCAACTAGGGCTGACTGAGTATGCGAAGTGTGCTTGAAATGGAGGGGTAGGATATGAGAGCGAAAAGATGAAGCAGCTGCCAGGGGCCTTCAATAGCTCCTGACTGCCTATCTGTATTATGTTGGATAATTTGAACTTGAATGTGATTAAGGGAGCAACATGATAAGAAACTATGATCTAGGATCAATAATCTCGGTTTAGAACAAAGGTGGTTTAGGCTAAAAAGAATCTAGAGTTAGAAGCCTGTTGGTAAGTTTTATTACTGGACAGAAGGGAGGGAAATGAGGGAAAGTTATGAAGGGCTCATGTTTTAGTAGGATTTAAAGAAAAGGACACAAAAGACATTGCAGAGACAAGCTTAACCTTAGCTAATTCATGGATATGGGAACAAGACAGGGAGTAGAGTAAAAACCAAAGCTGAATGCTTAAACTTGGTTGGCACTGAAGCTGGTACAATTAAGGTAGAAACAAAAGAATTAGAGGAAATAATTTCAAAGAGCAGATAATGAGTTTTGCGTTGAACCTATTGGGTTTGAAGACCAAGTGTGGGTTTGTGGTGGCATGTTCATTGGGCAATTAGAAGTCTGGAACTAAAACTCAGGAAATGGTTGAAGTGGAGATGAAGATTTGTTAATTTTCTGAAGAGAACTGTGACCTGAAGTCATGAGATTTAACAAGATTATCACGAGAGAAATAAGAAAGAATGAGATAGTCCAGGGAAGATCTTAGAACCCTCATATTTGGAGAAGGGAGGTGGTATACAAAAAAGGAGCAGGCAGGCCAGGCACGGTGGCTCACGCCTGTAATCCTAGTACTTTGGGAGGCCGAGGTGGGCAGATCACGAGGTCAAGAGATCAAGGCCATCCTGGCCAACATGGTGAAACCCTATCTCTTCTAAAAATACAAAAATTAGCTGGGCATGGTGGTGTGCACCTGTAGTACCAGCTACTTGGGAGGCTGAGGCAGGAGAATCACCTGAACCCAGGAGGCAGAGGTTGCAGTGAGCCGAGATCATGCCGCTGCACTCCAGCCTGGGTGCCAGAGCAAGACTGTGTCAAAAAAAAAAAAAAAAAAAAAAAAAGGAAAAGAAAAAGAAAAAGAAAGCAGGCAAAGGAAACAGAAGAAAAGTCAAGGTTTTTTTTTAAGAAAAGTCAAAAGGAACCTACATAAGGACAACATGAGGTCAGATTACAGTGCATAAAACAATGTCTCCTTTGTAACACAACTCATTTATTAGGGAAAAGCCAATATTTATGTTTTGCTTTCATCTTTAATAAGCATACAAGGAATGTTCACTTACTCTCAGACATTTCTATTTTTAAAATATGTTTTGTTTTAAGCTAAAACGTTGATACCTAGAACTATTTTTGCAAATATTATTCACTGAAGAGTTTCATGTTACTGTATGTATAGTGATATAATTCTAGCAAATTGCTGTCATAAGTATACATTTTATGAAATTGATCTTAGACAGAGGTAATTAAGTTTGACATCAGTCTTGCACTTAAGGAGTTTCAACAACTATACTGCAATATATTCAGCAGCACAAGGCATCTGGCCACAAAAAGCTACAGAAATTTGGAGGAGGAGAATTTGGTTTCTGTTTGGAGAACCACTGAAGACCCACTGAAAGAAGAAACATCTCAGATATTAACTAAATTGTGTGGACCAATCCCCCTTGCGCTATTTGTCTTTTATGTTGTTCTAAGTCTTCAGTTAGCCTAAGTTAAGGAATCTTACATGTACATAATTAATTAGAATGACAATTCAAATAAGTATTGTTTTATTCTCAACACATTATATTTCTCACCATCGCACTCACATACACACAAATGGAAAAATACATTTAGGAAAGGAATTTTGTTGATGGTAGTTTCTATTTTCTTTTCAGTTATCTTTCATTCCTCTCTTTATATCCCTTTTTCAGATTTAGGTTTAAGACAATGGTAGTATTTCAATATTATAACTAAAAGTTCTGAATATATTTGTAGACTACACACATAATTGTGCACATTCCATTTTATGTGTCTAAATAATTATTTATTTGTTTCATATAATAACATATTCATTTATTTTGTATGACACCAAATTATTTGTTTTCTGGACTATTGTAAATCACTCTATTCATTTTCCTTTCATAAAAAATATGAAGACATATTTCGTAGTGTTTTCTAAAATATAATATTTATTTTTTCTTAGAGTTTAAATTGCAACATACCCTGTTTCTTAGAAGTAGTTTTCCCCCCCAAAAAAAAGGACAGCACAATACTTAATACCACCTAATTCTGTGGCCACTGTTTTCAGAATCTGTGGGTAATTTCTAAGACTTTTTTGTTACTTTCAAGACCTTTCTGTGAAAATAGGTTACCTTGTAATTCTGAGTATCAATTACCATGTCCTTGGCTCCTTCTTGATGCTATGGAATTGAATTCCTCTTCCTTAGAATGTCAACAATAGAGGATTTATTCAGCAACCTGAAGATGGTGTCATTTGCATTGGAGAAAGGAAGCCTGCTCTTTTATTGCATTTAGCAATGAGGGGAGAGATCTGCTCTTGTTCCATTACTTTTCATTGCCTGAAAAGGAACAACACTGAAATTGAACCCCATCATCTGCCTAGATTGCTCTAACTCAACTGTATCTAGCCAGTAATATGCAGTTTCTGAATATGGAAATCCAAATTTCAAGATGTCCTAGGTCTGTTGCTAACCTGTTTCCCAGAGGGAGATGTAGGGCAATTATCTTTCACTCGGTGATGAAATTTTTCCATTAGGACAAGTTAATATTGGAAGACAAGGAGAGTAAGTATGTACTCTTTGTCCTGTGTAAATGAAAGACTCATGTTGCATGCTAGCTGTTGTTTATCTTTTAGGACAAGCAGACACCAAGAAAGTTCTAATACTAGGAAATGAAGCCACTGCTTAGTTTTCTCATGAGGTAAGTGTAATTTTCCAGTAATCATATGATCTTACATCATCTACTCTATTCCCTGTCAACAGTATATGTTGTTAAATTTCATATTTGTTTAGTTGTAAATGGATTAAAATAAAGTTTTATATTGTAAGCAGCTTTAATACTACTTATTTTTACCTGCATGGAAGACATGCTCCAAAAAAGTAGGTTTGGTGTCATATGAAACACATTCAAACGGGGAAAGGAATTTATAAAATATTTGACATGCCAATAAGTCTAATGTATACACTCTAAATTTTGCCTATTATTTTTATTGTAGTTTTTATTTTTGTATTTTCTATTTCATATTTCTATTTTTTGTGTTATATCCAAGAAAGTTATGAGAAGTATGTAATGTTAGCATTAATAATGTTATTTTTGTCACAAGTGTCTCAATTTGAATAATTAAACATATTTTTAGTGCCCACCATGAGCAAATCATACCTACAGTAGGGACATAAAGAGGTAATACATACCAATTCTCTGTTGCACCCCATCTCCACTTGTTAATGTACTAAAGACCAATGGAATCAATGCATACAAACTATCTATGGGTTATGCCAGCAGGAAACATTGGTGAAGTCCTGAAAACAGGATGTGACTTGAGTTGAAGCAAGTCAAAATCTGGCTAAGGGACTGGCACCAACTTCCTCTCCTTTTACTGACTGGGTATACTAATGTGATCTAAATGATGTGGTATGCAGGCATTGTAGTACTTCGTCTTCAGTAACTCCACTCTGGATGAGGCCAATACAACTACTCCTGTAGGGTGAAGGGGTTTCCCATTAAGCAAGTGTAGTGCTATGGTAGTGTTCTTCTCATTGCTGCACAGACAGTGCTGTTTCGTTTTCTTTCTATGGTTTTAATTGTAACTGAGATGTTAACATTATTACATAGAAATCTATTAGTTCATTTAGACTTTCATTTATTCATTTACTCAAACAGAATTTATCGGTGTCTGCTGCATCAGGCACTGTGCTAGATGCTGAGCTGACCCAAGAAATACAGTATGCATGTCACTCACGTTGTGAAGCTTGCAGTTTTCCAGAAAACAAGCAAATGCAACAGAAAAATTACCGTACGTATTTTATAAAAATTACAACTACAAGTTCTGATAAATACTGAGGAAGGGGGCAGGGCCAGCTTTATTGTTTCCCAGGCTGTGCCATCATTCTGGGTCCTGTAGAAGGACCTGCTTTTGGACTAACACTCTGCTGGCACCTCCTGAAAATTCTGAATCATTTTCTAGTGAAGGACATCATAGTTTCAGTTTTCACTGGGCCCTAAAAATTATATAGTTGATGCTGAGAAGATGCTACCGTAGTTATAAAAAATGAAACACCTAATTTAGATATGGTAATATGGGAACACTTACTCAGAAGGTAATTCCAATCCGGTTTTAAGTCATAAGTACAGAGTAAAATTAACTCCAAACCCAGTTCTGTCCCTACTCATGAGCTAACTAGAACTCTAGCTAAATCCGTGTGGGTTACAAGAAATAACAAATTACCTGGTGGAAGAAGACATATAGGTATTCAATACATTTACAAATTCTTTTAAAAATTTTATGAAGAAATCACTTCATAAAAGCAGGCAAAAGATATAAAATTTACAAGATAATAAATAAAATAGGCCAATAAAATATTTTAAAACGGTCTGTCTCAATAATCATTAATATAAAAATAATCAAATATTGGATAATCAACTTCACCCATAAAATTGTCAATAAACAGTATAATATCCCTAGTTGGTATATTGGTCAGTGTTCTTGTTGCGGGGAACACTTGCTTAATCTTGATTGTATGGGAATGCAGTTTATTATAAGAAAAAAAAACTTGATAACTCACAGAGTTGGGAAGGCTGTATAAGAGAACAAAGCTTAAAGCTAAGCTCATAGGAATAGTGCCTAAAACTGTGCTCAGTAATTGCTCTGAAAAGAAAATCACCACAAATGTTATTAGCCCACATAGCAAAAGGGAAAGCCATTGTTCCTTCCTCTGTACTGATGCCTCTTCTGAATTGGGAAATGTATAACCACTGCACCCAGTAGGCTGACCCTCATTCCATTACATCTATCAGCAAAATGAATTTTGTAAAGGGCTTTCTTCGTCAACTCTACTGTCACACAATAAGCATCGTCTGTTTTTAAAAAGAAAGATAAATTAAATGTTTTCCAAGTTCAAAATGTGTACTTATAAAAAAGGAATAGTTAAACCACAAAATGGAAAATATATTTACATCTTATTTGACAACAGATTTATATACCTATACAAGAACTCCTATAAGTCAACACTTAAAAGGAAAATAGCACACACAACAAACACAGAATTACAATATAACCCCAATATTCCACTGCTCATTATATATCCAAAAAAACCTGAAATAAGTACATCTAAACAAATGTTTATTGCAGCTCTATTGACAATAGCCAAAAGTTGGAAACGACCCAAAAGCTCATCAGCAGATGAATGGACAGACAAACTGTGGTATGGGCATACGGTGGAATATTATTTAACCACAGAAAGGAATGAGGTACCATCATGTGTTACAATGTGAAGAAAGTTTCGTAACATTATGCCAAATTACAAATTCTTTTAAAAATTTTACACAATAAGTCACATTCTAACCAGTTATATGTATTACTCATAATACATAAATCCTTAGAGACAGAAGGCCGACTGGTGGTCGCCAGACACTAGGGGAGTCGGGGAGGAGGAACAACGGCTTAATGGTAAGTGGCTTTCATTTGGACAAATGAAAATGTTTTAGAACTAGAGAGAGGAAGTGGTTACAAATATTGTGAATATACTGAATACTACTAAATTACTCACTTTAAAATGGTCGATATGGTTTGGCTGTGTCCCCATTCATATCCCGAATTGTATCTCCCAAAATTCCCATGTGTTGTGGGAGGGACCCAGGGGGAGGTAACTAAATCATGGGGGCCGGTCTTTCCCATGCTATTCTCGTGATAGTGAATAAGTCTCACGAGATCTGATGGGTTTATCAGCGGTTTCCACTTCAGCTTCCTCCTCATTTTCTCTTGGTGCCACGATGTGGGAAGTGCTGTTCACCTCCCACCATCATTCTGAGGCCTCTCCAGCCAAGTCGAAATTTTCTTCCCAATCTTTGGTATGTCTTTATCAGCAGCATGAAAACGGACGAATACGATGGTTCATCTTAGGTTATGTGAACGTCACCTCAAAATTATTTTTAAAAAATGATTTTAAAGAAGCCCAAAACTTGGACACTTCAACAAAAAAAGACATATATTATGATAGCCAACACTCACATGAAAAGATAATCAACATTTTTAGTTATCAGAGAAATATAAATTAAACCTCAGTAAGATATCATTTTACACTTGCTAGAATGTCTAAAATTTTAAAAATATGTACTGAAAACCTTGTGTTAGGTTATAGAGGAAGTGACACAGTCATATTTCGCTGGTGGAAGTGTCAAATGGCACAATCACCTTGAAGAACTAGTTGGCACTTACTTATCAGTTAAGCATACAGCCAATGTACGATCCATCAATTCCACTCCTAATCATACCCAAATAAATGAAAAACGTATGTTCATAAAAATGATTTTCTTAAAGAACCTTCCTAGCAGCCAAATTCGTAAGAGCCCCAAACCAGAAATAATCCAACTGTCCATCAGTAGAAGAATGGATGAAACAAACAAACAAGAACACTGTAGTTTACCCAAAGAATTATTTACTAGTCAGCAATAAGAATGAAGACTAGGCTGGGCGCAGTGGCTCACGCCTGTAATCCCAACACTTTGGGAGGACAAGGCGGGCGGATCATGAGGTCAGGAGATGGAGACCATCCTGGCTAACACAGTGAAACCCCGTCTCTACTAAAAATACAAAAAAATTAGCCGGGTGTGGTGGCAGGCGCCTGTAGTATCAGCTACTCGGGAGGCTGAGGCAGGAGAATGGCGTGAACCCAGGAGGCGGAGCTTGCAGTGAGCAGAGATCGCGCCACTGCACTCTAGCCTCGGCGACAAAGCGAGACTCCCTCTCAAAAAAAAAAAAAAAAAAAAGAATGAAGACTACTGAGCCATGAAACAGCATGTATGTACCTAGAGAATTTTAAGTGAGAGAAAATGCACACAAATAATAATATGCTGATGGATTTCATTTATAATATCCCATGAACTGGGACAACTATAGTTACATAAATGAAAAAGAGTTTCCTTGGAGTGAATTGGAAAGGTCATGAGAAACTCTTTGAGATGATGGGATGTTCCGTATCTTTAAGTCTTAGATGCACAGGTATAAATAATTTCCAAAAGTAAAAAGACGGAACACTTAAGATTTGTATGTTTCGCATTATGTTAATGATGCTAATTTTTTTGTTGTTGTTGTTAGTGTGATTTTTCACATCTTTTGCAACATAACTTATTTTCTGACATGTAATTTTTAGGGACAATAGTGTCTTAGCTATTTCTCACTTTGTAACAGATTTTTACATATCCAGATTGGATATGTATTTTGCTGTTTTTCCCTTTCAGCGATCAGTATCCTACCTGTGTCCAACCTCATTTGGTACGCTAATAGTCATACACCTGCCGATTTCCCATCAAATGACATAATTTCCTGAAGTGCCACCTGTGATACAACATATTGTACAGCTTCAATTTTAAAACTTTATGAATATTAAAAGCAAATGCTAGTGCTTCTTTGAATGTATTTGGCTTCCTATTCTACTCACCATGCCTCACCCAGGTGTTGATTTAAAATTCAGTGGCACAAAATGATTATCTATCATTCTAAATTATCTCATATTCTTTTAATCTTGGTGTATGTAAGATAGAAGCCTGGGAAACACTTCTTTTCCCATTGACCATATAGCACATTTTGTCATTAACAGCTGAAGCTTCATCATTTTGAATTTCTTTCTAAACAAAGATTTATAAGTGAGCCTTCCAGCAGCTGCCTTGTCAGGTTTGTGAAAGGGAAAATTAAAGCTACTATATTTATTCCAAGCCTCCTCTGTAATGGATCTCATATGAGAGCTTAATTGTATTTTCTGTGTATCAGAAATAAGGCCTATCAAAGATATGGTGTGTAAGAAATTATGTAAAGCCATCATACAGATGGTAGATAATAATATGAAATTGTTGATGGGAATCTGTCCCCTCAACAAGCAAAGAGAAATGACTCTCTCTCTCTCGTAAATGATAATACCTAGTGCTTGTTAGATTTTGTAGTACTTTTACTTTATGAGAAATAGACATCAAGCTTTTATAATGAACACTATTGAATAGAGATGAAACAACCCACAGTCTTTTATTTATTTCATCAGAGTAGACAGGAATGAATAGACAGAAAGATAAATAGGTAGATAGATAGATAGATAGATAGATAGATAATTATTCAGTCTGTCAAAAAGAGCAAATAAAGTCACATATTTGTGATAAGGTTTTATCTGAATGACTTTTTTTCTCATCAGTTTTTTAGTTAACCCCAAGGAAGCAGACTGTTGCAATGTCCAATGTTTACTTTGTAGTCTCATTTACAAATTTCTGATGAAATAATAGGGTGTAAAATAATTGGTTCAAATACTCATTCATGAATTCATTTCAAAGTTTCTGTTATGAAGCTGACATTTTCCAGGCACTATTTTGTAAGAGGAAGTTGCGAATAAGATTGCCTGGTCTGTATATTGAAGCTAATGGGTGATCCTGAAAATAAATAGATGACTGGTGTATTTTGAGTCTGTGAAATGAGATTAAATTCTTCAAACATTAATTCATTCAGTTTGTACATAGTGAATGCTTATTGTCTTTCAGACTGGTGAGGAAATTTATTAAAATGGGAAAGATCACAAGTAACTTCAATCCAGGGAGACTTACATTGACATTCCTCAACCTTCTAAAATTTAAATGTATTAATAATGTAAGTACTAGTATGGTACTAGTAGCTGGTATAAGTAAAGTTCTCACCACCATGCTTGACACTTGTTAGGTACAAAATTAATGTTAGTTACACTGATAATAGATAAGCTGTCATCATCCTTGTCATTATCATTATAGTTGTTAATACTACATAATAACTTTATTTTTTTAGTATACATATATACTGTTACCATGCTGTATGTTAGAATAAAACCAAATGATTGAAACTATCATAGAATGAGCAATAATTTCTACTACTTCTGTGTTATATATTTTGAAATAATATTATTAATAATCAAGTGAAAGATGAAAATCATAAGCAGAAAAGTATATGGCATCAACAGAATGTAAAATGGGAATGAAACATGTTAATATATGTTTTGAATATTACAATACACTTCAAATATTGATGTAGAGATGATTGTAGACAATTATGTAGAGCATGCTTTTTTATTTTTATTTTTTTGGATTGCTGAGAATCCGCTCCCTATAAACTACCAATTTTGGTTCAGTCACTGTAAAGAAGAAAGGAGATTTCAAGGCAGGAGTGAGGAACAATTAAATCAATGCAATGTAATTTTAATTTAAGTGTCATTTTAGAATCACTTATGATGGATTGTTTCCATCTTGACATTGCTATTTGGGGTCAGATTATTCTTTGTTGTGTGGGTTTTCCTGTGCATGTAGGATGTTAACAGCATACCTGGCCTCTACCTTCTGGATACCAGTAGCCAATGTCTCCAGGCTTTGCAATGGTCCCCAGTGGAGTGAGGGCAATATTGTCACCTGTTAAGAACCACTGGCTTAATGTTCGAAGAAGAAGAAATGTGTAGGCCTCTGTAACTTAAAACACAAAAAGTCTTTGAGGTATGCCTCATACGAAAGGAATTTTTGGCCAATTTGATAGAACCTCTGAGCAGATAAGACCAGGGACAAATGAAACTGTTAGTTATTTAGAATTAGTGTTCTGGAGCAATTCGAGTATACATGTGCAGACAAGAGAAATGAAAGCAAACAGAAAATATCTCCTAGTGTGAAAGCAAAACAGCGAATATTGAAGAGAAGTGAGCAATTCTGTAAGTTTTGACAATAGAGAGTGTTATTCATAAGCTTTGTTTATTTCAACACCTGTTTAAATGTTGTACTTCTTACATTACATATATAAACTTAGTAGATACAAATTTTATCTAACTATGCAATCATATTTTGACTTCATTTTTAAATGATTAAAAAATATGTATACTAAATAGATTATCATCACTTTTCTCAATTATCCAAACAGTAATTAGCTCTAAAAACTAACCTTAATGAAACACCTGGTATCTTTAAAAGATCTAAATAATTTACCTGGGATTTTATCAATAATTTCAACTCATTTTAAGTACAGAAATTTCCCAACCTGTTGGGATTTATATATTGTAAATACGACTTTCACTTAAAAATAGTTTTTGAGTTGGGCAGAGGAGCAACAAGGACCTACTAAATTTTTAGTTTAAAAAATTAATTAACATGATATCCTCATCAGTGTAATATAAGGATATCAAAATAAATACTAGAAGTCAAAATTATTTTCTTTGGCTCTCTATGGCAACATTTTTTTAAGTCTCTTTTTATTGTAAAAAGGAAAAGTCATTCCTAAAATTTGAGTCAGTGGTGGAGAGTGCTGGCCAACACCAGCTCATTTTGATACTACATTTGTGTTGCACAGGGTCGGATGAAGTGCAACGTTGAACAGCTTCCGCACGGAAGTGACGTAACATCAAGCCCTGACCTGCTGCTGCCTTGTACCTATGTACAGACTTAGTTTTAGCTTTCTTTCTTTTTCCCTGGTCCTGATCCACTTTGAACTTTGATCTTGGATTTCCTCAGCACAACTTCAACCGGCAAGTCGTTAAGTACGCTCTTAAGAGTATTAGTATCAAAAGATCCCTGTAGGCTTCACAGGGAAAAAAATAGATTTCCTTGGTTGCATTATTTTGGAAAATATCAGATTATATTAAGAAAAAGGAGTTACTTTCAGGGAGAAAAATATGTGAGATCTTTTTAGATGAGTAGGAAACTGACAATCCATAGTACAAAAGTATTGATGATTCAAAATATGCAAAGAATTTAGATGCGACATTTCCAGACATTGTGTAATAAGCATATGGAATGCATTGAGCAAAATGACCATTAAAGAAAATAAATAAATGAGCTTAAGAAGCAGATGTTTTTACATCAGGAAAAGGATGAAAGCACATACTGGCAAGTCTGTGAATGGAATTATGATAAAAGTGGACAGACTCTTTGAGCCACATTGTACTTTCAGTTCATCCATCTAAAATATAAATCTATATTTTTAATTAAAATATGTCTCCCAAAGCCAGTGCATATGTCTTAACATGCTTGGAATTAAACTGGGCTTGGCCTAGGGCATGATTTACCTAGGTAGTTCTAGTCCTTGGCTCATTAATGAAAAACATACCTAGAAGGAAAATTGGGAACAATTTATATCATGCCAGATAGACCTAGCATTAATATTCCCGAGAAACTTGGGGTCATGTTAGAAAAAAGAAGTTTGTAGTTTAGTAGATCATAGTCAAAACATGCAAATGTCTAATATTAGTGAATGTATTGAATATTTTAACAGTCCCACTTAAAGCTTTCAGATACACAATTTCTGTTGGAAATGTGACTTAGGCCACAGCCACATGGATTGTCTTTTGTTTCCTGAGTTGTTCTTTCCTTAGCTCTGTCCCCACAGGGCAGCTACATGCAGAGATTCTTTTTTAAAAATTCTTGTCTCTTGGAGTCTGTTCCTTCTTCTCTTCCCCACTTGTCATTGGTTGATGTATTGATACTGAAAAAGAGATGCTTTTCTTTTTGCTTCTCATTAAGCCACCTGAAAGCTACCATTTCTAGGATACTAATATATAACAGACACTACTAAGCATTTTATAACACACTGGTGCATTAATCTTAATGAAACCACTAAGGAGTTGGTGTCTTTGATTCCATTTTACACATAAATGCTAAAAGAGTAGCTTCATTGATTGACCTTTGACTGTGTTTCAGAGGCTGCACAAGCATGTTCTATACTTTGCCTCATTTAATTATTAAAAAAACTCTGACAGAGTATTTTAAATATTACTGTCGTGGATTGAATTATGTCCCCCCAAGTTCATATTTGAAGTCCTGGCCCACAGTACCTCAGGATGTGACCTTATTTGGAATTAGGGCATTTGCAGATGCCGTTGCTTAAAGAGGTCATACTCCAAGGGAGTGAACGCCTGATCCAGTGTGGTTGATGTCCTTATAGAAAGGAAAGATTTGGACATAGAAACACACACAGGGAAAACTTCATGTGAAGATGAAGGCAGAGAGAGAGGGAGAGATGGGTCTACATGCCAAGGGGACACCAAAGATTCCAGAAAATCACCACGAGCTTGGGGAGAGGCATGGAACAGGCTCTTTCTCATGGCATTCACAAGCAGCCAACTCTGCCAACATCTTGATTTTGGACATCAAGCATCCAACACTGTGTGACAATACACTTTTTGGTTTTTGGTTTTTATAAGCCACTCAGCTTATGTATATTATTATGACACCGACAGGAAAACTAACACACATTCCATTTTGTAGTTGAGGAGATGGAGGCTCCGGAATTTCGTGACAACAGAGCCCAGGCAGAAAAGTGACACTGTTCAATCCATGAGTTTAGTCACATAGCTTCTTCTAGTCTTAGTCTTCTCAGCTGAAAACTAAAAGACCCCCAAGTAGACAGCTTCTAAACTATCTTTATATTTCTGGAAAAAGATTTTAAATTATCAAAATGTGTTTTTTACATTAAAAAAGCCACCACACACAATATAATAAATATGATTAAAAAAAGAAAAAAAAAACTGAATTTCTCAAAAACTGAGAAATATTTAGGTCGGTGCAAAAGTAATTGTTGTTTATGCCATTGAAAGTAATGATAAAAACTGCAATTATTTTTGCACCAACCTAACAATACAGAATCCCTTGGACCTGTTAAATAGCTCCTTTTAAAACTTAGATTAAAAGTTACATTTTAGGGAAGGAAAGAACTGGCAGGGACCTCTCAGGTCAACCATGAATGCTGTCGGGGAAGCAGGCAGGAGGAGCATGTGAGCTCAAGGTGTGTCATAGACATGGACTGCATTTCTCTAAGAGAAAAAAGGTTAAAAGGGAAAGAGAGTTCATAAATGGAAAAGAGAGTTCATAAATGAGAAACAGAGTTCATAAATGTAGGAAAAGTATAAAATATATGAATTTTGAGTGTGAGATGGATCAGATGGTGAGGTGTTTGTCCGCAAGATCAATTTGATAGATACAGGTTACTAAAAGACTCTTTCTTCTCTCTCTCTCTCCCTGTCTCTCTCAGAAATCGGCTGTTGGCGCAGTTCACAATATCACCGTTAAAGCTTAGAGCAGGTACTTTTCTGGTGAAGAATATGGGGACCACTAAGTTCTCTTTCATGAACCTCTAAAAAGTGAGATTTATACTTTTGCATAGGTCTCTAACACTATTAAAAATTACTGAGGAGCAACACCAATTATATTTACCTTATTAGACATTAAAATTTAAAAAGTGCTTATAAATTAAAGTCACAATAATAAACCCATGCAGTGTTATTATTGTTATGTTTTTATGAAAAAGAACTATAATATGGGGAGAAGGCTGAAATTGCATTACATATTCTTCAGTCTCTTTAACACCGGGCTTAATTGAAGCTAGCTGAGTTCTCCTGGCTGTTTTGTACTCAGTCTGTAGCAATGTGTTGTTTTGATTGATGCATAAAATGAAAGACCAAATTCAAAAATATATTAAGTTAAAGGAGAGATGGTATTTTCATGGTTGATCCAGATACTTGCAAATATTCTTCTTTGATACTACATCAAAAGGTGACAAATGGTGGTTTCTTAAAGGTTAGTGACAACTAAAACCACACTGACAATACTTTTATACAATGTTACATTAAAACTCATTGGTCTATCTGGAACTGTGAATGAATCTTTTATTCATGGAGAATGTATTTATTACAATTAAATTATTATAATTTTTATTTCTCTAGTAATGCCATAAATTGATCAGTAAAATAGAAAATAATTCCTGTCCCTTATAAGAACAATTTAAATTGACAGGTATTGAAGTGATGTCTGCACTCCCATATTTATTGCAGCACTATTCATAATAGCCAACATACAGAATCTACCCAAGTGTCCATCAATGGATGAATAAATAAAGAAAATGTGGTATATATACACAACGGAATATTCAGTCATAAAATGATATGAAACTCTGTCATTTGCAACAAAATGGATGGAATTGGAGTACAGTGTGTAAAGTAAAATGATCTAGGCAGAGTAAGATAAATATCATGTTCTCACTCATATGTGGGAGTTAAAAATATTGATTTCATAGATCTAGAGAGTAAACTGATGGTTACCAGAGACTGGGAGGGGTAGAGGAGGACAGAATAAAAAGGGGTTGGTTAATAGGCACAAACATACAGATAGATAAAGGGAATAATATCTAGCATATGGTAGCACAATCGAGTGACTATAGTTAGTAATTTATTGTATATTTCAAAATACCTAGAAGATTAGAATCAGAATGTTCCTAACACCAATAAATGATCAATGTTTAAGGTGATGGATACTTCAATTGCCCTGACTTGGTCATTACACATTGTATCCTTGTATCAAAGTATCACATGTACCCCATAAATATGCACAACTCTTATATAACCATAAAAATGACAACTAAAATTAAAAAAATTGACAGTATATAAGTTGGTCTTAGCTGGAAGGCTGAGTGATTTCTACTTGCCCTTTCCAAACTTTTGTCTCTGGTTTGTATATATCTGTATCTATCTATAAAATACAATATTTTCCTTGAATAGAACCCCACAATTGAAATAATGGATTAAATATAAATTTGTGGGCATATTTAAGGCTATTTGTAAACCTTGTCAAAACTTTTTTCGAAAGATTGAACTAGTTTATCCTTTCCCAGGCTGTTTACATTAAAATTCATCTCATCATACCATTTGCAGCATTTGACGATTTTTAAAGCTATGATCAAGAACTTTGAGTTCTTAAAAAGTTATTAGAAAATAAAGAGAGATGATAGACTTTCTCACCTGTTTTCCTCTCTTAGGAATGACCATCATTTTGGAAGCATATGTCTGTAGTATAGGCAGCTCTGTTTAGAGGTGATAAATTTAAATGACAAATATATGAAGTGACTTCAAAAGTATAAGAAATCACCATCTAATGCAGAGAATTCATAAGAGCTTGTTAGCATTATGTCCTAAGGGTGATTGGCTGATTTGCTTAGCACATGGTCTTAATGAAGGTAATATTTTCTGTTTAATCTACTCACATCCCAGTTAGGATTGTTCTGATACTCTACTACAGATAATCTCTCTAATCATAGCCAGCAGCTAGCTCCTGGCTGCAGCAAACTCCTGGTGAGATCATAGAAAATTGTAATGCAAATCTATAAACTATTGTAGAACAAATGTGTACATATATATATAAATAACAAATGTGTATATATATATATATATAACAAATGCATATATATATAACAAATGTGTATATATATATAACAAATTTATATATGTATGTTATAATAAATAAAAAATAATTTTTGAAATTATACAGTGCCCCAATAGTTAATATATTTGAGAAATATATACTATTTTAATCCCCATACTGATTAAAAGATGTAAAACATTTTTCTCAGTGCATTTGATTTGTAACACAGTGAAATAATGAATGTAACTAAATGTTTTATCAGTATTATAGATGTACATTTCTTTGTATCACTGGTACAAAATCGTGCTCCAAATAATATCATATTGTATTCAGTCTTGTCTGAATATAAAGCACATGTCCATAGTACCTTAAACATATAGTCTGTACATTTAGAACTTACCAAACCTGAATACTGCTTTTAATCTATAAAAATTCTAGTATGACATGACATTTCTTATAATTGCTCATTTTGTTTCCAACTGAATACTATATTGCTTAAATTTCAAAAACTTTTGACATATAAGTACAGTTGTTTTGTTTTCCTTTGCTTTAATATTTTTCTTTGATTTCCAAATTAAGACCAGTATTATAGACAATAAACAAGGCTAGCAGCTATGTAAATTAATCATTTTAATTTTTTATAAGGGCATAATATTATAACATATTTTTATTGATTCAAAGTCTGCTAATAAAAATATATTTTTGTGTTTCTCTTATCTGCTAATTAGTATAAATTTTAAAAATCTGAACCCTTTTTCTTTAGTTTTCATTTGAAATAATTAGCATTTATATGAATATGAATCATACAAATATGGCTGAATGTGTGTTGAGGGAGGGAGAAAGAGAGACAGAGACAGAAACACTGAGGAGAGGGATGAGAGATTTATGGACATAATTACATTAAACTAGGATAAAAATATTGTGGGAATCAATACAATTATTTCATACTGTTGATATAGAAAATAATGCCCAAGAGAGTTCAGATCGTAAGTAATCCCAGAAAATTTTAGTCACAGTGGCCAAATATTATTTCAAATAAAACATATTTTTTTCTACTAGCTTAAATATTATTTGACTTTACCACATTTTTATAAATTATGTCACCAACAATATATTGGTACTATAAAGAAAAAATAGAAAAATGTTGCATCATTAAAAATATATATAAATAAAATTAATATGTATTAAACACATACATGTTAGACATGTATTATATCATAACTGAAATTATACAGACTTTAAAAATACGCTGCACATTCATTTATTTTTAGGTGTTCATTGTCATTACTGTATTTTAGTGTTGACATAGAAACATATTTATTTGCTTAGTTACCTAAAACCGGTGAAATGAGCCTATATTCCACAAATTCTCTTTTTTCTCTCTTTCATAAAACTTTTTTTAAAGTTAGACCAGCATGTAATCTATATTTCCTACTGGACTAAAAATAGAAACAATTGTTTTACCAACTTGCAGGAAGAAATTTAGCAATATGATGTCACATGTTTGCAATGTATTTACAAAGACAAGGATCCTGAACACTTTGGTGATGAAAAACAATATAAACTAATGCAATCTGTTAGGAAAGCATGACTACATTAACACAAAATTAATTAAAATCATGACACTTATAAGTGCCCCTGTGGAGGAAAGCTGACGCTGATGATGGTGGTGGGTCAGTCATGTGCATGATCTCACTGTAGAGGGGGCCCTGGTGCTGCTCACTCTGGTAAGGGAAACCAAGTTGTGAGGGCTGGCGCAAGTCTCAACAGTTAGGTGCAGGCATGTAGGAACTAGATTCCTGGATGTCCAACTGCTGGTTTAGTTGTTTTCCAAAACACTGTGATGATTTTAGTCATGTATCTTTGTAGAGAAGTATTCTTACTATATGTTTTTGATACGATTAATGAGACTAAGATATAAAAGTATTGATGGATGACAGGTTACAATGAAAGCATACAAACAGAATCTATTTGATATGTACTCTGAGGGAGTAATTCATGTTTTTAGTCCATCTGTAGTGCTCAGTGCTCAGGGTGAACAGCAGGTACCATTGAGTGTGGGAACTCATGGACACAATGCTGGAGACCCAAGGGAGCCTCATCTCTTGGCCAATTGTGGCAGTTGTATTAGTCCATTTGCACATTGCTGTAAAGAACTACCTGAGAATGGGTAATTTATAAAGAGAAGAGGTTTAATTGACTTGCAGTTGTGCATGGCTGGGTATGCCTCAGGAAACTTACAATCATGACAAAAGGTGAAGGGAAAGCAAGGCACATCTTACATGGTGGCAGGGGAGAGAGACGGATGGGGGAAGTGTCACACTTTTAAACCATCAGATTTTATGAGGACTCACTATCATGAGAACAGCATGGGGGAAACAGCCCCCATGATCCAATCACCTCCCACCAGTTCCCTCCCTTGACATGCAGGGATTATAATTTGACAGGAGATTTGGATTGGGACAAAAAGCCAAGCCAGATCAAAAGTCATATTCTGACTGAAGAATATTTGGGCGCACCACACATCTGGGTCAGAGACACTGCCATAATCTGCTGCACAAAGAAGTCTATGTGATGATTTATCTTTCCTTTTCTTGTTCATCTCTTCTTCTCCTATTATCTTATCTCTAATATTCCCTTTGGGCAGAGACAGAGACACAGAGTCCTGGTTATAGAGTTCCATTTCCTGACATTATTTATATAACCTGTAATTTTTCTGTAACCATAATACTATGACATGCTGTTTCAGAGTGGCTTTGGTAAAAGGATTCTGATTTACATTTATGTCTCAGTGAGGCTGTCAGGAAGCCTCTCAGAAAGCTATGTGGGACACGCTCTAAAATCACCAAAAACCAGCTCAAGTATAAAGTAGATTGCTCCTGAGTCCTGAATTCAGAGAAGGATATCTGCATTACGAGTCTTAACTTAACTCCCTGTCACCAAGCTCTTGATTTCACTCAACTACATGGATGTATCTACTCTATCCCAAGATTTCTTTTCCCCTTGGGTACTCCCAGGAGAGGTAGCTCAGTATTTCTTCTCTAGGATTTCAAGGGGCATGGAGTGATTTGGAGTGGACAGTTTTTAACCATTCTTTCTTATCATTAGTGCTAGGAAGAACTTCCAACTTTGAAGGGGAGCCAAGTTACAGAATTGGTGGCAGAATCACTCCAGGTGTCCCTTGTAATTTAGGGTTTCTGAATGATCTGGCCACTCAGAAGTGCGTGGCCCTTGGTGTATAAAATAGCCACTCCATCAGCTGCCTTCATGTAACCTGCCTTATCTCAGGCATTGATGCCCTATGGACCCGGTGTACACCTGGGAAGTAAGTGACACCTGTATTCTCATGCCATCTGGTATTCACAGTGAATTACTGTCACCCTCAAGAGAGATGCCAGCTCCCAAAAACTCAAGAGCAGCAGTGACCTACAGAGAGACAACATGGCCACCTAGTTCTTGTCCATTCTTATAACTTACCCTGTACCCCAGGAGATGACATCAGCCCTTGAGATGACTCAGTTTAAGGCCCCTGCCACGTGCCAGGTCAATAGCATCCATACAAGTTTGCATGCATGAACTTCCAGCAAGCTGCATCTGGCACAGAAGCATATGGGCAGTTGCAGCAGGTGTACAGCTTCTATGTTCTGGTATTCTATGAAGAGGTCTAGAGGAACCATGAGTATGGCCTTTGGGAGAGAAACTTTGCGACCTTATTGCTGTCTTGTTTTATGAGACGAGCATGAGGGCACAGTAAGTGAGGAATAAATACATTGATCTCAAGCTTTCTGTTTAGGAAAGTGTTGGCAAACACCAGTTTCTCAGCATCTGGACACTGGGTTACCAAGGCACTGAGCTTGGGCAAGACACAGAGCCAGCTGGGGAGGGAGGCCCGTGACTCAGCATCACAGGGACAACCTAGAGATGCCCGCCAGGCTTATGCACAGGACAACTGTGCTTTTCTCCACAGTCATAGACGTAAAAAGGAGTGCCCTAAAGCATCTGATGAAAATATGCTCATCATCTCACCGCCATAACTGCCAACCTCTCTGCTTCTGAAATCATAATTTTTAGTCTTGCACCTATCGTTAAAGATGAAAGTTCCCTTCTACCAGTGCCAAATTGTTCCTTTAATTTGATGGATCCCATCCCGTATTGCCAAATTTCCATGAAACTTTCTTCTGCAATTGTGAAATTTCTCTTCTGCATCTCCAATTTCTCCCCCCATCAGATTATCCTCATCATTACATAAACATGACCTAATATCAACAATATTTTAAAAATTAAATAATATAACAATATCCCTTTACGTCACATTCATTTCCGATTCCCCATCCAATTTGGTATGCCTTTCCTCAATGAAACATCTTGACATTCCTGTCTCTAGTCATTTGCTGAGTCCCACTACCAGTAAAAACCGACTTGAACTTGACCACATCGCTTCCCTCAGACTGCTCTTACCAAGGTCTCCAAAGGGTCCATATTGGATTAAAAAATAGGTCAGCTATCTCATGAAAATATACCATTTCTATTCTTAGTATTACTGCCTCATCCAAGGCACTTCTATATGTATATTTTTGTTTATTTGTTTGTTTTTGTTTTGTTTTGTTTTTGAGAAAGGCTCTTACTCTGTTGCCCAGGCTGGAGTGCATTGGTGCCATCAAAGCTCACTGCAACCTCCACCTGTTGGGCTCAAGAGATCCTCCTGCCTCAGCCTCTCAAGTAGTTGGGACCACAGGTGTGTGTCACCATGCCTGGCTGATTTTTCTTTTCGTTTCTTTTTCTTTTTCTTTTTTTTTTTTTTTTTGAGGCAGAGTCTTGCTCTGTTGCCCAGGCTGGAGTGCAGTGGCGCGATCTTGGCTCACTGCAAGCTCTGCCTCCTGGGTGCACGCCATTCTCCTGCCTCAGCCTCCCGAGTAGCTGGGACTACAGGCACCCGCCACCACGCCCAGCTAATTTTTTGTGTTTTTTAATAGAGAGAGATGGGGTTTCACCGTGTTTGCTAGGATGGTCTCGATCTCCTGACCTTGTGATCCACCCGCCTTGGCCTCCCAAATTGTTGAGATTACAGGTGTGAGCCACCGGGCCCGGCTGTCTGGCTGATTTTTTAAAGTTTTTGTAGAGATGGTGTCTCCATATAGCACCCAGGCTGGTCTTAAACTCCTGGGCTCAAGTGATCCACCTGCCTCAGCCTTCCAAATTGCTGGGATGACAAGTGTAAGTCACCGCTCCACTTCCATATCTTGCCTGAACTATTAAAATACCTGTTATCTGGCCTTCCACTCAGCATTTAATCCTTCTCTGTGATCTCCATCTGGCAGCCAAATAAACTTTTAAAACCACATAAAATCTATCCTGACATTCTCATGCTTAAAATCTTCAGGTAGCTTGTCATCAGTCTCAGAAATAATTAAAAATCCTGTCCCTTGCTGACTAAACACAACTTGCTCCCACCCTGTCTCATAACAGTCTCTTTTTTGCCTTCTGAACGTTACAATGAAATGAATCTATCATGCCAAATTATTGTATAACTGTATTTTCTACGTCTAACCAAGAACCAGTGAGCCTGAGTTAAGAACAGCCTGACTCGTTTGGGAAATACATTATCTTTGTATAGAAAGACCATAGTGTCCTCACTTGTATTTTGTCTGAGGAGACTAAAAATGGCTGTGTTCCATCCACCATGCACCCCTCACTGCATTTTAGGTGTTCAGATTATGTGAGATACTTTGCAAGTTACAATGACCTTTCAGAATTAATGATTTGTTCCCATTCACTGAAGCAAGCAAACACTCCAGAACCCCTTTTTCATAAACCGCCCTGGACAGAAGGCTTTCTGATCCAATAATAGACTCAGTCAGGCTCTTCAGAAAGTAGAGAGGAAATCAAAATCTACCCAGTGGAACAATCCACTACTGAAAGGCAGTTATCCCTTCAACTCACATGCAGATTTATATTATGTTAAAGGAAATAAAACAAATATTAACAGCTGTTTTTAAAATGTCTACTAATATGTAAGGCATTAGTCAAACAACTTTATGTACAATTCTTCAGGATCCACAGAAAGTCGGCAGCTTATTACCTGAATTATAATGTTCTATCAATATTAGCTACTGTCATAAAAAATTATTCACAACATCACTGTTACGATGTGATCTCCACATTTTACAGAGAGAAATGTGATCTCCACATTTTGAGGAGAGGAGATGGAAGCTTGAATGGTAAGATCATTTATTTTTGTTCAGAAGTTTGATAATCAGCAGATCTAGCATTTAAACTAAATTGTACTGGCTCCAGAGTACTAACTGTGGTCACACCACAGTGGCCTTAATTTAAAATTTCCCACTCCTCTTTACCTTGCAAAGATGCTTACCGAAGGTGCTTACGAGCCTTTGTCTTTCTGTATATGTGAGATTCTCCCCTTTGTGCTGCCAGCTCCTGAAGCTTAAATATCCTGACATTTTCAGAATTGGTCATTGCCACTTAAAATGGGGCCCAATGCACAGTGTGCTCAATAAGCATTTGATGCAGGAAATAACGAAAATGCTGGCATGTAGCAGGCATTTCACAGTGGGCCACAGGAGAATGAATGATATTCGCTGCTGCACAGTGGTACCTCTAAAAACAGAGGCAAACAGGTTCTTTTCACCTTACCGTTTCTATGATCGTGTTTAAGCAAACTCATATAGCTTTCATTACATGTCAGCGATTGTTCTAAGCAATCATGTATTAACTTATTAAATTTTCTAAATAACTCTCTTGGGGTAAAAACTATAATATTCATCTTACAACTGCAGAAGCTGAGACAGAGACACATTAAACTTATCCAAGACCATATCTGAAAATAGGAGAGAACAGAGTCAAACCCGGGCAACCTGGCTCTGAATCCAGCTCTCGTCTTGTTGGCTGTGCTGTCTTTTCAGAGACTGGCATCTCCTGTAAGTGCAGGTAAATCAAATTCCCAGAAGTTAAGTGAGAACTGGAAAACGGTGAGTAGGAAAACATGTTAATATCACAAGGAATTTTAAATAGTTATTAAAACACAGAAAGGGGCTTGTATCTCCCTAAATTTTGTAGTGAGCACAGTGAATTTCTCACCTGGCAAGAATTAGAAGTCTCTGTGAATGTATAACAGATTATCTGTGTCCACTCTCTTTGACGCCCACACTCAGAAAACTGAGGCTGACATTTGGATCTAAAACATACAGCCACATATTACATGCTGCTCTCTTACAAAGGTTTCAAGAGAGACAGACACAATTTACAACACACTGAAGGGTAACATTTTTTGCTAGAGATGAATTTTGCATGGTGCCCAGCAGGGGAGGAATGTAGAACACACGGACATTCTCTCTTCAGTTCTACCCTTAAATGATCCTTAGAATCTGAAAACAGCTATCTCAGAATTAAGTAAGGATACTATTCTTGAGTATGATATGAATGACTAAAAAACAATATTTTATTTAAAACAATTGCTTGGATATAAAATCTCTGAAATTGAGATTTTTATTTAAAATACATATGAATTTAATAAACACTTTAAAACATCTTTATTTTCAAAGGTAAACATGAAGATTAAGAAGAAAGGAAAAAGTGTTATACAGGAAACGTTCCCATAGGAATTTGACATATTTGTGGTTTTGGCAATTATACATAGAACCTCTGGAATACATCTACAAAACAGATGTTTTAGAGGGTTTTGTTTGTTACAAGCATAACAGAGTACACCACAAGAAGTATGTCACTAGATACAGTTAAAAAATAGTAATATGTCCCCTAACTAAAATAATGGTAGGTTTAAAATTAGTTGTATATTCATCTTTGTAGATACAAATTCCTGGGACGGTCAGAGGCTGTGTTCTCTTTGATGTTTTGGATGTTTTTTTTTTTTCCCATTTATGAATTTATCATCACGGGGCCTGAAAACTGAACTAACTGAGGGTTCATGGACAGGTATTAGTGATATGATTCCACAAAATTTGTAACAAGTTAATTTGACACTAATATAATTTACACAAATTGTTACTGCCCCTAAAATAATTGTTGTTTGTTTAGATATAAATAAATGTATTTGATAAATATAATCTGCATACCTTTACAATCCATGGTGGTATTTATTTCAAAGTTCAGGCGGAATGAAGAAAAGGGAAAAAAATTGACGGAGAGAAGAAAGTGGAAAGAGCACATTGGTCCTTTCTGCCTCACGGACGACTGTTCCAAGGCTTGTTGGTTTCTTACGTGTTACCATGACACCCACAACCAGGGAGGACAACTCTGGACCTGTATACAGAATGTACTTGGGCGAAGGTGCCAACCTCCCTGGGTCACTAAGGTTAGTGTATATGACTCTGCTGAGAAGGATGGATGTCAAGTGAGGGAGGAGGGATAGCAGGAATTACACGTATAAGGTGAACGTGAATACAAAAACATGTCCCTAATTTTCCAATAAAAAGATTTTAAAAATTAGGTCGATATGAATATATAAACATTGAATGGATTTAATCATATACTCACTTATGCATATGTGTTCAATCACACCTAGTATTTATATCTATAATTTATACATTGTTATTCATATGTAAATTATAGAACAAATCATATTAGATTATATATTATAATTATATGTAGTAAACTTCTATCATTATAAATGCATCTAATATTTATATAATTAATAATATATCGAATTATTTGATTACATTTGTATATACAACCAAATTTTACATAGGTATCATAAACTATCAATACAGAGCTATTATATTTTCATAACTTCTTAATTTAAAAATTTAATTCAAACTCTATGCTCACATTTTAAATATTAGCTACTTCCATCCAAGCTGTGTGTCATGTAGCACATTTGGGGATCCGTATAAGATGCCATTACTGGAAACTGAATCTCAAACCACAAGTATCCCTTCATGTCACCTTAAGAACTTTATTAGTTTAATTTGCTTTATGAATATAAGTTCATCTGCTTCATGATGTGGGTAAACTATTTACTGTATTACTTTTAACATATAATAAAATACTTGTTTGTAATGACATCCAACAATTGAACTTGTGAGGTCATTCCCTCTAAATAATTCATAAACGTGTATTCAATTTCTTTGTCTCTTTTTCTACTATTACTTCAGGTGGCTTTTATAAGCATTCAAGCTATCATTAATTGAAGTTGTTTCAGGTTACATATCTTCCCCCAAACAGTACTTTGTGGTTGGAAATTAAATCATTTCAAAAGTGCCCTGTAATGTGAGATACTTTGTGTGGTCTTAAATACAAGGTGATACCCTTTCTGAGGTATAACTTCAAGAAAATACCACTTTATATTGAGTCACATGTGACAGTTTTCTATTCTGCTTTCAACAAAGCAGAAAATCATTTGCTGTCAACACTTCCAGCAGTTGGCATTTTTCTTGCTGTGAGTTTCTCTAATTGGCTTGCTCTCCTAGGAGTCTGAGAACAAGCACTGATTGACACCCACTCTGCGCCAGGGGTAGGACACAGGGGAAAGTAAGCAGATGCTTTCCCTGCCCTCAGGGAGCCTCCAGCCCAGCAGAGAAAACAAGCGCTGAGCACGTTATTATTGGAAGAAATACACATTTAAAGAAAACTGCAAAGAGCATGTATATGCTCCTGTAAGATTATTCACTACAGGCATCCAACCCAGACTAACAGACTCAGGATGGCAGCCTGACTTCCTGACGCAGGTGCCAGGTTCGAAACCCAGCTCTCCCTTTAGTAGATTTGTGTCATGGGCAAGTTACTTAACTTTGTATTCTTGGTTTCTTCTATTTTAAAATGATGATTATAAAAAAGACTACTATATAGTTTGTGCTGAAGATTAGTTGAGTAAATAGTAAATCAATTTATATATCATTTTAATATTAAATGCTCATATATTGAATAATTGCGTGTGTGTGTGTGTGTAATAGAATAGAAAGCCTGGTGCATAGTAAGTGTTCTTTGGGTTAGTTGTAATTATATTTTTTCTAGGATTTATTTTTTAAAACAGCTTTAGGTTCACAACACAACTGAGCAGAAGATACAGAGATTTCCCATATGCCCTCTGCCTAAACACATGAGTAGTTTTCCCCGTTATTGAAATCCCTACTGGAGTGGTTCATTTGTTACAATTGATGAACCTAATTGACATATCATAATCACTCAAAATTAAGAGTACATTAGGATTCACTCGACGTATATTCTGTAGGTTTTGACAAATGTATAATGGCACCTATCTATATCCACCATTCCTCTCATGCAGTTTTCACTGCCCTGAAAATCCCGTGTGTTCCACCTATTCATCCTTCCTTCACCCAGCTCCTGACAGCCACAGATCTTTTTGCGAACCTCTGTTGTTTTGCCTTTTCTAGAACGTCTTATGGTTGGAATCATATATAGCCTTTTAAGAATTGTCTTTTTTTCACTTAATAATATGTATTTAAGGCTCCTCCGTGTCTTTTCAACATTCGATAGTTCATTTCTTTTTAGTACTAAATACTATTCCGTTGTCCTGACTTACCACCATTTACTCATCCATTCATCTGCTGAGGGACATCTTGATTTCTTTCAGCTTTTGACAATGATGCATAAAGCTGCTATAAACATCCATGTGCAGGCTTTTACATGGGCATAAATTTTCAGCTGCTGTAAGTAGATGGCAAAAAGCATCACTGCTGGATGGTATGGAAGGAGGATGTTTAGTTTTGTAAGAAAGTGCCACACTGCATCAGTTTGTATTCCCACCAGCAGTGAATGCACTGCTCTCCATCGTCCTTGGCATTAGATGTTGATAGTATTCTGGATTTTGGCTATTTTAGTAGGTGTGCGGTTCTATCTCATTTTAGTTTGCATTTCCTTGATGACGTATGATGTGGAGCAACTTTTCATATGCTTATTTGCCATCTGTATATCTTCTTTGTAAGGTGTCTGTTAAGGACTTAGGCTCATTTTTTAATTGGGTTGTTTGTTCTCTTATTGTTGAGGTTTAAGAGTTCTTTGTATATTTTGGATTATAGTCCTTTATCATATGTGTCCTTTGCAAATAATTTATCCTGGTCTGTGGCTTATTGTCTCATTCATCTGGAATTGTCTTTTGCAGAGCAGATTTTAATTTTAATGAAGTCCAACTTATCAATTATTTCTTTCACCAATTACTTTATGTTGTGTCTAAATAATCATCACCAAAGGTTATCTAGTTTTAATAGTATGTTATCCTCTAGGAGTATTTTTTTTATTCCCACTTATGTTTTATTTTTAATTTAATTTTTAAAATGTATTATTATGGGTACATATTGGTTGTGTGTATATATGTCGTACATGTGATTTTTTTTCATTTATTTTTTAAAATTATACTTTAAGTTCTGGGGTACCTGTGCAGAACAAGCAGGTTTGTTACATAGATATACACGTGCCATGGTGGTTTGCTGCACCCATCAACCCGTTACCTATATTAGGTGTTTCTCCTAATGCTATCCCTCTCCTACCCTCCCACCCCTGGACAGGCCCTGGTGTGTGATGTTCCCCTCCCTGTGTCCATGGGTTCTCATTGTTCAACTCCTACTTTTGAGTGAGAACATTCGGTGTTTGGTTTTCTGTCCTTGTGTTACTTCGCTGAGAACGATGGTTTCCAGAGTCATCCATGTCTCTGCAAAAGACATGAACTCATCCTTTTTTATGACTGCATAGTATTCCATGGTGTATATGTGCCATATTTTCTAAATCCAGTCTATCACTGATGGGCATTTGGGTTGGTTTCAAGTCTTTGCTATTGTGAACAGTGCCACAATAAACATACATGTGCATGTGTCTTTATAGTAGAATGATTTATAATCCTTTGGGGTTTTATAATGGGATTGCTGGGCCAAATGGTATTTCTAGTTCTAGATCCTTGAGGAATGGGAGTTTCATCTTTTGCATTTTATGGCCGATTTTGAGTTAATTCTTGTGAAGCATGTAAAGTCTTGACTTAGATTCTTTTTATTTGTTTTTTCTTTGTTGTTGTTGTTGCTTTTTGCATGTGGACGTACAGCTGCTGCAGATCCATTTGTTGACATCTATCTTTACTGCATGGTATTGTCTTTATTTTGTCAGAGATGTATTGACTATATTTTTGTGTGTCTGTTTCTGGCCTCTCTATTCTGTTCCATTGATCTATTTGTACATTCTTTCACCAATACTACACTCTCTTGATTATTGTCCCTTTATTATAAGTATTGAGTCTTGAAGTTAGTGTCAGAACTCCAAGTTTGTTTGTTGTATTGTTATGCTTTTTATATAGCATGGAGGAAAAAATACTTAATATAAAAATATAAATAGTGACTGAAATTCAATATGATAGAAGGTGAGTGAAGAATAAAGGAAAAATGGAAGCCGTGACAGGTAGAGAGGGAGGCAAATGGCCAACCCTCAATTAGGAGATATTTAGATGTGAAGATCTTACAGAGGGACAGAAAGCTGAAGCCTAGAGACCAAAGGAAAGAAGGCAATTTAATTATCCTGCTGAAGGCAGGTAGTTCTTTGTTGTTGCTATTGTTTGCAGACAAGGGAGTGCAAAGTTAATAAATACTAAGAGATAGAAAGTAGACCTTAAGGAAATGAGAGAAAAAATGGTAGAGGAAAGGCAGAGTATACAAAAGAAAGAAAGAACCTAGGAAGTCCACTGACTTTCTCCAAAAGATAAGAGGCATCAGCTCCCTTCTTACCATTTTTTGCCTCATGAACAGTTAGTTTTGTCCTTATTCAGTCATTTTGTCAAGTTCTGGATTTTCTTCTCTGCATTTACTGAATATGGTGGAAACTGCTGGTGCTCCATCAAGCCACTAGAGGGAATTCCTTTTCTTCTGCAAGCCCTTCCTCCCCTTATCACAAGCTCCAGTTACAGAGGTCTCCTGCATTCTTCAGGATTTGTATTCTGGTCATGCTCCATGAGGAAGACAGACAAGTACAATATAGCTCTGTGATTCTTTCCAATATCTTCTCATTATTTCCAGCAACCATTGAGGTTTCCAGTAAAGAAGGACTTAGGAAATATTTTTTGAATCATGAGCTGCTAATAGATCAGTAAATAGGATTTATTAAACACAGCTGTATTCAGGACTCTGACCTGTGTGGGCCTTAGGGAAATACAAAATTTACAAACTGATGTGATTTTCTTACCAGTAAGAAATCTTATGAAAGATTAAATTAAAAAAATATAAATGGGGGCAACTCAATCACATAAAAGTAATATATTCCATGTGACTGAAATACTAGGGAAAATTTAGAAGTAGAATTTAAGTGAGAATTTCAAGCAGGGTTCTGAAAGATTCTACAGGATGAAGGAAGAATTGCCCATATGCCAATTGCCTATGTGAAATCACAAAAACAGAAATCAATAAGGCATGTATGGAAGTACAGAGTGATTGCCTAGTTAGAAAAAGAGCGTGAAGGGATCAGTTAACACAAACAAGAAGAGTTTAATGCTTATCTGCAATAAGTTGGTAGAGCAAAATTAAGCACTTCCCAGTATACTGATAGACGTTAATTTCCACTCTACCATGTGAAATTTTGCAACTATGAGCAAGCTATTTAATATTCTGTAACTTGGTTTTCTTATACATAAAATGCAGTTAGTAATAACTAACTCATGAATGATTAAATGGGCTAATGTATTTAAAGAAATTAGAATAATGCTTGCAATATTATAAATGTTCAGTAAATATTAGCATTGTTGTTAATCATCTCTAACCTTCAGCCTGGGATCTTCTACATACATTCTTACTCACATCTAATGAATATAAAATGTTGCATCAAAATGACTGTTCTAAAATTAAACGGTTTTCTCATGTCGCAATTGCACAGAATTCTTCAATGGCTCTCTAATACCATCAATCCTAGAATGTTATCCAGAAATCCTTTCCAATTTGGTTTTTGCCAAGTTTTCTAGTTTCATCGTATAATAGTTGTCTTTTTATTACTTGCAGTTAAGTTGAACTGCAGGCATTACAAATTACTTGCATATAGTCAGCCAAAACAAGATCCTTCTTCTCTCCCTTCCTTTGCCCATCAGAGACTGTATTTATAATTCTGACTTACACACATCTCCTCATTGAGGTGAGCAGTTCCCCATCATTTTAAATTTAGTTAAATGACATTTATTTAGCATAGCTTCTTTCACCAGAATGTAGAGTTGAAGGCTTTCTTCTCTGTCCACTCAGTTCATTTTTTAGATAAGTATGCACCTGCACTGAAGTCATTGAAATTAGTGTGTGCTTGATTATTTGTCAGTCCATGATCCATTCTATGCATGACACTGTGGATATCAAAAATTTGCAAACAATATCTTCTTTTCCTTATCTTCAAAAGGAAGATGCAGGTTGAAACATAGTATGTATCTAAAGAAGATTTTTGAAAGACTAACTAAAAAAAATAATAACAAATGTTCAAAGTCTATCTAAATTGGTGTTTCTTCACATCTGACTGTATATGTGGAATACCTTCAATAATGTCATGTAGATATAAGGAGAAGAGTATGTGTGTAAATAATTTTACTGTAAATCATATTAGGTAGTAAGTGTTACAGTAGATGCATGGCAATGGAGTATTTTTCATCTGAAGAATCTGGGAAGAACTTGTTACTTTGTGGAATAAGACTTTTTTTTTTTAATTCTAATTTGATTAGATACATATAACCCAGAAGAGCTGTGGTTTTATGTTTAAGAAAGTAGAGAATCCAGAAGAGAAATCATACAGTTTTCAGACCACAAGAAAGACTGATTGAGTAACATTATCAAATATACCAACATCAGTTTGGAAATATTCCAAATCATCAGATTGTGGGTAAGCTGTTCAGTAACATCATTCAGCTAGACTAAATGATTTAAAAAATAAAAACGTAAAATAACCGGGGTTGTCATAAGTTTTTTCCTGTGATGAAAGAAGATAGCCACAATAAAAAGGAGTCTGCAAAATATTAAAACAGGAGCTTGTCTGTAAAGGATTTTATTAAGAGCTTCATTTCCAAAGATGTTGCTGTAATTCAGGGTTTCTTGATGCAAGAGACAGCTGGAATTGATAATAACATTTCTCAAGGCTGTCATTAGTTCTGCAATATTAGCTTAAAATTAGTATGGAGGACAATGCAAAGTTCATACGGATTTTTGGTTCAGTTCCTTACAGCACATAATAGATAAAATGATATATTTTAATAAGGTATCAGGACTTGTTTTCTTCAGAAATGACTCGATTTTTAAGAGTATATTTTCAGTATATAAATATAAATATATAATATTCTTTATTAAATATATGGAAACTAAATTGTAGTCATGTTGTAATCTAATTACAGAAAAATTCACTTCAAAAACAAAAGGTTTTCCCTTAAAACAAATATATTTTCACTGAATTATTTCTTATAAATCTATTAGGGGAAGATTTATAATATATTAGTAAAAAATGCATATTATCTGTTCAATAAACAACGTAAATTTGTTAACCGATATATCAATAGGAAACTCGTTATCAAGACAATGTTATATGTTATCCATTGGATTCTATATGATTATTGTTAACTCCAGGATATGCTTCCATTAGTACATAACCTCATTCTGTCAAGGGCCAGATGTGCAGACTGGATACACCCAAGACATCTTATCAACCCAAATTCTCTATAAATACTCAAAAAGCTAAACAAAGGATATTTGTCTGCCTAAGTGATATAATTACATCTAAACTTTTGGGGGGCAGGAAGCATTGTGTCAGCAACAGAAAGAAAAGCAATATGCAAACACTTATATTTATTTTCTATATTGACAGCAAATTGTGGAAAACAGTATTTTATTTGAACTTACGGAAAACACAGAAATGCAAACATGACATTGCATTGGCCATGGATGTAAATAACACCAGCAATATAGCTTTAAATATTTCCAATTATATGCTATAGTTGTTAACCATGAGCATATTTAATTGCTCACCCACTATTTTGACCTTCTATTTTTCTGTCCATGTATCTATAGGCCTCTGCTTGGAGTTTTAAAGGATATAGGAACACATATGACAAAAGTACTATATTTTCATTACCTTTGTAAATATCTTAGCAATAAAATCTCCTTCCCTATATGTAGATTGATAATCTGCTTTAATGTAGTTTTAAAATAGCATTTTATAATCAATTCTAACTAGTGAAGCAAGTTCTCTATGTAAAAGTGTGAACTACAGCAGCACAATTTACAATTTACAATTGCAGAAATATAGAACCAGTCCAAATGCCAATCAATCAATGGGTGGATAAACAAATTGTGGTATATATATCATATATATGTATATATATCATAGATTACTACTCAGCCATAAAGAGGAACAAAATAAAGACATTTGCAGCAACCTGGATGGAATTGGAGGCCATTATTCTTAGTGAAGTAACTCGGGAATGGGAAACCAAACATCCTATGTTCTCACCCATAAGTGGAAGTTAAGTTAACCTATGAAGATGCAAAGGCGTAAGAATGATACAATGGACTTTGGGGAAAGTCTTTTGGAAAGGGTGAGGGGGGTGAGGGATAAAAGACTACACATTGGGTACAGTGTACACTGCTCGGGTGATGGGTGCATCAAAATCTCAAAAATCACCACTAAACAACTTATTCATGTAACCAAACACCACCTGCTCCCCAAAAACCTACTGAAATAAAATAATAAATAAATAAATAAATAAAAATAAAAGTGTGAACTACAGACTCAGTATCTTAATATATTGATAAAGCACAATGAAGAATTAAAGGAAGATTGTGCACAAATAAATTGTGCAATCAAGTCACCATCCAGTAGCCCTGTGAAGGAAACAGGGAGACTTGGATCACTAGAGGCATAGGAATGTCACTCTAGGATGTGAACTCTGAACTGAAATACTTAAAAGACGTAGAGCTGGACAAGTCAGAGATAGTGGCATCCCATGGCTACTGATTGAAACAAATCTTTTCTGTAACAGAGTGTCACAACTTAGCATCACACAACTCCTATTTAAGAGCAAACAATGAGTTTTCAATCAATAAACACAAATATATGAGAGTTTGGACCACTGAGATTGAAAATCAGCAATGACAAATAAGTGAATATGCATACATACAAGTTTTAATGTGCCCAAAGACAAAAAATATTAGAATTTTTCAATACAAAGTATGGAATAATTATATATAAATATTTTATTTAAAAAAGACACAATTTCAAAGACTGATCAGCAGTAACACATTATCAGGGATAAATGCAGAAATTTGAAAACAAAACTTCTAGGCTGTATGTCTAAATATATATCATATAACATTAATTATATAGGTATATTTAATTATTTAAATTTGAAAGTCGACATAAAGTTTACCAATATATTAAACGGAGTTGAAAAGAAACAGAGAAATGGAAAATACAATCTAGTAAATAATATAAGATAAAGTGAAATATTAAGAGGTACGACAAAAATATGAAATAATCATAAAAATGTATTAAAGATAGAATGAGAAGATCACATACACAACAATTAGAGACAGTAGAGAAAATAAGTGAGAGATAATATTTGAAGATATGATGGCTGAAAATATTCCAAATCTCATTAAAACATAAATCTATAGATATAAATGGTACTATGTACTTGGGACAAATAAAAATAAACATACATATCTTGTAATAAGGATTAATTGGAAGCTATTATCTTTAAAATCAGGAGCAACACAAAGATGCTTGCTTTCTTAGATTCTCTTCAACTATGTACTAGATCATGGAAACAATGCAGGGAAAGAAAAAAAGGAATAAAAACATAAGAATTCGGAAGAAGTAACTATAATTATATTATCTACCTTGAAATTAAAAAGAAATATTACAGGCAGACTACTCACAATAATATGAGAGTAGCATGTTATACAGGTATAAGCTCACTGGAAAAAAATTGGCATATTTTTAGTATGTATACCAAAGCCAAAATTTTAAAATTGCGTTTAAAAACACATTTCATCAATCACATCTCAATAAAGCAGTCAGAAACAAACAGCAAAAACCTATTATGTACACTATCAATATAAACAACAAACCAACTAAAAATACATCTTACAAAATGCGTACAAAACATACGTGGAAAAAATGCTGAAACTCTACATTAAAAAGACCGTAAACATACAGAGTAAATACCATGCTCTTGGTTGGAAAGAAATAGCGTTCCAAAGATGTCAATTCTCCCAAAGTTGAGATATATTCTATGAAAGTCCAAATACCAACAGTTTTTTTTTTCATGGATCTGGTCAAGCTAAATCTCAAATGTATATAAAAGAAAGACCAGCCAAGAAACTAAAGAAGTGGAGGCTTAGATATAATCCATAAATAATCAAAATTTAAAATAAAACAATGAAAATTAAGGGAGAGGATAGAAGCCTCAGAACATACTTATGGAGTTTCAATATATGACAAAGCAGGCCTGGTGGGACCTGTTTAATAAACTATTAATATATTTTTTTGATGCATAAACAAAATGTTTTTGATGCATAATATATATATTTTGATGCATAAACAAATATATATTTTTGATGCATAAACAAACAAAAACATAATATATATTTTTGATCCATAAAACCTGATATCAGACTTCTGCTTCACAACACACAGACACACACACACCTCTTTTAGAAAATAAAACAATATTTTTCTGACCTTTTAATAGGAAAGTATTTTCTTAACAGACCCAATGTGCTAATTAAAATAACAGATTGAAACACTCAACTACCTTTAAATTTAGAAGTTCTGTTCAATAAAGGAGAGTTTAAAAAGTGAAGATGAATCAAAATCTAGAAGATATTCACAACATACACAACAGACAAGTACTGAAACACAAAATATAAATTATCAAGTCAGAGACACTTATTCAAAAGAAATTTTGAATAGTAACTTCACAGAAGAGGACACATGTATGTTCAACGTCAACAAATTCCAAAAACGGAGGTTACAACCACAATGAGAAATCATTTTACACTTGTGAAATAAGGGAATAAAAGAGCATAACAATATGAACTATTGGATAAGATATGGATCAACAGGAACTCGTATACATTTCTGCGGGAAGATAATGGTAGAACCAACTTGGAAAACAATTTGGCATTTGTACAGCATACAACCCAGAAATTCCATGCATAGTTATGAAGTGAAGAAACTTGCAGGAACCAGCAGATGGTAACCAAAGCAATCCCTAGCGGCCCTCATTGCTCATTAGCATAAGACACTCCCACCAGCGTCATGACAATTTACAAGTGCTATGGCAATATCTAGGAGTTTGCTGCCCCTCTCCATGGCAACCAGCTGGAAATTGCCGCCCTTTCCCTACAAAGTTCTAAATAACTTGAGCCTCAATTTGTATTAGCCTGACCCTTAATTTTGCAGGTAATTGAAGGAGGGTATAAGTGGAAATAAGTACAGTGGCCAAGAGCCCATCCTTTGGGGATTCTGGGAGCACTGCCTGTGAGTTAGACCTGCTCCGAAAGGAGCATCACGACTCAGTGAGAGATTGCTGTCTAACAACACGCACTTGACCTTGAATTCTTTCCCAGGTGAAGCCAGGAACCTCCCTGGGCGAAACCCCAGTTTGGAGGCTCGGTTGTCCTGAATCAGTTATAACTTGGAGAAATGTCTGCAGATGTGCTTCAGGAGTCATGTTCAAGATATTTCAGAAAACATTATTTCCTCAGAGAAGGGATGAATTATTTGCTTTATACTACCAAAAAGAGAACCGTTTGCAACAGTAAAAATGAATGGACTAAATCTACATGGATCATCCCAGATAAAGGTTAGAAACCTGAAGTTGAGAGAAAGTGATTCCCAGAGGACTGCATGCAGAATAAGGCTACTTTTGTAAAGCTTAAAACTAAATAAAACTTACAAATATGTTTCCTAGCAATGCATATGTATGTGATAAAATAATTTACCAAGACAAGAGAAAGCTAAATACAAGACCCAAGATAGTAGTGACTTATGAGTGAGAGGCAGGAGATGGGGTGAGGACGAGGTAGAAAAGTTAGTGCCAATTATTACTACATTCAGTTTCTTTGGTGATGTAACAGATTTAGTTTTTATACGTTATTTTTCTTTATAAAAATACATAACATATTGGGTTTGGTATGTATTAAATATTTTATATTAATAATAAAGAAAAAATTATAGGTGATGCATATAAACACTGGTAAAGGATTTACAAAAAACAAAAATCATACATTAGCAAATTTTTTGACAAGGGGAAGTAATATTTCTAACGTTTTCTTCCATAAAATTATATATAGTTTTGGAATTTCAACTTTTAACAATTTTGCTACTTGCCACTTTTATGTTGAGATGTTCTCAGGTATATTCATGAAATTTGGGATATATGCTCTGTGTCAATGGAAATGGTACCGGAACAGAAATTGGGAAAAATAGGTTCAAGTGGGAACTTTACAATTAACTCTCTCAGTAATTTTGGTCAAGTCTCTGTAACTTCTCTGAATCTCTTTCTCAGTGAAACTAGGAATTTAATGAACTGCTCTCCGAGGTTCCTTCCAACTCTAAAATTTTATGCAAGTGTGACTCTAATTTGTTATAAACACAAATATTAGAATAATGCTGAGGAAATTGGATTGCATTGGTATTATGTTTAATGGCTTCTGAATTATTAGAAATTATGATGAAAATGCTTTTTAAACATTTATTTGGCTTCTTTCCACAAATAAACTTATAAATAAATCTGTTACATAATCTGAAAAATGAGGATAATTAATATACACATGCCAAATATCAAGGCAAGAGAAATTAAATTGTAGTTTCATTATTTTGTGGGCGCAGCAATACGTCGGAGTCAACAATGTACTGAATCAAAAATTTAAAAGTTAATGTACTTGCCTGATGTAGTAATTCACAATTTACATATGAATTGGATTCAGACCCATTTTGTTTGTTTGTTTGTTTTTCCACATACAGGAAAGAAGTATTAACAACTACAAACTGGATGTTTTTCAACAGTTCAAAAACTATTTTTTCTGTGAAAGTTTTTACATATAGCTGAAAACAACAACAAAGAGTTTTGGAAGGGGTACCCTTAAGAGAAATGACAGGAGATCAAACATCAGATTTCTCAATATTTCTGTCTGTATGTCAAGTGAAATATGGGATTCTGCTTGATTTAATTTTTGAGATTCAATGCGATAATTTGTATTCATTAAAATACCAAGAAAGCCTTGAGTATGATTGCTTGCAAGATATGTTAGAAATCACTAAGCAATGTGAAAATATAAGCAGATGAATTACCTATTAAATCTAATAATTTCCCCAGAAACAGATTTTGACAGAGTTCTGACTTTTAAGAGAACCATATTATTACTTTGCCTAGTGTAACTGTCAAATGCATGTACAATTATGAAATAATTCACAATGTTCTTTCAAATGCAGCTTTCCCATTAGCTTATATTTTTAACTTATATAAGTTGGGTTTTTTTTTCCGTAAACGAAGCCAAAATATTTCTCCTGGGAAATACTTCCATTATGTAATTTAATTGTTACATTTACATTGTATTACTGTCTGATAAATAGGCCTTTTCATTGATAAATCAAATTTACAGAGACAAATGTATAGCAATAGTAATAAGAACATTTTAGTGTAACATATTCTCTGCTTAAAGCACTCACAAGATGATATTCTCAACATATATTCTACTGCTTATCTCTTACTTCCACGGCATCTTCATTTGGACCTACTGTGTTTGAAATGTTCCAGTCATTATCCAGAATAGCATTCCTAAAAAGAAATACAATTATTTAATTGGTTAGCTATATAAACGGATCAGTCATTTCAACAATACATATATCCAAGTCGCATTTCTCTAGTCTTCATACCTATAAAGCTGCAGAATGATCTCCCGCCTTGGCCCACTGAAGATGGTCTCTTTCTTCATGTCTTCAAGCAGCAGGTGCCAGTGAATGGATATCTGGTATGAGTAATCCAGTTTTAAAGCACATTTTACTGAAAGGTTTCCTATTTGTTTTAATAAATAATGCCAAAGATATGGTTATCTACTGTGGTATAACAGACCACCCCAACATTTAGTGACTTAAAATAATAATTATTTTTTGTGTCCCCAAATCTGTACTTTGTGTAGGGCTTGGCAGGAATGGCTCATCTCTGTTCCACAAGGCATCGACTGGGGTGGCTTGGCAGGGACCGGCATTTTCATTTCCAAGGCAGCTCCCCGACACGGCTGATTAGTGCTGGCTGGCAGTGTGTTGAGATCTCAACTGCGGCTGTCATTGGGGGCCACTCTGAGGGAGGCCCCTGGATTTTTTACAGTTAAATATGTTTTCTACTACATCACTTCATTTCTTTTTCCAGAAACACTGGCAGCTAAGCTGCATTTTATTTGTTAGTTTCTTCAATAATAAATATTTCACTATTTCTTCTAATCCTTTGTTTCCACTTATTTTATTTCATTCCTCATTTTATCCCTTTTTTCTAAATTCCATTTTATTATACTTAAGGTGCTTTTAATATGGTTATCATACTCCTGATAGTGTTATTTCTTTCTTAGTCTTCTTATATAAGCGCTATACGTTCACATTCCATCTCCTTTGGTTATCTTTCCATTTCTTCACCGAACCTCTTTGCTCTCTTTTTTTATAGCTGGTTCACTCAAAATGTCTTACTTTGCCATTTTTGAAATTTATTTTCATTCTTTTATGTACTGAATAAAATTTAAAAATACTTTATCATGGTGGGAGGTACCCGTGATGTCCAAATAAGTGTTTATATTAATTGTTGGGGTTTTTTTGTTTGTGTGTTTTTTGAAAGGTTAAGAAAATCTCATTCAGAAAGTAAGTTGTTTAAAAATTCTGGACCAAATTTACCACACATCAAGCAGATACTTACCAAGTTGTTTGGTAGACATTAGCAGTATTTACTAATGTCTGCTTCTCCTTGTAAGCAAATGTATATCTATATTTACCCCTGTTACTAGGAAAGAAATCTTGTCTTTGGCAGTGGAAAACCCATGGAGGGTTTACCGGTTTCTCTCTGTACCCTTGTTGCAATGATATGGTAAGCAGAGTTGTGATAAATTGGTTTGGTCAAACAAAATTAGAGGTATCTGGCTTGCGGAGAACAGCTGCTTTGCCATATGGTCTGAGACCCACAGCAGTTCTGTGTACATGGGAAATAAACTTTTATTGTATTATGTCTATGAGAATGTGGGTTTGTTTTTTACTGTATCATGATTAATAGAGATGGGTTAATAATTTTTATACTATTTCTTTTTCCTTTGACCATTAAGAATTCCATGTGACTATGAGAATTTGCAATACAGTGCCACTCTCCTTTGCTTTCATTGATCTACGAAAACATGAAAAGCTATAATCTTTAGAATTAGTACATCCAGAACTTTTCCTGTCTCTATTCCTATCTCTTTAATTGATATTCCAGGCTCTCATGAGTCCTTGCAGTTAATCCTTTTCATGTTTGTTATTTATATTTCTTCAAACTAAAGGCTGTATTCAATGGCAAATCTATGCTTGGTTAAAGACGGAGAAGAGGAATAGAGGTGAGTCTGACTTGGGAGATCCTTTCCATGCTCCCCCTGATTATGGTACCAAAGTTGCAGCACGTCTTTCAACAGCTCCTTTGCATTGATATTTTGGGAAACAATTATTTGTTCTGCCTTCTTCCTGCCCAGTGATATATTTACACAGGTTGGTGATGACTTGCCAATATATTTCTGCTGTAGTTAAATTAATTTATCTCTAACTTTTTTTAATCTTAGTGATTTCCTAAATTTCCTGTTGTGTTACAATTTTGAATATGTGATTTTTATGGGGATAGCAGCTTTATCAACTAAAATATAAGAAAGTTAAATGAAGAGCAGCTAACTACTATCATAAACTAAAAATATTAATATAAGCTATTAAACAAAGGGCAGAAACATCTACTAAAAAGTTTATCCTACATAAGAAGTGCTTAGAGCAAAGATACAATTATAAATAAGAAGGTACTTAAGACTGTGAGTACTTTTTAAATAACTCAAAAGCTGACACAGTTGAGCAACTCATTTGTATATTTGAGAGCATCTGATAAATTAAAAAGTATCATTATATGTTAAATATGTAGATGGCTGGAAATATATATGTGTATATATATATATAGGTATATAAAGTATGCAAATATCAGCATGATATATTTCCTAAGCAAAAACTAAAACTTCATTAAGATTTTCAGGAAAATGTTACTGAGTATCTTCCATATTCCCTTTTCACTAAAACATAAGATATTTTCCATTATATAATACCAAGTGCATATCTTAAATATTATACATCTCAACTGCATTAATCTAATTTCACATGGCTATACAGAAATACACGAGACTGGGTAATTTATGAAAGAGAGCTTTGATTGACTCACAGTTCTGCAGTGCTGGAGAGGCCTCGGGAAACTTAGAATCATAACAGAAGAAAAGCAGGAGAGATGGAGTGCAAGCAAGAGAAAGGCCAGATGCTTATAAAACTATCAGATCTCCTGAGACTCACTCCCTGTCATGAGAACAGCATGGGGGAAAAGTCCTCCATAATCCAATCACCTCCCATCAGGCTTCTCCCTTGACACATGGTGATTACAATTCAAAATGAGATTGTGTGGGGACACAGAGCCATACCATACCACCAACTCACATTCTACAGCTTTCAATTTTCTGACAATTAAATATATTATTTTAGTCTGGGAATATTTGACACGCTTTGTTACTACAGAGCATTAAGAGACAGAGTCTTCATTATAAATGTTAGAATATAGTTGACTTGTTTCCATAACTACTGTTTGAATCTGACTTTAGAGACACGTTCTTTCAAATGCATGCATTTGCATATACTGGAGGATGGGAAGTATTTGGTACAAGAGTATAAGCCTAGAAATGAATCAAAGATAGGAGTAAATTTGGGATAATTCACCAGCACTTCTGGTCAATGGCTTCTGAAAACAAAAAGATAATTATTTTTATATGTGCCTCTCTATGATGCTTCCTATTAAGCAATTGGGGAAATGTAATAAACAAGGGTTGGTGAGCATCTTCCTTAGTGAGATGTTTTTGGAAGAATTGGATAATTGAGTGAATAATAGTGAGAAACTCCTGTGTCTGATGTTGCTCCATGTTGGAATGCTTTTATGTTCTCAGAGAATGAGTCACTGAGAGCCAATTGTGATGATACACAATGGTTTTACCCAGGTTGGATATGGTCCTCTGTACTGGTACCCTTTAAGTCAGTGGCACTAATCAGTCAGTCATTGTCATGCTTTGTGTTGGTCCATCATATGGTATGCCCTCTTAGAGAACATCCTGATTAGTCCTTAGACATCTTTTCAATTTGAACACTGGGGCTCCTCATTCGGGTAAAAACTATGGACAGTCAGTGAAACTGTTGCAATGGCCCCTCATAGCAGATTGGATCTCAATGCACTTTGTTTACATTTATTTCCTAGCTACAAATGTACACATGATTCCAAGCAATTTCTCTATCATTATAACTAAAATAAACAGTTGATAATTAAACCAAAAATGCCTTAATAGCTGCTTGTCTATATGTCAATAACTTGTTTCACCACATATGCTAATTTTTTGTGAATGTAGTAGCATATTGATATGACAACAATGTGCTAAAAAATAGAACTTTACAATAGATAATAATGCAATATTATTTAATAAAACTACATGTTAGCTTAAGTATCCAGTTATCACAAGACACTTAGACCATCTATATAGCTATCACTATAGAACAGTTTCCTAACAACAAATAATAACCCATCAAGCAATTTTCTCATGTCCACAAGCAATTTTACTTATTTACAGCAAATGGAAAAATGATGGTTGAAGCCCATACAAAGGTTCAAATACAATAGTACTTGCTAAACTTTGTGGGGACATGGAAGTATTATCTGTAAGATGCTATGTTATCCAAAAGCGTGTGTGTATCTGTGTGTTGCATATACATGAGTATATGAGTGTGCATGTGTGTTTACACCTGTCTTTCAAAACCCTTAGAATTCTGATCTCCATTTTGAAATGTGTAACTTTTCTAAACATGTGGGCTAATGGGTTCTTCCTATGAAAATGTCATTGTCATAATTAATTGATAGCTATAACCTGCCATGGAGAAGCATATAATTTGTAATGGGAAAATCTTCGATAGAGACCAATTAGTACTAAGGCAAATGAGAAGTACTTTCACAATCAAAATGCCATCAAGGGTTACCTTATGTCTCTGTCCTATTTTTATGGGTCTTTTAATGCCATATACACTCACACACATTATTATTAAGAGAGTTATATTTCATTAAGAACAGTTTACATAATTCAGGCTTATTCATATTTAACTATCTGTAACCAGTAGTAATTTTTAAGAACAATACACATGATTAAAATAGTGATATTATAATTATGAACTTTTATGAAACTACATTTTACTTAAACTTTGTGCAAAATACATTTAAGAAAAATTTCCATAGAGCCAAACTTGATTATTAAGATGTCAGAAAATATAGAGAAAATAATGAGGGGAAAAATATAGTGACAGATACAAGAAATAGAAAAAAGCATAATGTCTTTACTATTTCATCTCATAAAATAATCTATATTAACTAGAAACCTTATGTTTGTTTTTCTTTTCATTTTATTTCACCGGTTGAAGTTAAGCACATTCGTTGTGAATTATGTAATGAGTTACAGTCAAAGGTTTTTAATAGAAAAAAATCATGCAGAGAAATGTAACCAAAAAATGAATTGAGAGTGACATTTAGTCCAACATAAAGAAAATTTTTAAAGGAAAAAATGGTTAGCTTTACCTTAATATTTTCATAAATTAGTACTGGTTAATTTTTCACAAATATGTACCTAATTGACATTTAATCAAGCATACACAAGTGTATGTTAAATATAAATTAATTACTGTATGTTAAAAATACCGTAATTTTATGGTGTGTAAACATGTAAGTACATTTTAGTTACCATTTAATTACTGATTTCACAGACGATAAATGTATAATTACCTAAATAACAATTCACCACCTTTCTAAGGAAAACATTTTTGGGGTTAAATATTGAGTTAATTAGATGTTATTTCTACAAATAATACTTAAAAAGCCATAGGTGATTTAGCCTATCTATTTTACTTCTGAATTAACTCATCCTCACAGTAATATATGAGGAAATTATAATGTGCATAAAGACTACTTATAAATGCATAGTTATATAATTGTGATTTGATTACTCATCCAGTGCAACAACGTGTTCATGGAAAATGCCAAAAAATTCCTGGGGTTTTAAAATAAAAATATTGTCTACTAATGAAATGAAGTTAAATAAATGCATGTGATTAGCCTATGGAAAACACTATACAGTATGAATTACTGTAACTATATGACATTTCAAATTAACATACTGCATTTTATGTTATTACTTTTCTTGACTTTTTTCTTTGTCCTTTGTTGCTCAGTGATTTTTTAGATACTGACTTTGCTTCATTATTTACCTTTTTCATTTTCTTTTATATGCTCAAATAAACTGCCTTATAGTCTATGTTGGAAGAAATAGAATATTATTACAAACTGACCTAAATTGACTTGTCCATCGGTAATTACTCTTTTTGGCAAATATCTATAGCCTCCTATCAGAGAGGTTATGGGTCTTTTACCATATAAAATCTATAGCTGATAATAAGTTATATCGGAGGCTAATTTCAGAAAAAATCTACTACCCATACAACTGTTAGCAGCTCATAGGCAAGAAAACTGTTATCCCACCTTCATTATAAGACAGTTGGAAGCCTATTAAATTTTAGCAAAGTACCTTGTATGAGACGTTCAAAAGAGACAATGGTATTCTAGCAACAGGATTTATCTAGCATTTTAACGTAAGTTTGATTCTCTGTTGAGTTGCTTAATATAATCCCATTACTGGGTATATGCCCAAAGGATTATAAATCATGCTGCTATAAAGACACATGCACATGTATGTTTATTGCAGCACTGTTCACAATAGTAAACACTTGGAACCAACCCAAATGTCCAACAATGATAGACTGGATTAAGAAAATGTGGCACATACACACCATGGAATACTATGCAGCCATAAAAAATGATGAGTTCATGTCCTTTGTAGGGACACAGATGAAGCTGGAAACCATCATTCTCAGCAAACTATCGCAAGGACTAAAAACCAAATACTGCATGTTCTCACTCATAGGTGGGAATTGAACAATGAGAACACATGGACACAGGAAGGGGAACATCACACACCAGGGCCTGTTGTGGGGTGGGGGGAGGGGGGAGGGATAGCATTAGGAGATATACCTAATGCTAAATGACGAGTTAATGGGTGCAGCACACCAACATGGCACATGTATACATATGTAACAAACCTGCACGTCGTGCACATGTACCCTAAAACTTAAAGTATAATAATAATAATAATAGTAAAGACTTTAATAATCCCAAAGCCAAGTTTCCACTCTAAGTGGTGTAAGAGTTTGTGCTCAGTAGAGTCATAGCTTTTATATAGTTGATGAAAGATTTGGGTTCCCTAAAAGATATTTCTAGTCAACCCATGTATCTTAAACACCATGATTCATTTTAAAATCCATTTTACTAACTGTCAAGCCGTCTCATATTGATCAAAATAAAGATAGTCGAAGCACACACAATAACAAATTTCTGGGATATAACCTTCCAACTGTAGTATTCCAATGAGGCCACTTTAAATACTAACATACATACTTAAGGTATAGACTACCGTGATTTACTGCATATAAATGTATAGAACTGAACATACTGGACTATTTAAAACTGAATTATATATAATATAGCAGACAGACAATATATATTATTACTGTGATAACTATTATGACCAATTAGTACTAAGGCAAACTAGAAGAAATTTGAAAAACAAATTTCACAATCAAAATGCCATCCAGGTTTCCCTTACATCTCTGTCCTATTTTTACACATCGTTTAATGTCACACACACACACACACACACACACCCCCATCATTATTAAGAGAGATATATATCAGAATAGGTATGTAATCCAGGTTTATTTACATTTAATTATCTGTAACCAAAAGTAATTTTTCAGAAAAATACACATTATTTAAAATACTGACATGAAAATTAGCATGTTTATTTCATGCTAACAATAAAATTATTTTTAATCACAAGTTTTTATTTCTAAGATGTTTCATAGAAATACTTGAAGAATATAAGCAACAGTAAATTATGTGCTGGTTCTATAATAGACAACAAAAGGCTGATTTCCTAAAATATTTATTTATAATCTGAATAAATTATTAAATTTATTTAGTTGAAAGTAATCCAGCATTTTAAGTAAAATATCCATTTTCAGATAAAATAGGTATTTAGCAATAATAACTTTAGGATGTCTAGGCAGTTTATAAACACATGGAATGATAGTTATATTACATAAAAGGGAGACGTATTTTGGGGAACACCAAACATATTTATAGAACCAAAGGTCAATTATGCCTATGTTTACAATAACTTGAGACATTGGTGTTTTTCTATTAACAATCATAGATCAAATGTTGCTCACTGTTTCATCGAAACAAATATTGTGAGGAGCACAAAGGGGTTCAAAAGAAGGCTAGATCACAAGCTTATTCCTAAATGAATTTATGATCATCTAGTTTTAGAATTAAGATCCAAAAATAAGAGGCAAAGAAAATTAAAGTTACATAGTGAGCAATGCAAATCGGCATTTGATTAAGTGGTAACTTGTTTGATATAAACATAAGCACAGAGAATATAAAACAGGAGAAATTATTATTTAGGAAGTCTACGTGGAGAAATTATTATGGGAACTATAAAAGCACTCATAGCCACTTGTAAATTGTAAGAGTTAAGAAGGCCTTTGCCTCTTTATTCAGGAGGTGCTCGAAGGAAATCTGGCTTCTTGTGAGTTTCCTGGAAGTTAGGCTTTGACTGTACAATGGGAGGAAGGGAGTACATTTATCTTAATTTTTATTTATTTCTCCTTAATGCCTTTTAAATGATGTTTTAAAACAAAACGTACTTATATTTCCATTATACAAATAAAGAAAGGCACATTCTTGTCTCATGCTTTATAGGGCGGCTTCAGAGCTGCAGTTTTCAGACTAGTTGATCTTTATGTTCTAAAAAAATTATTGGGTATTCCAAAGACCTTTTGATTTTGTAGTTATATTGATCAATATTTACCATATTAGAAATTAAATCATCCAAAAAATTTTAAGTTGTTTGTTTATTAAAATGACAACACAATGTGCATTACGTGACAACATATTAGTTTCATTAAAATAACTATATTTTCCACAACCTAAAAGCAGGTGAGAAGAAATGGCGTTGCTTAATATTTTTGCCTATCTCTTTAATGACTCACCTAATAAAATAAAGCTTTATTTTCATGTCAGCTTTTTCATTCAATATATCACAATTCATTGTTTTGTTTAAGGTATATGAAAAAAATGGCAAGCCTCACAGAGATATGGATAATGGTTGAAAAAGCCTTTGCAGATAACTATGGATATCCTTTGTTCTTCATACGACCCGAAAGCTTTACAAATGGATTTTTAAAGTTTCTTGTGATGTGTAATCTGAAACGATATGAATACACTTTTGTACTCTTTTTTAATGAAAAGGCACTAATCTATCTTGCACTTCGAATAAATATTTTACTCACCAATGATTTTATAGCATCATGCATTGGTCATTTGGAGAATATTGATTTTCTGACATATAAATCTTCCAAACATTGGCATAATTTATTATCTAATATAAGACATATCACATTCAAGTATTCGGAAACTGTGAAACTTTGCTTGATAGATAAGTTTTCCAAATTTCTACTTAATCCTTGAAAGCTTGAGTTTGCTACTGGCAATAGCTACTGTCCGTTGTTTTCCCGAAGTGACTGGCTCACTTCATTCATTTTTGAGGAAGTCTGCCAAATGCCCAAATGTGGTGAAACTTCATTTCTGTCAGTTGTTCTTTCAAGTAGAAGTGGTGTTCCCTAAAAAGGAAGAAGCTAGTTCAGCTCACAGCTCCAACAATGCATGGGTGCTTCTCCTCAAGAAAACCATCACATGCTGTAGGGGCTGACATTCTTTCAGAAAAGGAGACATGCCAATAAGGCTCAAGATTTAATTACATGACTAAGTTGTGTGACTTCCTCAGGACATTCATTCTCATGGGAATCTGAAGTTTTATTTTTTCCCAGGAGTGTGAAGTGGTGAAGACACGATAGATGTTAGCACACTCAGAGCTATGGCCTCGGCTTCTACTGTGGTACCATCCCGTAAATATCCACAGTGAAAAAGGATGACGACGTCTTAACCATGCCCTGTGTTTTTTAGGAACACTGTTTACTATTATGGACCCTTTGAAAGCTTTGTGAGCACCCTCTAAGGGTCCGAAATCCCACTTCGAGAACCACAGCCAATGAGCAATGGAAACGTGAACACAGAAGAGCCATATATTTTTAAGACTCCTTCAGATAAATCTCACTCCCCACCCAACCCACTAAGACTCTATCCCTGCCTTTTAACCATCCCTGCTATGATGGGAAGGATAAGGAACTATACTGATTTACTTTTCTATCCAAATTGTAATAGTGGGATTGGAAAGAGTAACTTTTCTTCTCCACTATACTCCCCTAGAACAAGCTCAGTCAGCCACATTGATGTACTTGTTATTTTTGTAAAGTAAGTTGTAGACTCTGACCCGACACCAACACCACACCCAATGTAGAGTTCTAAGACTTTACATTTATTAAAAAATATAATCCTATTATCGCTACATCTATTAAAATTTAGTAAAAATATGTAATCCTAGTATTGCTTCTTGGAAAAGTTGTGGCAATTTAATGAAATCACAGATGCAAACCTGTAATGCAGTGGCTGAAACGCATCTGGAAGATTCTCCTCTGCAGTGGCTGAAACACATCTGGAAGATTCTTCTTCTTCTCCTTTTTCTTTCTTCACTTTCCCTAGAGGTGAGCACAGTGACTGACATATAACAGCAGATTGGGATGCAATAAATGTGTATACAATAAGTTACTTACTATATTGTATATTAATAACAGGGATGCAATAAATATGTATACAATAAGTTACTTATTTTTTCCAGCTTTATAGAAGTATACTAGACAAATAAGATTAGTATACATTCAAGGTGTGCAACATGATATTTTGATATACATATATCAAATGTGGAATGATTACCAGAATCAAATTAGTTAACATATCCATCACTACAATTAGTTAACATTTGCATGTGTGTGTGTGTTTGTGTGTGTGAGATAAGGATACTTAAGACCCATCTCTCAGCAAATTATAACTGAGCAATACAGAAACATTAACTGAAATCACAATGCTGTATATTAAATTCCCAACCAATAGGTGATTTCTGAGTGCATTTGGGTCACAGCTTTTCCACATCTTATTTTCACATCCTTTTTGTTGTAAAAAGATGGGGACTTCTTGGAATTTGGCAATTTTGCTTTTTGTTTTTTATTTAAAAAAAAAAGTTGTTACTGGAATAATGACCCATTATATTCTAAAGTTCATGACCTGGACTTTATTTTTGGTGTCAACTATACTTAGGCATTATTAGACACAAATAGAACAAAGAATCATAAATATATTTACCAAAAAATAGCTAAAAAATCAAAATAATAGTTTCTGTACAGGATGACACATTTCCCTGTGCTAACAGATTTTATATGTTCTTATTATAAACTTATTTTTGAAATATTTTCTGTGAAAGCCATTCTGACATTTTCAATACTTCAGAAGCCAGAATAATTCTGTGTGTATTTTTCACTTAAATAGTGAAGGATTTTAAATGTTTGCTTGTTCCTGTGAATATATGTGTTCTTACAGCATATGAACATTAATGATACCAGTAGAAAACAAAATTAGTTCACTGTCATTATTTAGTTCACTGTTAATTCTAAAACTCACTTATTCTCTTCAGGCCTCTTATAAATGTAATTATCAATGCAGCGTGTCCCAAAAAATGAAAGCATGGAGGATGAATAGTACCTGTGTGAGTTGCTCTTGATCAGCCGCTTTAGGAAAACTGACAGAGCTCTAGCTAAAGTATTCACATGAAAGAAGAGATATTTTATAGTATGCTAAATGTCTATTTTCAGAAAAGGTAGAAAATAGAGATTAAAATAATAGAAAAGTATTTGAATAGTGTATACTGGTAAATATATCTCCATTTGCAGTGTCCTGAATTTATATTTTAATGAATACATTGTGTGTTTCTTACAGTATTAATTCAGATGATTGTTAGTTATAATTTAGTAGAGATTTTTATCTTACATATGGATTGGACTCCAAAATCAAAAGGAAATGGGACATTTAAAGGCAGTTTATCTTGTAGAAAATAGCATAAAATTGTCTTTCCTATAGTGCCATCAGCCTCATACATAAAACACATAGGTCACGGAGAGAAAAAGTCTCCCAGAAAACAAAACAAAACAAAAAACAAAACAAAACAAAAACGCAGAAACAAACAAACAAAAAACCCTCCAGGGCCCAGTACTAATAACATGTTCTTTGGAATCAGATAGAACTTTTTGAAATCTTGTTTTGATACTAGTAATTACGAGTCTCTGGCAATGTACCCACTTAGAATGACCATGGAAATTAAAAAAAAAAAAGTTAGAAGAAAGCAGCGGACACAGTAAATATTCGGTAAGTTTACTTATTTTTATCCCCATCTAGTCTTGTACATATTTGTAGTATTAATTTTTGAGACATCTATTTTGAGCTCTACTTAGTTTGTCCTTATTCTTTCAGAAAATGTCCTTCACCTTTAAAAATCTAAAATCATTTCTAATTACCACTATTTAGATATCCCATACTTCAATGAATCCTGTGTCAATGAATACTTAGGCTCTATACAATTCCCCAATATTTTTAACATTGTGATAATGGTCATTTTTTAACTATTTTTTCACACTTTTTGTGACTTTATCTTAGTGGGATAAATTCTTGAATGTAGAAGTTGCTGGCCATTCATTTACTCTGTTTATATTTTGATTAGTGTGGCAAAAGTGTTCTTTAAATCTTTGAACCAGTTGTTATTTTTGTCATTACTTCAGAAAGCTTCAGGCTCATTTTCTCAAATGCTTACCAACATGAAATTTTTTGGGATATTTAAATATTTAGTAATCTAAGATGCAAATATATATACATATATACATATATATAAATTTGTTTTCCTTTGTTCTTTGATTATTGGAAGGGTTGAATATTTTTATGTGACTTTAATTTTACTTTTTTTCTTGGGGAAATTCACCCACTTTTATATTGAATATTCACTTTTAAACAAAGTTGCTTTGTAGGAATTTTCATCAATTAAGAGGCACATATATGATGGTGGTCCCACAAGATTATAGTAGAGCTTCTATATACAGGTGTACAATTTAAAAACATTTTACACTGTACTTTAACTGTACCTTTTCTATGTTTAGTTATGTTTAGATAGACAAATACTTACCATTGTGTTACAATTGCCTATAGTATTCAGTGGAATAACCTGCTGTACAGACTTGTAGCCTCAGAGCAATGGGCTATATGATATATCCTGTATGTGTAGTAGGCTAAACGCTCTAGGTTTGTGTAAATACAATCTATGATATTTGCAAAATGACAACACCTAAAGAGGCATTTCTCAGAATGTATCCTTGCCATTAAGTAATGCCACTCAGACATATGATTGCAAATGCTACTGGGTCAATGAAGATAATATTTTTGATGACATCAGAAAATTATTCATATGAAGAGAACATTTAAGGTGGATCTTAAATTCAGCCAGAAAAAAAAGGAAAACAGAAAGAAAAAAATTCTAGATTAAAGAAATGATATGAAAGACTGAGAAGGAGGAAAAGTGTTAGTTATGTTCTTAAAAACTAAAGAAAGCCTAGTTTGGAGTTCGTGCTCAGCGAGATCAATGGCAGATAAATCTTAGAAGAAAGTGTGGGGACGAAGTCTTGAACAAAGCTATGAATGTTAGATTGAGCTCAAGTTCAACCAGTTAGTGAATGTGAAATTATAAAAGGTTTTTAACAGGAATGTTGATATGATCAGATTAATAATTAAAACCGATGTCAATTATGCACTTCTTTTTAAGGCCTGTATAGACTCCTAGGAAGCCGTAAGGAAACGTTAAGTCATCGATAGATGACAGTTTGAATGTTGTTGACATTCACCATCTTTTTCTTTATAAACAGAGAAATATACCTGATTCTAAGTCAAATGGATGTGAAAAAGACTCATTAGTAAAAGTCAGAGAGGAAGAATTTGTCAGTATTTCCGAATATCTAGGCATCCACTTAGTGGATCATACATATTGACTATCAATATTGAAATAAATGATTCAAAAATAGTAAAGCCACTAATGTATATTTTTAATGTAAAGAAAATATAGGTGCCAATCAGTGACAGAGACAGTATCATTTATATAGGATATTTTTATCAATGGCTCCAGAAAATTGGGTAAATCTTGAGTCACATTATGAGTGATAACAAAAATAAACAAAACTAGATTTTCAGACTAAAGAATTTTAGAGCAAAGAGTTGATGAGCTCTTTCTTCCTCAAAATATATGCATCTGGACTTGATTAACATTCTGAATATATATTGTTTTATTTGAATCTAAAATAAAATATAAGCCAACAAGAAATAATATGGTACTTTTTTTTTGCATTGGTTGCCATTATTTTATTATTAATTTAAATTTGTGTTTATGTCTAACTGAGATTTGATGAAAGGATTTTACTAAGAGCTTTCCTTTTCTGATTTCAAATGGAATATATTCATCATTAACTTACCAGAAATATGGTAAATTGTGCCTTTTTAAACTATTAAGACTGTGACAGCAAATGGTGCTTTTGTAGCTTTGTTGTCTTATCTAACTTAATTACGATTAATTTTGCATGAGAAAATGTTTTTAACTTGTTCTCAGAAATTTTAGCTGGTTTGCTTGTTTTGATGAAAATAAACATTTTAATGAATTCCTATTTCTATTTGACAAAGTTTTGTGGGAGACATTGCACTGAGGATCACTAAACCAATAGAGCCCAGTTTTCATGTATGTACCATCCATGCTTTTGTCCATGCTTTACTCTTCCAGATATTTGCATAAAATTGTCACACTTAATGACTCAACTTAACCCACCATTGGGTTCACACTCCGCATTTGCACTGGAGTTGGCTCATTATTTACTTTTGCTTTATAGTGTGATATAGTATTGTTACTATTTTCTTAGTATTTTATGTTTTAATAACTAGTTTTGAAGGTTATAACTATTTTGGTAGACATAAGTAATAACAAGGAAAATACAAATTTAAGAAGAGTGAACAACAACATTCAAATTATATATTTTAAAATATTGCAGGAAAACTGTGTTCTTACTTAAGTGGTAGTCAACAGGAACCAATCAACAAGGCTCTTGTCACTATGTGGAACCCTACAGAACATCCCAGTTATCAAAATGTAATTAATTCATCTGTAAAAACAAAACTAATTTTTAATTGAACAATATGACATGAACATAATAACATTGTTTCACTATTTTTTTCAAAAACAATTAGTATCTTTCTGACAATAACTCTAGAATAGTGCTAGACTCTTACCCTTTCCAGAACATAGGTATGTGCCTGCTGCTGCAACTTTCTTGATGACTACAGCAAAGGCAGCTGGCAATTTTGCTCTTTCTGTGCAAATAGTTTATGGTATAAGGCTTACCATTCCCAGCCTTTATGCCTAAAGGAAAAATTCATATCACTTCCTTGAAGTGGCTGATCCGCAGGTGGCCTAGTACCTTCAAATAATATAGAAATTTTACAAATAATTTATGTAATGAATATATTTGAGGGGATAAGATAATAACTCTAGATCTACATGATATTCCCAACCAACAAATATAAAAACAGTAGCCCTAAATTTTCCTTTATTGGCTGGATGTAAGATGGACTATAGGTGACGGTGAGTAATTCCCAGGAAATTGAAGAGCAGGGCAAGATACTGGCATCCTGCTAGATCCACTAAAACTGGAACTCTATCCTTTGCTGACAGTTATTGTACATTATAACAATCTTCTCTTAAGTCTACAATAGTACATTTCCTTTATTTATGAGATGTATGTGTTTAAAAACATCAACTGGTTTACTGTCTTCTTTTCTTATTAGACAACTCATGAATAAAAAATAAATGAAAATAGTGAAGGAATATAGCAGTTAATCAGGACTAAATATCATCAGATATGTCACAACTAGATATAACTTCTCCAATGACATAACGATTAAGATACAATCAGACTTGAGGCAGCAGGTGGTCAGGAAATATTCTTGCCTTTAGTTGAAAAAGAGACAATATATAGAAATAAGAATATCCTGGGAAAAGCTTAGCTATACCTAACAAAATTCAAAAGTGAAACCAGATGGTCAGAAAGGCACCTAAAAACTTGGAGACTCTCCAGAGACTGGAATGGAATTGAAAGAGCTGGTAATAAGCAGAGTTGAGCATTGTAGGTGGGTGCCAAGTCTGAGTGTGCATTCCAGAAGTAGAAATGGGTAGAGCGAATTTGACCTATCTCTAGATAAGGAGGAATGGGGAAGTGGGAGATGAGCTTCCTCAATAGCCAGACAATGTTGGGCAAGTGTCTCCAGACAGTACTGAACTAGATTTAGTCAAAGATAACTTTGCTCTTTGTCTGCTCCAGTTGCAAAAATTCCATTCCTTTCCCATATGGGGTGGTTGATTCCATTTGCGATAGCTGAACTTTATTAAATGAAGGACAGGTCAGGGAAGAAAATACCATGGGGAAGCTTGATAGAGATAAGATGAAGAAGACATGATGTGGCAGGGCATGAACAGTCAGCAGTGGGGGATAACGAAAGAGAAACAGGAAACAAGTATGAGACAGAGTTAGGAGGCCTTGGTAATTTTCTGCAGATAAACAGTGAGGGGAAGACAGCAAACAAGATTGCATGGATCTGGACCTGAATGATGGGAACATAATGATGAGAAGAAATTTAATACATTTAGATTTATAGTCATAAGACTATACCCAGATAGGAATATCTGCAAGGCATTTGGGTGTATAGGTGGAGGAAACAGAAAGGTGTCAGGGTTGAAGATACTCAGGTACAAAGAAATAACTATCAACTATTTTGAGGAGATGAGATTATGAAAGCAGAGTTTTGTCATAGGAAAAACACACAGGGCAGAATTTCGAAAAACATTTAGTAGGTAGGTATATGAAAGGAAGCTTGTTAATGACATGGAAGACTCTGAGGTCAGAGAAGTGGGTGACTCCAGACTCTGCAGTGACATTGGATTCTGAGGCAGTGTTTCTACAGCTTTCCTTTCTCAAGAATCTAGATAAATCAGCGAATAAATTAGCAGATGAAGTGTTTGTGTTTCTGCATGGAGAAGTCTCTCATTGTATGTATTAGTGCCCAACAGATGGTCGGACACACATAATTATTATATGCTACTACTACTATTATCATTTATAAGGATAAAGTATTATCATTATAAGGATAAAGTATTTAAACACAAAATAATAAACACTGTTCTTTGAAACCTGCATTATTTGACACAGTTTGCAAACACCTGGTGAATTCCTCATCCCCCAGCCAATGCATTATATGTATCTTTAATGCATATAATGCTGAACAGTAATCAATGTGCTGCTTTTCTCTTCCTCTCAGCCAAGGATAGGCTCAAGCCCTCCTCACTTACTGACACTAGGAAATAACAGTGTGTCTAACTTATGATGTCACCTTTATCAACATTTCCAGTTCCAAAATGTGAATTCTGAATCTAAACTTAAATGTTTATTCAGTGAAAGGCAGGGGTGTCTGTGAAGATTCACTAGTCTAAATAGAAATCATGCTAGACAGAAGGGAGGGCAGAAAAGAGAGAGAGGGAGGGAGGGGGAGAGAGAGAGAGAAAGAGGGAGAGAGAGAGGAGAGAGAGAAGAGAGAGGAGAGATAGAGAGGAGAGGAGAGGGAGGAGAGAGAGAGAGAGAGAGAGAGGAGGAACATGCCAGGAATGATCTGTAAATATGAGTGAGGAGGTAGCAGTGATGGAGGAGAAATTTAGATGAGACACCAGAAACAGAGGACTGGGACTGAGCCTTAAGGAAAGTTTTTTTGGCAAAAGCCAGAATGCTACAACAGCCTTCATGCTGAAAATCTAGTATGGTCACATATGTAATGAAAATAAGTGAAGGCCCTCTTTAAATCAATGCTACATCACTTCACAGTCCCACACGAAGTATGTAAATACAATGCTTGTTTTGTTTTCTCATGTGTTAAATACTAGGAGAACTTCAAAATCAAGGAGTCCTTGTCCGACTACAAGAAAACACTCTTTCATAGTGCTTTATGCCTAATTAATCAGGCAGTTGGTAATTTGGAAAGTTAAAATTCAGAAAAGATACTATTTCTAGAGAAACAAGTAAGCAAAAATATTTAAAATTTTTCTGCATCTCATTTAATTATCTCATAATTTCTATCATAAGAAATCTATTTCCAATAGTTTTGGTTAACATATTTCAAATCTATGAAGTTTACCAGGTTACCAATACTGAACTTAGAAACATTTGTAAAAATAACCTGCACTGTCATTTTTATGAAAATGCTACATTAATGTAATCATGCAGTACAATCATGTTGAAAATAAGGGCTCAAATACATCTGATATAATAACATTAATCCCAATTTACAATTATTTGCTCTGATCTTTTTGCTAACAATTTAAATTTCCTTGCATAGACATCACCCTGTCTCTCACAGAAAGCGGCTCTATATTTTTTGCTTATGTTCCCACTTAACAGCAGTCATTAATTTACTGATACTCTGTCTATCAGGCCCACATCATCTTGATTAGGGCTGTTATCCTAATCAAAAGGCTGATAATTAAGACTATCCATCTGTAGAGTTCTAAGTGGTAAGATGAGTTGAAGATCCTAATTAAGATTATTTAGGTGTTACTTAAATGCCATCATTTGATTCAGCTAATCATACCAGCAGGTACATTAGATTTGCATTAATGTTCTGCTGAAGCCAGCAGCTATTTAGGCAGATCAAAAATGTAGATTGCAGACACTATTTCAAACATCTTTATTTGAAAGTGATATTGAGACAATACATTAAGAAAAGCAGGATGTAAGAACAGCTAGGTTATTTCAATGTTTCTTAATTTACTTTATGGTAATAAGGGGAGTATTTAAAATAAACAGCTTATTTATTGAATTTGCTGTGTATCTTTCAGCATCCTGCACCCTCTCTCTTACACACTCATTCACAAACCAATAGTAATACATTTTTCTAGCATTTCCCGTTTTGTCACATACACATACTGTGACATGGTGAAAGTCTCTGCAAACTAAGTTTACTAAATAGAAATGCTTAAGAACAATACAGAATGTTTTTTTGCCAATAAATATCTGATGCTGTATTCAAAATAAGTCAAACAATATTTTGTTTTTAATAATCACATTAATATCCAATCATCTTCTCGTATAAATAATCAAGAAAACTACTGTAGTAAGGTATAACCCTTTGACATCTTGTTGTTCATTACTTTATGCTTGGTTACTGGAAAATACAAAATGTATTACTCATTTAAATTTATATAGGTATAATGGAATAAAATATCTTCATAGAACCTATGCTTTCAAGTTACTTTTCCCCCAATTTTGATGACAAATAATGCCATCCACTCTTTGGAAAAAGAGATTGCAATAATTTTTTGCAGGAGTAATTACCATAACATATGTGACCATGTGACCAATACTTTGAGTTCTCTTGTTCCCGTGTGGAGGAGAAAAAACATCAAAGTTTTTTTGCCCTTATGTAGCTTCTGAAATTATTCTATTAAGAAATGTTTCTGGGTAAGGCAAGGAGAGAAGATAAAATAGACATAATATAAAGTATGGGAAACTAAAGTTTATATAAAGCTCGTGCTCTATGTTTAGCAACCTAAATATTGGAGACCGTTGGTAACATATATAGTGGCTTTTACAATTTTTGCTCAAAGGACATAAGTTATGCCTGCTAAATATATACACTATTTAAGTATCTATTCATTTTTCAATTCCAATAGCCTAAAAATATTTTAATGTTTTCTTCTCACTGAATATTGAAGTTTTAAGAAAGTCTGTGATTTCTGAAAATAATCACTCTTCATGATTTACAGAATATACTTATATTTATATTAGAGATATGGCATACTTTTTCCTTTCTTTTTGCTGCTTCCCTCTTTTCCAGCTATGTTGAGATCTAATTGATGAATAAAATTAGGCAAGTTTAATGTGTATAATAATTTTGACATATACATAATACTGTGAAATGATTACCACATTCAAGTTAGTTTACATCTGTATTATCCCACTTAGTTATCTTTTTTTGTTTTTTTTGTTTGTTTGTTTTGTGGTGAGAACATTTAAGATTGGCATTCTTAGCAAACTGCAAATACACAATACTGTATTTTTAACTGTAGTCACTATGCTGTACAAGAGATCCCCAGAACTTACTTATCTTATAACTGGAAGTTTGTAACCTTCGATTAACCTCTCATCGTTCCTCCCATCCTCCAATACCTGGAAACCATCATTCTACTCTCTGTTTCTATGAGTTTGACTTTTTTAGATTCCACATGTAGGATTTATACAGTATTTGCTTTCTGTCTGACTTATTTCACTTAGCATAATGCCTTCAAAGTTCATCCATGTTGTTCCAAAATCTCAAGATGTCCTTCTTTATTGTAGCTGAACTGAACTATATCTGAACTATATACATATATATATGCATATATATGTATATATATGTGTGTGTGTGTATGTATGTATATATATATCTCACCATGTATCTATCTGTTTACCTGTCAATGGACACTTAGGTTGTTTTATTATGTTCACTATTGTGAATAATGCTACAATGAATGTGAGAGTAGAAACATTTCTTTGAGCTACTGATTTTGTTTTTTGTAGATACGTACCTAGAAGTAGAATTACTGGATGATATGGTAGCTCTATTTTTAATCTTTTGAGGAAACTCTACATTGCTTTCCATAATGGCTGTGCCAATTTACCTTCCTGCCAACAGTGCACAATGATTTCTTTTCCCCAACATTCTTGCCAATACTTGTTATCATTTCTCTTTTTGATAAGAGCCATCCTATCAGTTGTGAGGTGTTACCTCGATGTGGTTTTGATTTGCCTTTCTTGATAATAGGTGAGGTTGTCGAGCACCTTTTCGTGTACTTGTTGGTCATTTATTGTTCTTAGGAAATATGTCAATTATATTTTTTGGCCCATTTTCTAATCAGATTATTTGGCTTTTTTCCAGTTGAGCTGTATGAGTTTCTTATATATACATTTTGGATATTAGCCCCTTATCAGGTATCAGATATATGATTTGCAAATATTTTTTCCATTCAAAGATTGCCTTTTGATTTTGCTGATCATTTCCTTTGCTGTTCAGAAGCTCTTTAGTTTCATGTGATCCCATTTATTTACTTTTGCATTTCTTGTTTGTGCTTTTGGTGTCAGCCAAAATTCTTTACCAAGACCAATATCATAGAGCTTTTTTTATTATGTTTTATTCTAAAAATTTTACAGTTTCAGGTCTTATATTTAAATCTTTAATACATTTGAATTAATTTTTGTGAGTGATTTAAATTTAGGATTCAATTTCATTTTGCATGTAGCTATCCAGTTTTCTCAATTTGGTTCCATTGGTCTATGCAACTGTTTTTATTCCAGTACAATTTTGTTTTGATTACCATAGCTTTGTAATATAACTTAAAACTTAGAAGTGTGAACTCCAGCTTTGTTCTTCTTTTTCAAGATTTATTTGGTTATTTGAGGTTTTTTTGGTTCAAAGTAAATTTCAGGGTTATTTGATCTATTTCTGTGAAGAATGTCTGATATTTTGATAGGGATTACATTAAATCTGTAAATTGCTTTGGCTAGAGCTGTAATTTTAACATATTAATTCTTTCAATCCATGAACACAAAATATGTTTCTATTTATTTGTATCTTCTTCAATTTCTTTCATCAATGTTTTATACATATGATGTTCACTTTATTGGTTAAATCTATTTTAAAATATTGTATTCTTTTTGATGCTATTGTAAATTGGACTGTTTTCTTAATTTCGTTTTTGGATAGTTTTTGGTTTATGTATAAAAACACAACTTAGTTTTATATATCGATTTTGTATTGTGCAACTCTACTGAATTCATTTATTACTTCTAACAATTTTTTTGTCTTTAGGATTTTCTATACATAAGCTTATGTTATCTGCAAACAAAGACGGTTTTACATATTTTAAAATTTGAAAGTCTTTTATTTCTTTTTCTTGCCTAATTGCTCTGGCTAGGGCTTTTATTACCTTGTTGAACAGAAGTGTCAAGAGTGGACCTTTTGAGTTTGTTGCTAATATTACAGAAAATGCTCTCACTATTGAGTATAATGATAGCTGTGGACTTGTCATATACAGCATTTATTATGTTGAAATACATTATTTGTATATCTAATTTGTGAAGTGCTTTTATTAAAAAAATGTTGAATTTTGTCAAATGCTTTTTCTGCATGTATTAAGATGAATACATAGTTTTTGGTTCTTCATTTTGTTAATGTGATATATCACATTTATTAGTTTGTACCTGTTGAATCATCCTTGTACCCCAGGAGTATATCCCACCTGATACTGATGTCTGATTCTTTTAAGGTGCTGTTGCATTTGATTTTCTGGTATTCTGCTGACGATTTTTGCAACTATGTTCATCAGGGATATTAGCCTGTGTGACCTATTTATTTGTGTTCTCTTTTATCTCATTGAATACTGGCACCACTGCCATGGAAACCTTGCCTACACACCAGATCGCAGAATTGCTGTAGCTGCATGCATGCCAGTGCTAGAACTTCTACCCAACAGGAGAAAGGGGAAACCAGATAAAACTGCCAGCCTTCACCACCAAGGACTCCAACAGCACTAGTTGTCACAGCTACTCACAGCTTTGGCTGTTGTGGACCCCCAGAGTCTTTGCCAACATTTACTTTAGCTGATGTGGCTCCAGAGAGACCAAGCCACTGTGCCCTTCTGGGAACCAGAGATGCTAAGCCACACCCAGCCAGTGCCTTAGCAGCCAGTCTCAGGCAGATATCTTTCCTCACCAAATCCAATTTGAAAAGGCAGAAAGTGGTGGCTGCTCCTTATAAACCTCAATGCAAGGCTACTAGAAAGTCAAAAGAGGCAAAAATTATTTTTTCACCCCCAGAGGAACAAAATAACTATTCAGGAAATGGCCTCAAAGAAATGGAGATCTCTGAGATGCCTGAAAAAGAATTCAAAATACTTATTTTAAGAAAGTTCAGGGAGAAATTGCATACTTTATAATTAGTTTTCATCATAGATACCTGATCTTCAAAAACACTATCTTCTATTTCAAATAATAATTTTAAAATATAGCTTGCTATGTTTTCCATAATTTACAAAGTAACTTTTAAATATCTTATGAAAGTCTTAAGTGTCAACCTCTTCTCTACATATATCTTCATAAAACAATTATAATCAGCCAGATTCTACAGCATAATTTTCCTCTGCCTTCAGCCACTTACAGTCAAAAGTGGTAAACTTAGATATAGTGCTTAAAGACTTAGAAGAGTAATTAGCAGAATTCTGTCAATGAGTGACCTGAATGTTGACTAATCTGTCACTGAATAACTTAGAGTTGAATATATTTGTAACTATTAAGACATTGAGTCCATTAATGAAAGCACTGAGTAATCTCATTTTCTTGGAAAGTAGCAAGAATTTTTTAATTATAGTTCCTTTATTGTAATGTGACCAAATTATATATTTCCTGTGTGGTTTTACTAAAATTAATTTGCTTTTATTACAAAGACTATACTTTTATTTGAAGTTTTATTTGCTTTGCATGTAAAATTCTAATTAATTTATCCCTTATTCTTCTTGGTAGATGACAATTCCATTCATTTTGTCAAAGTCTACTTTTTTTGTTGGAAGCTATTTTGTTTAGAGAAATTTGCTGAATATTAAACACCATGATTAGGAATAAACATAAGTTCTAAATACAGATTTATATGTAAAACATTCAAGAGAGTTTTGCATAAGATTACCATTATTAATTGAGTACCTACTAGGTACTAGATGCATGACAGATATTACCCTTTATCACCTTGTAAACAAATACGGTTGCCCTTGCTAGATAACACTAATATGTTTAAGATCTTCCAGCTAATTCTTGGTGCTTCTGGGCACCTTGTCTTCATCTCCATAGTGGGAATAGTAATATTTGCATTGCAGGAGCATTTTAAGGCTCGAGATTATAGTTTTCACACTTATTTCCTCATAAAAGCTTATCCTGCACTCTTTCTCATTTCAGTAAATGACAACTGCATTCTTCCATTTCCTTGGATTAAAACCCTTAGAGACAACTTTAATAGATCTTTGTCCTACACTGAACGACTAATCTATTGACAAATCTTTTTAGCTCTACCTTCATAAAGTGTTTATAATATTTCTACTTCTCACCACTATTACAGCTATTGTGTTAGTTTAAGGCCATGCTTTGCTCACCCAGATGACAGAACTAATTCCTTGTTAGTTTTACCAACTTTAACTCCTTGTTTCTGCTCTTGTCACCACATCCTGCCCATACACAATCAGTTACCATCCTCATAGACACAGTGGTCTGTAAAAATGCACATCCATTCTTGCCACTTCTGTGCTCCAAACCCCCCAATGGCTAAGACAAAATGTTGCCAGTGCCCCCTTCTCTTTTCACTCCCTCTCTCAACACTCCTTATTTCAGGCCCTACAGGTAACTGCTATTCTAAACACCTGTAGCTCCTTTCCTAGGGATTTCCTCTGGCTCTAGGAACAATACTGGATGAGTAGTTAAGGTAGAAGTACAGAAATATTCAATGCCCTGGGAGCATCCATCAACCATGGACAGAAGAAAGTGGTGGATAAGTATTCCAGTATTCGCAGCCCTCAGGTCAAGACACTCTGAGGTATGTGATGTATCATCCCCAAAGGGTCCTGACAGGGTATAATTCTAGTTGCTCTGGGCAACCTGCTTATGAATGAACTCTGTATTTGTTCTCTTCCTCTCCCTGTCTCACTTTACCACTTTAGTCCTGGTATTTGCTAGAATATTCTCCCAAATAAACTACTTAGCCTCTAATCCTTGTCTCAGACATTGCTTCAAGATGTCCATCCATCTTGCCCAGAGAGAGTTTCTACAACACTTCCTCTGCAAGCCCTTTCCCTACTTGCCTCACCTATTGCTTTCCTCTGTTACGTTGTATTCCCCTCACTGTTTCTTCCAACATCTTCCCACCTCAGAGCATGGACACTTGCTGCTCTTTCTGTGTCATGATGCTGCTCACTTGTCCCTTTCTTAATGTCTCCTCCCTGAGCCAATCTTCTCCACCCCCACAACTTACGCACACTTACATGTCATATTTTCCTTCATAGCCTTTAACACCATTTGAAATGATATATATTTGATTGCTTTTAAAATTTCTCTGTCCCCCCACTAAATATAAACTTCAGGATGGCAAGAATGTAGTCCATTATCTTATTTCTCCAGCCTCCATACTTTTAAGAAAATAAATTTTGGTTGTATAAGCCATCCAGTTAGTGGTACTTGGTTATAGCACCCCTAGCAAAAGAATACAAAAAAAGGGAGAATGTTTGCAATCATCTGTTTGAGGCTAGGAATTCCCAGAGAGGGAAACAAGGAGTAATCGTGGAACTCAACTACTTAATTCAGATTCAGTGCAGTGAAGATGAAAACCAGCTTTCACCTAAGTAAGGAGATTGACATCATAATGAGATTGACATCATAATGAGATTAAGTCCCTTCACTCCAGAAAGTGAGGCCCTAATACAGAATTCAAAGGTAAAATTGCTCAACACAAAACCTGGGTGTGTTAAGAATAGGTATTTTATATTTCCCACATGGAAATCTAGAAGTAAGATCACAGAAACTATTCTTTTTAGTTTTATCAGTTTTCTTTTTTATTCAAGGAAAACATGGTAAAAAGTATACTCTCAACCAACTATCTTGGCAATATTACACTGACTTATAATTTAAATAATATGTCAGTGTGTTTCTTTTGTAGTACATACTTTAACAAATACGTTTTCAAATTTTTCTAAGAGTCATTTTGAATGACCTGAAGTGTAGGATGTTGACATTGTTTTGAGTATGTTGATGGCATCCTATTGCATAAAAAAAAAATGTGGTCTTCGATGAATTCTAAAGTGACATACTGTAGTTAAATATAAAAGCAAAGATATAAAGAAATTATAAAAACTTAAGTTATTAGGTTGATATAAATTGATTAGTAAACTTAAATAGAGACTCAAATTGTATGTGTGTTTACTCTTTGCATAGACTGAATTCTAATCCTAATCACTTGTATAGATATACAAATGTATATGAGGTTTCATAAAATCCTCATTCTCATGACTACAAAGACTTTGTAGATAATTCTGGTTGTTTGCTCAGCAAAGAAATGTTTGATTCGGGAAAAACTTTTTCAAAAAATGTTATTCACATTGGCTAAAATATCTAAGCCAAAGTGTTCTGCACTTGACCTTAGAAGCTCATCTTTCTGAAATAGTTCTATTTTGTCTAATTACCTCCTGTTACATTAGATAAGTTTCTTCATGCTGGTCTAAAGAGTTCTTCTAGCCTGCTGGTATTTGCACATGGCATTTAAGTATTTGCAAGAGTACTTGCCCCTGTTCTTTACTCATCAGTTTGCAATGTCAATCATCACTTAGTCTCAGATTCTGCAACAATTATGAAGCAAATACTAGTTAGTTTTTTGGAGCTTTTTTTTTTTTTTTTTTTTTTTAATATAGTCTCCCTTTGTCACCCAGGCTGGAGTGCAGTGGCACGATCTTGGCTCATGGCAACCTTTGCCTCCTGGGTTCAAGTGTTCAAGCGATTCTCCTGATTCAACCTCCTGTAGCTGGGATTACAGGTGTGCGCTACCATGCCGGGCTAAGTTTTTTGTGGTTTTAATGGAGACCAGGTGTCACCATTTTGGCCAGGCTGGTCTCAAACTCCTGATCTCAAGCAATCTGCCTGCCTCGCCCTCCCAAAGTGCTAGGATTGAAGACGTGAGCCACTGCACCCAGCCGACTGGTTAGTCTTTATTTTTGCTTTGTTTGTTTGTTTGTTTGTTTATTCATTCTCCTAACAACATCCTTAAGCAAGGGCCACTGTTATCTCACTCATTCACTATTCATTGACAGTCACTCACATATGACAGCTTTAAAATTTGGTCTGCGAATTTGCAGAGTTTTACCTTAATAATCAGAGAGAGATGCGGTCAAATGCTTACAGGCAATTCAACATGTTCTGGTGTGCACAACATATAGTGAACACACAGAGGATGAGGAAGCAAGGTCCAACTGGCGGCACTGGGAATGTCCTATGAGTAGAAGGCAGAATGAAGAGAAGTCACTGTGAGTATTGCAGAAAGAAATAGAATTCTCAGTTTTCCACTTGTTTTAACAGATTGAGACATAATTGGTAAACAACAAATGGTACAAATTTAAAATATACAATTTGAAGTTTGTGTATTTCTAGTTATAAATTTATAAAAATACCACCATACTTAGGATGATGAACACATCCATCACCTCCCAAAGAATCCTGCAGCCTTTTTGCAATTTCTCCTGTCTTTCCTGAGGTACTTCCTCCTCTACCTCTAGGGAGCATGGATCTGCTTCTGTTACAAGACAGGTTTAAAAATTCTAGAAATTGATATAAATGAAATCATACAAGGTGAACTCTTTTTTTTTGCTGTGGGAAAAGAGTTCTGGCTTCTTTTACTTGGAATAATTATTTTAAGATCCATCCATGCTGTAGCCAGTATAGTTTATTCTTTTCATTACTAAGAGGTATAACTATTTTTTAAATTCCTTCATCTGATAATGAACATTTGGGTTGTTTCCAGTTTTTGACTATTTCAAATGAAATTGCTATGAAGAATTTTATATATAGGAAGTATAAGTGTTTGTAAGGATATATACATTTATTTTGTTTATTTCTCTCAAGCAAATATGAAGGAATAAAATGATTAGATTACATGAAAGTTTAAACTTTTCAGAAACTCTCAGTCTGTTTGTATATTTTTTCTTCCCTCTAGCAGCATATGAGAGATCTTTATATGCCACGTTATAATTGTTTTTTCCTAATTTGGTGCTGAGTTCTCTCACTGAGAGTGGCCTTTAACCAGAACAGCTATTATCTAAGAGAGCCTGGACTGGGGGTAACATAAAGTTCAGGTGTGTGTGTCAGGAGAGATACAATGAAGTGAAACCAAAATGCATGAAACAGAGAACACTTACCATTCACAGGTCCAGAGAGCTCAGGCGTGCTGATGGGAGGCTGCCAAGAAGTCTGCAAGAAGTAGACCCAGGAAGTTTACCCAGTTGGTGGGGGGGAGTGAGAGAGAGAGAGAACCTGGGGAACTATGCTATTAAGGTCCATGGTCTTTATTCTTTAGGTTTCCTGTGATGGTTGTGTATTACCTAGTTTAAAGAAAACATGCATGCAGCAGGGAACTTGTTTCTATGACTCTGATGTTGACTATTAAGTTTTATTGTGGTCAGCACCTGCAGGGTGTGTTAGGTTTTGGGTCTGTGAGATGAAGAACAACTGGGCTATATTACAAACAGCCACAGGGAGGGGAGCTTTTAACCAGGCTGGAGGTGATGGGGTATGACTGTATTTCAAACACCTTATGTCAGGCCTAAAATTGGATTCTGAGGCAGCAACTATATTAAACAAATGTAAAATACTCCACATCTCTGCCAACACTTGGTATGGGCAGGTTTTTAAAATTTTAGTCATTCTAAAAGACAGAGGTATCACACAGTGGTAGTAATTTGCATTTATAGTGATTAATAATGGTTAGCATCCTTTCATTGGTTGTTTACCATCCGTATATCTTCTTTAGTAAAAAGTGTTTTCAAATCTTTTGCTCATTTATTATTGGGTTGTTTGTTTTCTTAATGTTTTTGAGAATTCCTTCCGTATTATACATGCAAGCCCCTTATCAATTACATCAATTACAAATATATTACTTACAAACATGTCCCCTTGCATTTGATGAGCAATGACTGTGTACCCAGCCTAGTGGGTACAGGCATGAGCTCACTGGAGTCACACAAGTGAAACCCTGTTCCCTTTGTGGCAGAGGTTTATTTCACACTTATGGATGAGGAATTGAGGTTCAGATAAGTTACGTAACTTGCTCAGGGTCACACAGCAACACACAGAGCCCATGCTTTCAGCAACCCAGGGAGTATTAAGGGGTGGGGTTGGAGAGACAGGCCATGTTGGACCATGAAGAGTTCTGAAGGCCAAGTTAAGGTGTCATGGCCCAATCCTGTGGCCACTGAAAGCCATGATAGGGTTTTGAGTGAGGAAAGGAGAAGGTCGTGGCTGTATTTGAGAGAGAAGAAACTAAAGGAGAGGTGTAACATGTTAAAAAGCAACAGGGACGATGCAAAAACCATGTAAATTGAATTTCAACCGAGGAAAAGTACAACATGGAAATAAAATATACATCAGATTAGATTGTGCCTATACTCTGCATCCACTTTACTGTCCCATTAGAATCAAAGTTTTCAATTTTGATAAAGTCCAAATTATCACTGTGTTCTTTTAGAGATCAAACTGGGCATTGCTTCTAAGAAATGGTTGCCTGACCACCACCACCCCCCGACCCAGGTCAGAAAGCCCCTTCTCATATGTTTTATTCTAGAAGGTTTATAGTTTCAGGTTTTACATTTAGGGCTACAACCCATTTTGAGTTAACTTGTACATAAGGTGTGAAGTATACGTGATAGTTCTGTTTTGTTTTTCATTTGCCTAACAGATATCCAATTATTTTTTCAAGCACCATTTATTTGAAAGACAATCTTTTCTCCATTTGATTGCTTTAGCACCTTTCTTGAAAATTGGTTGTCCATATATGTGTAGGTCTATATCTAAACGTTCTGTTCTGTTCCATTGATCCATCTGTCTATGTCATTACTCAATGAGCATAATGTCTAGATTAATATCACTTTATATTAAGTCTTAAATTCAGGTAGTTTTGTTTCTCCAACTTTAGCCTTTTATTCAAAATTGCTTTGGCTACACTAGACTCTTTCTATCCCTATATAAGTTTTATATTAAGCTTGCAAGTATCTGTGAAGACCTGCTGGATGTTTTATTTAGAATGAATTGAAGTTATAGCTCAATTTGATTCATATATTTTGTCTGCTTTTCTTTCCATCTTGGCTAGAAGCAGAAAATGTATCTCTGCTAAGTATAGTTCACTTGATAGATCCTTTACAATTCAACTGGGTTATAGATGTAAATTTTACTTTCTATCAACTGATGAGTTTGAATTTGACTACTTAAGAAAATATAATAATAAAGCTCAGTGGAAAACTGGGTATTTATATCCAGGATTAAAAGATATCTGTAGTGAAGGACTAATATTGTTTGATGATTTGTTGAATTCTTCTTTGAATGCTAAGAATTGACTAAGGGTAATATTTTATACTGAAAATTACTGTATGCTCTGATTTTAGACATCCTGGCTTATATCCTCGATCTGCTACTTAATACTCTGTAATTCTCATTTATTACTTAACCTCTCTCATCTTCCATTTCCTCATCTATAAAATTGAACTTTTAATATGCTGTAAAGCAAATAATTATTTTCATAGCTAAAGTTATAAAATATGTAGAAAATATTAAGCTCTTAGAAGTGCTACCAATAATTACAAGGCTATTACAAATTTTTGAATATTTTCAACAACTTATAAGGATAGATAGCTGATGGGTGCTCACAGCCTTCTTCCCCACTCCAGTCATGCTATGAGCATTGCGGAACAGAGACTGAGACTAGAAATATGGTGAACAGCACAGTATAAGCACATGGTGTTTCTGCAAACTTCCTGTATGCGATTTAACAGTGCTGTGATTCTGGCTAGCTTCAAGGTCGGTCTTTTTCTTTTGCATGTCTTTACCTTTTTCTTCCTTCCCTCTTTTTCTCCCCTGGTCTTAGCTGCTTTTAAAATGTTTCTCCTTATCATAGAATTTGAGAAGTTTTATATGTTGTGCTTTGGTGACGTTTTCCCCACCCTTGGTGTCCACTGAGCTTCTTGACCTGTAGGGTTTTGCTGTTAACAAATTTGAAAAATGACCATGATTTCTTCAATTTTCTTTTCTGTCTACACCCATCTTTGGGGACTCCAATTGCATGTATATTACAGAACTAGCTCCTTTATTTTCTCTTCATACGTTTTCAGTCTCTTTCTATGTTTAATTTTCATTATTTTCTATTTTTTCAAGTTCACTATATTTTTCATTGACAATATTTAATCTGTTGTTAATTGAATCCAGTGTATTTTTTATTTCCATAGTTCTCCTCTGTAGAAGTTTAATTTAGAATTTTTTTTTATTTCCTTGTCTTTTTAACAAGTTGCATCTCTTTTTTACTTTCTTGAGCAAGTGAAATGTGATGGCAACTCTCTGGTATTCTTTACTACTTACCGTATCATCTGTGTCATTTCTGGGGTCTGTTTGTATGAATTGACTTTAATCCTTATTATGGGTAATATTTTCCGGCTTCTTTGTGTACCTGAATATTTTTTATTTAACAGAAGTTATTTTTGATTTGACTATATATGTATTCCTATAAATATTAGTGATTTTTTTTTTCGGGAACATGCTTATGTTCCTTGGAATCAGGTTGATCCTTTCAGGTTTTTGTTTTAACCACTGTTAGGAAAAACCTAAGCAGTATTTAGACTAGAACTTATGTTTTGCCTCTACTGAAACAAACCTTTCTAAGTATTCTATTTAAATTGCTAAGTTTTTCCTCTCAGACTGCTGGGAACAGGCACTGTTGTCACTCGTGTGTGTTCCAGAGACTGTTTCTTCTAATCCTTTCTGGGTTGCCATTTTGCCAGCCTTGGGTAGTTTTCTCCCATTCATTCCATGACCAGTGCCCAACTGAATTCTCAAGGGGGTCTTTCTTGAGGTCGTATGAACTTCATCTCTTTGTAGCTTCCTGTTCATCAGTTCTCTTTCCTATGACCTCCAGGCACCCTGGTATCTCCACATTTTCGTCTCAGTCTCTCTTCTCAACCCAGGGAGACCACTGGCTCCCATGTGGATTCCCAATTTCTGCTCCATCACTAGCAAACTCTCTCTAGGATTAAGGTAGGCCTGTTCTAGGATTTAACTAATTTGTCTCTTTTCTATCAAAGACGTCTGGAATTATTTGTTTGATGCCCAGTTTCTTGAAAACAATGGTTTTATATATTTTGTCCACTTCTGGTTTTCTCTGGGAGGATAAATCTGCTCCATGCCATTTTATCTTGGTTAGAAGCAGGCATCATCTACTCTTTTTAATATTACCACTTTCATCAATAAAATGCCACAAAATCTAGCATTAAAATCCATGATGCCTAATATAAACTTTCTGAAAATTGATTTCCTTCAATTCTTACTTTCCAAAAATATGCATATTCAGAAAACTGTTTTTAGGTATTTAAAATTTTAGAGATATGTATTCGATTAATTACGTTTGTCTAATCCGGTTCTCTGCTGAATTGTATCAGACCATTAGGATCTAACCGACACTGGAGTCCCAGGCCCTCCTCCTTCCACAGGCTTCTCTGGGTTTCCACAGTTCTTAGGGGTCCAAGCTCACCTCTTTATGTTGTCACCTCTCTTACATTCTCTGTCCTAGCTCTGTCTCCTAGGACATCTCGGTCCTTGCCCATCTCAGTTCTTGAATCCTGAGCTAGCTTGCTCTCTTTCTCTCTCTCTCTTTCCATTTTTAACTTCTTCACAGAGCCTCTGATTCATCCACTATTAAATTCCAAAGAACACAAAACCTGTATGAAAGCAGAAGTTTTTACCAAAGATTTGAGTATTAGAGGGAAAAGATCATATTTAGCACTACGCCAGTAAAAGAGTTAAGCCCTCAGACACACCACGGAGTCATCCCAGCAGCTTTCAGTTTTCTTGTACATTCACCTCCCCAGTACCGGTTCTCATTTATGCTTTTTCTCAGATTACCTCAGAAGTCTGAATTCTTCACCAGGAAATCTTGTGAAAATGCAGGTTTTGAATCAATTTGTGTTGGGCAGAGCTCACAAATTGTATCCTTAATGAGTTTTCCATTAGTGCAGATGTTGATGCTCCACGGACCACACTCTGAACACGAGATACTAGAACATACAGATCCCCCTTCTTAGTAGGCAGTTACCCATGAAATAGCAAAATGTGTTACCTGCACGTGCTCTCTCATTCTAATGTAATTAGATGACTACACCATTAAACTAATGGGGTAAAAAAAGCAGAGAAACAACATGTGTGAACATCCTTGTATAGAATTTATTTTGTCAAATCTAAATCTTAAGAGCTACTATTATACTGCTCTTTAAGTAAAACAAAATAAAAATAATAAAATGAAATAACTCTTAAGAGCAAAGTCCGTATTCCTAAGGATTTCTTCCAATCAAATCAGCCACTAGAATCCAGTAAAATGTGAGGACAACATTCCTAATATTTTAGGATGATTGAGACACTTGCCAATCATTTTTTCCCACAAATAATTCTGTCTTAGGAAATCAATTAAATGTTTTATACTATGTTTTCAATATACTAGACTACCCAATATGTATTAAATAAAATGTGAAATTATATAAATGGAAAAATATTTTATAACAATTTGAATAAGAATGGACAATTTTGCTACATTCTTGTTTAGATATGTATATCATATTCTTTAGCACGAGGAAGAATTCGAGTTAAAAATACATGCATAAGTATTACTTTACAAACATAACCATCTCTTTCATTGAAATGACTCTCGAAACAATTTTACCTGTTACAGGAACATGAATTCCCTGCTTAAGAGCTATGTCTAAGAGACTATATAAGAAAAAGCAAAGCTCTGTTTTTGATCACAGAAAGAAAAAGATTTCTAAAGGCACAATCAATCCTATTTAAACAATTAAAAACAATGAGAAATTATGGCTTATGATTAAGTCAAAGAAAATTGAAATATGTTCTTAATGATTCCTAAGGCATGTAGCTAGAAGTACTAAGATAGCAATATGCCTGTAAATCCTTGGAGAGGAGAGGTAATTTACTCAGGGTAATTAGCTCATCCTCACACTCTGTCTTGCGAGGTGCTCTGGGACCACTTGTGCCCCTCTTCCTGTATAAACCTGGTGTAGGTTTGCAGGCTTGCTGAGAATGCCACCTGCTCCCTGTGACTGGGCATCTTCCTGCTTGTTCTCTGGGTGACTGTGAAGAGGCCTTGGCTCTAAGCCAGACATTTTGTTTCCCATGTGAAAACCAAATAATATCAAAAAAAAAAAAAAAAAACCACAAAAAAACAACCATCCTATGCTTGTGAAGGTTGTTTTGGGAACCTGTATGAGGCCTGAACACATTTTTTATGAATTCTTTATGAATTTACCTTTGTTTCTTGCTGACAGGTGTTCACTGATAATGTGGCCTTCTGGTTTTAAAATATTTGTATTTAGGCCGGGCGTGGTGGCTTAAGCCTGTAATCCCAGCATTTTGGGAGGCCGAGGCAGGCCGATCATGAGGTCAGGAGATCGAGACTATCCTGGCTAGTATGGTGAAACCCTGTCTCTACTAAAAATACAAAAAGTTAGCCAGGCGTGGTGTCGTGTGCCTTTAGTCCCAGCTACTCAGGAGGCTGAGGCAAGAGAATCGCTTAAACCCAGGAGGTGGAGGTTGCAGTAAGCTGAAATAGTGCCACTGCACTCCAGACTGGGCGAAAGACTAAGACTCCATCTCAAGAAAAAAAAAAACTGTATTTAATTTACCTAAGCAGCTGATACAGAGACACACCAATCCTAATTCTAATGCTTAAAAATGCATTTTATTTACACTTTCTTCTTTACCCTTGGAGTTTCTATGCTTGTTTAGGCACCATTATTCCAGGGTTCCAAGCCATCAAGTAAACCATTCTCATAGGGTACCTATTTATGGAATGCATATCAAAAGCTGGAAAGACATTGACATTTGGGATAACTATATCTTGCTAGGCTCTTGGTATGTAAAATATATTGTATGCCTCATATTTATGTCATATTTAAATCCACTTGAAACATTTGTGTTTGATAATATAGCCATAAAGAACCTGGGTTAGATTTTGTATGTACATTGTGATTTAATTTAAGTTGCAAATGAGAATATTTGATACATAGAAATAAGGTACTCTCCTCATAATTCTCCAACTTTCCAACATTTCATATCTCATCTGGCATTCCTGGCAAAAATTTCTATTAGACATTGAATTAAAAATGTGTGTATGCTTATGATATGTCCACGCAAAAATTTGGCAACATTTTCAGTGGCCGTAATGGGAATTAGGAAAGTCTTTCCCATGCCACCCAACAACTAAAGAAAGAACGAGTTTTCCTATCGAGTGCAATTTGCTACTGACATTGAAGATCACCCTGTTCCACATTTATGAGACAGTTTCTTGATGCTCTTGTTCCTGCTTCTTTAGACAACTTGACCATCTCTTCCATCTCCTTAGCTGTGTGCTGACCTCACTTTGAAGCTCAGAATGACACTACATGTTCCTCAGCCGGGGTGACTGTAGGAAAGAAAGGGAAAAAACAACAACAACAACAAAAACATAAACTTTATTTCTTGTTCTTGTCATCATTTTTTTTCTCCTCCTGATAACGCTTTCTTCCTGTGGATTCTTTCTGATACATTTTGTGTCAAGAGAAAGGAGAACTTTAGACTTTTCAAAAATTTGCACTTTTATTCCTCTGCAGACTAAACCCTGTGTGGTACTTCCTGCCATCAATTTTCAACCCCCTCCTACTCTGCCCATCCTCCACCCTTAGGAAACTCTTGGGTCTTATGTCTTCCAAATTGCCTGTGGTTAAGGTGTCAAATGGGTTTGCAGGACTACACAGACCAATAAATGGCATGGTAAAGGGAGCCCATATGCAGGCCAAGTGTATATCGTACATGCACTTGAAGGTAGTATGAGATAGATGACATTTTACATTGTGAGAGAATCGAATACATTATTTAACATGTGGTACTGGTCCAGTTGGCTAACCATGTGGAAAAAGAAAACAAAGTTAAACCCCTACCTCACAACACATACCCTAATAAAATCCAGATGAATTAAACATTCAGATATAAAGAATGGAGCCATAGGATTACTGAAATGAAACATAAGTGAATTTACGCTATTGGCATAAAATAGGCAAAGAAAGAGAATATAAGGAAAAGAGCTGTTAATTTAACACTCATGAATTTTCTGTATAGTAAAAAGTAAAACTACCAGCACATAATTTGTAGTATATAACTTTAATATAATATTGATTTTATAAACATGTCCTAATATTAACTAGTTGACTACACCAGTAGAAAAGTGGACAAAGGATGTAACTGATGCTGAGAATAGGAAGCAAATGGCCAAAGTCCATATGATAAATTGTAGAAAAATAAGCAAAAAATGTAAGTTCAAGCAATAAGAAAAATGTCATTTTACCTATAAAATGGGGAACTAAGATGCGTTATGCATTGTTTGCAAGGCTGTGGTAAAGATATATGGTCATACATTTCACTGAAGTTTAAATTGGTTCTTTATGGTGGGCAAGTTGGCAAAATGTATCTAGAGCTTTGAATATGCATACATTTGAGGCCAAATTTCATACTAAGAGTTTACTGCAAGAGAAATTGACATGTAACATATTGTTTAAAATATTTAAGTATTAAAAAAACTAACATATTGTTATAAAACTTTGATTAAATTATAACACACAAAAAAGGTTACTGCAAATCCAGTTAAAATTATGAGGGATACTATTTAAAATCATGGGTAATAAATTACTACTTACATATTAAGGACGTAAGTACAATTCAAAACAAAACACTATATAAAGTCAAACCCCGTTAAAGTATTGTGTGGATATTTATAATTTTTAACTGGTTGATTGGAGTTTATTACCTATTTTCTTTTTTAAAAAAAGAAATAATGCTTTTCTCATTAAATAAGAATGTTAAAATAAGTCTCATAACCATTTATATATGTCACATAAAGTTCTGTTACAGTATGTGATATGTTTTGGCTGTGTCCCTACCCAAATCTCACCTTGAATTGTAATAATCCCCATGTATCAAGGGAAGGATCAGGTGAAGATAATTGAATCATGGGGGCAGTTTCCCCATACTGTTCTCATGGTAGTGAATAAGTCTCATGAGAGCTGATGGTTTTACTAATGGGAGTTCCCCTGCACAAGCCCTCTTGCCTGCCGCCATGTAAGACGTGGCTTTGCTTCTCTTTTGCCTTCCACCATGATTATGAGGCCTCTCCAGCCATGTGGAACTGTAAGTCCATCAAACCTCTTTCCTTTATAAATTACCCAGTCTCAGGTATGTCTTTATTAGTAGCATGAAAACAGACTAATACGGTAGACATCTTTAAAATCAAACAAAATGATGTGTTAGAGTCCCTTTCACAAAATTCTTTTGTTTATTTCTGAGAGGCCACTAGGTGATTAGAAAAGAATAAGCAGATACACCGGAAAAATGTTTGACTTTCAAATTTATATTCCTTGGATGGCACCATGTCATTCATTAGCCACTGTTACCTGACAAAATATTTTGCAATAATAATCTACTATCCCTTCTTTTCATTCTCTCTGGACTTAATTTAATTCATGAGGGCATTTCTTATGTGAATTTCTAAACCTTCTACTAAATAACATGAGAATTATATTCCCAAGTTTTACAATTATGTGATAGAGACATTATAGAGACAATGAATGTCTAACCCATGTATCTGCTGTATATTGAGGTAATGTATACTTTGAAATTAAAAACAAATTCATTCTTAAACAAATGAGAGTTTTCTCTGCTCCACAAAGCAATCTGCTGAAATTTGAAAGAAACGTGTGTCTGGAATTTTTCCCAGTTTTATTTCTCAGAATTCTGAGATTGTTTCCTGGGACTCCAGATCTATTGGATCTCAATATGCTTCCCTGTTCTATAGCTCATTAATCAGTACATAACCATTTATTTTCCTCTAAAAGACAATTCTTACCAGCCATCTTTGATGTAACAAATGAGTTCTTAAAAGTTGGTGTAACAGAGAAGTTACAGCAACTCTTCTTTCTTTAAGACTGTGTCCTCTTCTGAGATGCCTCCCTTCAGCTCAATGCGTAACAAATAGTGCTGTATCGAAGCCTCATAAACTTGCTGCCCTAAATGATTATCTGTCCCAACTGTTAGCAAGTGGAAGAACTGCTAGACACTTTGGAATTTTGGTATTTCTCTTAAGTCATACCACTAGAGTCTGAGAAGGGTAAAATGAATTGTAAAAAATGTTTCTACCAAGATTAATCAATTAACTGGATTGTCAAAATATCACTGCTTTCTCTATTTTATTTGAAAAAATAGTGTTTGATATATAATAACTGTTAATTATTATGCATAGTAATTGTTAAATAAAAGTTTGCCATGTTATCACGTTCTCTTAAATGACTGAGTTTTAAGCTATTATTCCGGAAAACCAAGTTTGAGATTCTAAGGAAACATTCTGTCATAGGAGCCGTACTCATTGCCTTCAAGACAGACCTATTTCAATACTGTCAGGATGTGCACACACATGCTTGTGTTCTGTGTGTGATGGACACATATTATTATAGGTGTTCTACAAGAAAAATCCTTGAAGGGTTTTATGGGTTCTCTAATTAATAAAAAGAAAAAAAAAAAGCCAAAAGGATGAGATGGCAGTAAGGAATGTAGGGTTAAGGAAAACTTGAAATTCCACATGAAGTGAATGCCTATGGAAAAGGGACATTTGTTCACTCGGAATGAGACTGCCTACTTACTCAGTATCATAGAATTAAAGAAAAAAAATGAGAATAGGTGTGAAGACTGTAATTACATTTTCATTATTATGTTACATACTTAGGATATAGGATGGAATTGCCAAGGTCATTAGACCACCTTCACAGCCTTCAAAAGGACCATACATCATCTTGTTAGGGCAGAGGGCTGTCTGCCTTAATCACAGTTTGAAAGGTAAGACTACTTCACCTCTGCCTTAGTAAGGATATTTATATCTTTGTTGAAATAGACATCTTGCCTTAAACTTATCTAAATCTCCCTTGCTCCATTTCAATAGGTTGCTAACTAGTTCTATTTAGTTTGGAATGTATGTGTATTCCATTTGATTGAAGAAAGTTGAAAATGCATACGACTATTTATCACACACTAAGAACTTCCTGGTATCTTGGATGTGGAATGAGAAATCAAAAATTTATGACCCCAACTTTGTCATGTACTCACTGCATAACATTGACCAAATTACCTATCCTCTCTAAGCCGTAACTTCTACATCACTAGTACATTTCATGAAGTTGTGAGAGTCAAATACAATGATTTATATGAAGGACTTAGTAATTAAACAAGAGACATCATATTTAGAAGTCAGTCATTTTTAATATAGTAAACACCTTCAGTCAATAGATGCTTTCTACCATTCTTTTTAAATAATTTAAAATAACATTGTACAGGATTGACTTTTCATGCCAGGCTTTGTTTCTGCAATGTGGTAATTCATATTAATGATTCATTTTCCTGATTTCAAAATATGAAATTTATCTTTTAACTTCTCCGTCTCTCCTTCTTAGCCCATATGTCAATAATGACTGAAAGTATTCATTTCCATCTTTAAACTGCCTATTCCAGCCACCTCCCACCTCCATCTCTTTCCTTCTAAGTTTTCTTCATCTTCTACTTTGGGCAAAAGGAAATCGATGTGTCAGACAGGCCTAGTTTTGAATTCTGGATCTGCTAGCACTTCTCTGTGTGTCCTTGGTTATATGATATAGTCTTAAACCTTAATGTTCTTGCCTGTAAAATGGGGATAATAAAAACCTCTTAACAGTGGTTGTTTCATGCAGCTTTCATTACAAACTTCCTCATTCAAAATCTTCAATGATTTCCATTTTTCACAAAATGAAATTCAAAATTTCTGTAGATTATTGAGACAAGTCCCCTACTCTTCACCTAAATTTATCTTTTATTTATTCTCTCATCATTATCAACAACTACTAGGCTTTGTTGCCTTGACTCCAGAGGCAAAAATCTTATCTCCCAACAATGTCTCTTAAGTTAAGTGTAATTCATTATTTGATATTCTTGTTTCAAAATGGGTAGAGGAAAACTTCCTGCATATACCGTAAAATAATTTTAGGGAAAATATACTAATGTATGTTCCAGAGCACTGGAAGGTCCAAAGCTACCTATTTGCATTGTACCATTACTATTTGATGTAGCCTTTTGCTCATTATGCAATGAGCTGAAATACATTTTTCATCATGCCTCCTGAGTCTCTAAGTAAGAGTGATTGACTCATTCCTTTTCTACCAGTGAGATTGCAAAGCAAAAAGAAATATGTAGTATTTATTTACTCATGGAATTCATTCTTATGAAGGTCAGTTGCCAAATGATGCCAAAACCTTACTTTCTAGAATGCTATTCAAGTTATCAGGCTTTAACGTTTTCAAGATGTTTATGTTTGACAACCATATATAACATAAAATTATGTGAAGTAAAGTATAACATAACTGTTTCTTTTCTATAAAACATGCCTATTTCAAGTACATAGTACACTGCACTGCAGATAACCGGCTGATAACCAGCTCTTAACACATACAACCTAATGATTGAATTAAACCATAGTGTATATTTTTCTAAATGTATTCTTAATTAATCACATTACAACCATCAGTATTTGGGTGAACAGCTTCAGCATCCATTAGTTTTTGAGCAAAGAACTAGAATTCGGAGCATTCAAATGATACTAGAGAAAAGACATGAAGACTGTTTATGAGATTGGTCCATCTCTGAGAAATGTCAAGATTTAAGAAGAGCCGCAATTTCAAAACCAGGGCTACTTCATTGTGGACCTGAATCTATTTACCCAGGGTCAAATCAAGGATTTGGAACAGACCATGGGAACACACCACTTTCAAATTTTGAAATATTTGCAAATACATGATGAGATATCTTGGGGATGGAACCCAAGTCTAAACAGAAAATCAATGTATGTTTCGTATCTACCTTATAGACATAGTCTGAAGGTAATTTTAGATAATATTTTTAATATTTTGTTTGACACCAACATTATTCCTGTCTCTGAATTTATATGCTACACATAAGCAATCATTTTCTTATACCTATTCACATGTAAGTACTTAACAGTTAAAAATTGACATACCATTCATGCAATAAAAAATAATATGCTGAAGGTAACTAAGCAGTATAGCAGCAGCATCACAATAAACAAGCTGTTACAAAATAGCAATAACAAACAAAGGAAGGCTTCCAGTCTCCACCTACGAGTCTGTATTTTAATTTAAAAGTTACTGTACGCTGTATTATTATTATTTTATTTGAGAAGAAACATCAGAAGCAGTCGAGGGATTAGGAAGTGGGTCCTCTGGGGAAGAGGACATATTCGGCTGGATGGCTTCTAAAGTGTTTCCTCCAGTCATCTCCCTCATTAACAATATTTTTTCTTACAAGCCTCTCTTTGATTTTATAAACTGACATGATTTCTTGCTCTATGAATCCATGCTGCTCCAGTCCTTCAATAAGCTGATTAAACATTTTCATTATGTCTTCTGTAGGCACTTTCTCTGCAGGGTTAACAATGTCATCTTCATTGCCACTATTATCATGATCACCTTGATTCTGAACCATTTTGGCTATTTCTCCATCAGTCAATGAGTGAACAACTGAGCCTTAATATCAATAACGTCTATAACATTCTTCAATGTTCACTTCATCCAGTTTACTGAGGGACTCTGAAGGTATATTTTTTGCATATGTAAAGAGGTCAGACAACATTTTATTCTCACTTGATACACAGAATCCCTCAAAGTCACCACCTTATTAATCCTCATCACTGAGCATAGTTGCAGACCCAGAGGGTATGCTAGACATGCATAGCTATGTATTTAGTTCCTGTGTTCCAAGCCTTGGCAAAAGCCAAAACAGCATCCTTCATGCTAAGTTCCTTTTTAGAAACTTTCATATTTATACCACTATTCACTGATGCTAGCTAGCATGGTATTCAAGAAAGTATTTTTTATATTAATTTTCATTGATCTAAGGATACCTTTGTCACACAGCTGAATTAATAAAGTCACATTTGGGGAAAACACATGAAATAAACATGAATGTTTAAAGAGAATTTCAGCTGCAGGATCTGCTGAACAGTTGTCAAGGAATAACAAAATCTTGCAGTCCTCATCCAGTCCAGCTTCCCTGCAGTGAACATGAGCTGCTGGTACAAAATGGTGATGAAACCAGTCAGAAAAGCTGCCCCTGATGACCTATCCTTTTTCATTAGCATAGTAACGACCTAGTAAGAAATGTACTCATGGAAAGCAGTGAGGATGCAAGCTTTGCCTATCATGGCGAGTTTACACTTATGTACGCCTGCTGCATTAGCACAGTGCAGGTGTTCTGTTCTTGGCATTCTTAATTCCTGTATGAGCTGTCTCATTGGCTGTAGTCAATTTTGGCAGGGAACACCAAAACAGTGAAGTTTCATTCGCATTATAGACTTGTTTTGGCATCAGATTTTCTTCCTTTTTTTTTTTATTATACTTTAAGTTTTAGGGTATATGTGCACAATGTGCAGTTGAGTTACATAGGTATACATGTGCCATGTTGGTGTGCTGCACCCATTAACTCGTCATTTAACATTAGGTGTATCTCCTAATGCTATCCCTCCCCCTCCCCCCAGCCCACAACAGGCCCTGGTGTGTGATGTTCCCCTTCCTGTGTCCATGTGTTCTCATTGTTCAATTTCCACCTATGAGTGAGAACATGCGGTGTTTGGTTTTTTGTCCTTGCGATAGTTTGCTGAGAATGATGGTTTCCAGCTTCATCTGTGTCCCTACAAAGGACAAGAACTCATCATGTTTTATGGCTGCATAGTATTCCATGGTGTATATGTGCCACATTTTCTCAATCCTGTGTATCAATGTTGGACATTTGGGTTGGTTCCAAGTCTTTGCTATTGTGAATAGTGCCGCAATAAACATACGTGTGCACATGTCTTTATAGCAGCATGATTTATAATCCTTTGGGTATATACCCAGTAATGGGATTGCTGCGTCAAATGGTATTTCTAGTTCTAGATCCCTGAGGAATTACCACACTGACTTCCACAATGGTTGAACTAGTTTACAGTCCCACCAACAGTGTAAAAGTCTTCCTATTTCTCCACATCCTCTCCAACACCTGTTGTTTCCTGACTTTTTAATGATCGCCATTCTAACTGGTGTGAGATGGTATCTCATTGTGGTTTTGATTTGCGTTTCTCTGATGGCCAGTGATGATGAGCATTTTTTCATGTGTCTTTTGGCTGCATAAATGTCTTCTTTTGAGAAGTGTCTGTTCATATCCTTCGCCCACTTTTTGATGGGGTTGTTTCATCAGTGATGACCATGGCAAACTTGAAAATGATGGGTAGATGCTCCACTGCTTCATGATGGGTAGATGATTTATCACTACAAACCTTTAAAAATTTGATGCTGTGTTTTTTATTAGATTTCTGCAACCAAGCTATTAAGTATTCATAGTTCTCTTCAGTTTTCATTGTGATAAATCTTTGATTGTTTCATAATCAGATACCATTAGGTGGTCTGTGTTCACTGTGATGCTGGTGAATCCACACTCTCAATGTCGCACACCTGTCTGTGTTTTGACTTGCACTTGTCACATGAGGTCAGGTGTGGAATTTTCCACTTGTGGTGTCATGTGGGCACTCAAACAATTTCGGATTTTGGAGCATTTCAGATTTTCAGATTAGGAATGCTCAATTTGTATCTAACTTTCTAAACCTGTGAATATGAGACTGTATTTATCTATCCCAAGAACAAACATCAAAATATGTCCATCAGTGATAGATTGGATTAAGAAAATGTGGCACATATACACCAAGGAATACTATGCATCCATAAAAAGGATGAGTTCATGTCCTTTGTAGGGACATGGATGAAGCTGGAAACCATCATTCTCAGCAAACTATCGCAAGGACAAAAAACCAAACACTGCATGTTCTCACTCATAGGTGGCAATTGAACAATGAGAACACTTGGACATCGGAAGGGGAACATCACACACCAGGGCCTGTTGTGGGGTGGGGGGAGGGGGGAGGGATAGCATTAGGAGATATACCTAATGTAAATGACGAGTTAATGGGTGCAGCACACCAACATGGCACATGTATACATATGTAACAAACCTGCACATTGTGCACATGTACCCTAGAACTTAAAGTATAATAAAAAAATATGGTAGCTGTCTGAATATTATCTAAATACATAGGATATAGAACTCCCATTATGAGTTGTAAAATTGTAACACTTTGAGAAGTAAAGAAGGATGGAGTAAAGATTGAAGGTTGGAAATGGAGGCAACATTCTCTGATATGCTTTTCCCTGATATAATATTTGACATACAATCAATACAAACATTTTGCTGATACAATAATAGCTAGAGATATTATTATGTCTTTGTAACAGAGAGATGTTTAATATGAAATAAATGATGCATAGTAGATAGCTTAATTTGCTTGGTGGCGAAAAACACTGCCTAAATCCTTTGGGGCTGAAATTTGCTGATTTCAAAATGTATGCCAATCACTTAAACCATTTTAAAATTTCCCTTTTCTTATAATAAATTACAATTATTAAAATATCACCCATAAGAATTGAAAATCAAATAAATTTTTGAATTATACTTCATGTATTCTTATAAAGAAATGGAATCAGGAATATGTTTCAAAAAGATCTTTGTCAATTATAACTATCATTGTATTACTAGGGTTTCATTAAAACTGGATTTTCTCTACTTTTTTTGTATTTTGGTTAATGAGTTCTTTGTGATTTATTCTATCTTAATTAATTTTGCCTTCTTTTTAAATATATCTGGAAATTTAAGAGTGTAAAAAGTGACAATTAAAAATCTTTACATAACCAAAAGTAGATCAAGGTTACATTTCGCTAGGTTGGCAATAAAATTATCCATATAATTACATAATTCATTCCCCTAAAATATTATTTTGGTAAGTTACTTAAAAATTTTGGCACATCTTGTGTTCCTTTTGAAGAGAAATCATCCTATATATTTCAATATATTTTAGATTTTTTTCTAACTCCATCTTTGTTTTAAGAAAAATCAAAGTTTATAAACTATGTCTATATTTACAAAATCACTGTGTCAGAGCATGACTTTTAATCATCTCTGCACTTTAACACAGGCCTTAGGATATTTACAAAAATTGGAGAATCAAAATTAGAGAGTTGCAAACACCCTTGAAATCCATCTAGTCCAGTCATCTAGCTCTCCACTTCTTAGTACCACAGGCTAAGGAGACAGACTGAGCAGTCAAGGTAACAAGCCCCTCTACCCTTTCTTTGTACAAAACAATTTCAGTGTTTTTGAAGTATTTGTAACAATGTTCTTAGCAACTTCATTATACCATTTAACAAGAATACATTGAAAATCAATTCCCCAACACTCATTTTGTACGCTAATTTTGTAAGATCCTGAAAAGTTTCACTATTTTATGGTTTCATGTGTTACAGATGAAAAAAAAACTAGAATTCAAATTTTCTGAGTTTTTTTTTACAATATTTTATGATTACAAAGTTAGAAGACTAAGAATAAAATGGCCTAATTTCCATAATGTGAGTGGTAAATGCAGAGCACTGGCCTAAAGAAAATATTTCAAAAAATTAGTCATCTTTTCCTTAATTTTTTTCCAACCTATGATCTGTTGAATGAGCATTTTGCATATATAAATAAATAAATTACTTTGTAAATAATCTTGACTGGTTTCTGTTGACCACAGTAACCCACTGCACAGCACAGCCTGTAATTCCTATGAACCTAGGGAAATGTATTTAAGTTTATTTTTTGATTACACAGGTCCTCATTGTGTAACTAAACATTGCATAGAATATGCCAGTGATGATGCAGAAAAGCTGTCAAAATCAATATTTAGGGGAGAGGTAGCTGCTGGCAGCTCTGACACATTGAAAAAGTTCAGTGACTCAAGTACAAAGACAGGAGAAAATCATTCAACAAAACCCCTGAAATGTGTACTTGTTTTTCCTGACCTACACATTTTAATTCCAAAAAGAGTGGGAGGCACATAATTATTTTTGTCAACATAGATTCATCAAACACAGGGCAAATATATTCAGAACAATGGAGATATTTCCTTCCTGCCAATTCAAGAATTATTAATTTGCCTGAGGAAAACGTTTACATTTATGATGGTATATACACATGTCTACACACACATATGCATATGTAAAAGAAAAGCGTATCAAAATCTAACTGTGCCGGAAAGTAGGACACAAGTGTTAGCTGCATTCACAATGACATTGCAGTGACCTCATAGCTTGCTTTGCCACAGTTTGCTGCCTTTTTCATTGTTGTTCAAAGGAAGATAAATTTCAATATTTCCCTTGCTTGCATAACATGGTGTCGCATTCCAGACTGTTGGTAGTGTTTCCACATATAAATTATTGGTCTAGCACTTCACAGAATCTGGTACGCTGCTATTTTCAGCAGTCTATGCTTCCTCCCAGCCTCCTCCTTGGTGGTATGACTGTTACAGAAACATTAGAGGGAACAGAAATGCTGCCAGTGCACAATGTGAGTGGTATTATGAGGAATCAGATTGCTAAAAGCATGCATATTTGATGAAGCAAGCTAAACAAGGTTATACTGTTTAATAGCCTAAAAAGGCAAATAATAATATATGAGAAATCATTTCTATATCTGTAGGTGTAAGAACCCAAAGTTAGAAAAAAACATCTTTTGTCGGGATTAAGGAAATTTATTCAATGACATCATAGCAAATAAAATCAGATTTTTTTATGTGAGTAAACTATTAATGCATAGCAGAATTAATAATCTTGTAGCAATGATACCAAATTAATTTTATGTTTTAAGCCTATGATATAAGTTAGTTTCCAAGGACAAAGCAGTGTGACTAAAGCCCTCTGTAAAATATCATTTCCTAAATAATAACAATACACCTGTTTGTTTTTACACTTTTAAAATTTTTACCTCTCTGAATAATTGAGAATTTGAAATCATCACACAAGGAAAGCAATATGCTTTTTATTTGCATATAGCATGTTCTTTTCATTAAAAATGTAATATGGTGAGAGGTAAACAAATCTGCCCAAAAAAAGTGTGCAAACCTGCCAGCCTAAGTGGTACTTCTTCTTAAAAATTGTACTGATTTTATTTAACAAAAAGTTCAAGTGATAATTCTAAATAAATAGAATTGCATTGTGGAACATATGTTATCACATTAATCATTTGCTCCTACTGCTATTTCATACTTGGTGGTCATTCTTATGCCATATCTGTAATTATGACATTTTTCTTTACTCTAATGTCAACTGATTACTGATGGGCCCAGAAATGGCTTTCTGTTAACAAGCCTGGAGCAGCTTTGTGCAAAAAGGCTTTTGGGAATAAAGAATTGATTTGTGCATCTTGCAAACAGAAGAAATTTGGGATAACTCAACTAGTGACTAGAAGAATCCCTTCTCTCAGAGTAAATTCCAGTGACCATAGAGTATGGATTGTTGACCATTCTTGACATGCCATTGGTCATGGTGATGGACATTGCATGCCTGTCCCAAGACGGACATTACTGATCATGACAATGTTTGAAATAGGAAAACAGGCTAATAGAGTTAAAGTGAATTGCTTGTAGTCTCACAGCTAATAAGTGACAAAGCAATCATTGGAAACTAATTCTGTTTGTTTTGCTTTTGAGTGGAAGAATGTTAGATCCTAATGTATAATGTTTAGTTCAATGTATGTCATGATAAATAGACATTTACCAAAAGCATACATTTGTCAAAGCTCTGAAGTGTTTGGCTGTGAATGGAGACTCAAGACTTATTACTCAAACCAATATTCATACAGTCTTCTCCTGTTGACATTCATGCTAATATTTTTATCTATTTTATAACCGAAGTGCTTTTGTATATTTTTGATTATAATTTTCTGAGTAGAAGCTGTCCTTGAATAACATTTTCAAGACAAACTACACAATTATTGTAGTAGAAATATGGATTCCTTTCCAGGTGGTATTTGAGATCACTAGAGGACAGTAAGGATTTGTAGAGGTCATTTGTTTTTTTAAAAAAAATTTAATAAAAAGCATTTATAGTTGTAATTTATTTTAATTTCCAGTATGTACGTATTTAAAGCAAGTATAGATAAAATTTACTTTGTGATAGCATCAATGTTTAATTAATCATTTGCTTTTTCAATCTTGAAAGCTAGTGATGTTTACATTTTCTGTTTCAAATCAACCATTTTTAACTTATATTACATCTACAAGAGGTAAGAATAAAAAAATTGAAATGACAAAAAAGGATTATCAAAATTATTACGATGTGGAAAACAATCTTGAGCGTAATCTGTAGCTGAGTAAATAGCAGAATGTGAAGCATTATGAATTATTTTATAGACTTTGGAAAATATGAACAAATATAATTGTTTATATTTACAAAATGTCTCCTATTTGTATACCTCCTAGATCAAGCTGTGTTCATTATTATGGTGCTGCTGCCGCCTAGTTAGCCTATCACTATCTAGAGTCATCAGCTTTCCTTAAAGCCCTTTTCTCTCCTCCCCTTAAAGCCCTTTTCTCTCCTCCCCTTAAAGCCCTTTACTCTCCTCCCCTCACCTAAAGTAAGTTAAATACATTTACTCACAGAACTAGAAGTGGGTGGACTGGCTAATGAATGGTTTAGCTTTGAAATTATACTTACAGAAAATATTAGATTAAATTATGGGAAAACATTTCCCCAAATGATTTTTCTAGTACTATGCCTATAAGCTTTGTGCTTCAAAACAGTAGTGAGAACAATTGCAGTTATAGAACAACTAAACTATTTACTGAAGACAAAATGCATACCGTATTTTCTAGGATGTATTCAATGTCTACAGGCCTGACTTCATTTGCTTTTGTTTTGAACATTTGTTCTTGTTCTCTTCTATGTGCAGGCGCCAGAACTTGACTCATGGCAAGGCTCGTAGTCCAAATTACCCCTTTGTTCTTTCATGTAAATGCCTTCCCTTCATTTTCACACTCTTGCCATGGCACCATTTTTTCCTGGAAACCCACAAACAAATTTCTGATTCTAAATTTGTCTAAAAACTGAAATAAGAGAGAAAAGTTAGAGTTTTTAAAGGAGTGATCCCATACTTAAGGTAGAAAAAATGACTGAAGTCCTGGAAATAATAAAAGTTACATGTGGTTCCTCTCCTTGATCTGACCATTTCAAAACTTGGAAATAGATACTACTTCTTTCTCTTCCATACTTCCAAAAAAGCAGACAAGAAAAGCTCACCTCTTGCTTCAAATAATTAAAGGAAGAAGGTAATTGACACATAATCCATGCTCAATAGGTTTATAATATTTTTCAAATAAAATCATCTAAACTAGATAATAAATGTTATTAAAAATTTCCACTAATTGAGCACCATGAATCAGTTATCTCACTTTATTTCTACACAACAAATAGTAAGGTATTAATTTTTAAAAATATTATAAAGAATAAAGAGCCTAATATGAGCCAATCCCCAACATGATTTATTTGTTCTAATTTTGTTGATAGATCAGTGAATAAAGGCAAAATAACTTCCCTCCTAGAGCTCATCTTCCAGGCAGGGAAGTCAATAATCACATCACATACAACATGGAAAGTGATGCTAATGTTGAAAAAAAAAAGAAAGAAAAGAAAAAAACTAAGCTTAGGGAAAGAGGGAGTATGTAGGTTGGGGTGGTGGAGATATATCAATGAGGAAGGTTAGGGAAGGCCTCCTTGACAAGGAGACAACTGAGCAGAGAATGAAGGAAGGAGGAGTTGGGCCATGTGACCATCTGCTGAAGAGCCAGACAAGCAGACACAAGGTTGCCTTTGGGTGGATAATGCTCACTGTCATCAAAGAACCACAAGGAGGCCTCATGCTGGAGCCAACTGAGCAAGAGAGGAGCTAGAAGAGGAAGAAATTAGAGATTCCGACGGAAGTGAAATCACCTAGACCCTTGCAGACCTGGGCGAGGAATTTAGTTTTAACAAGAAATAAGATGAGAAGTCACTGGAAATGTAGACCTGAGACTCGGAGAAGTCAAGATATCAAACCAAGGCCACAGACCAAGAAAGGGCAGATGCAGACCCATGTTGTCACGTGGACTGCACACTGGACAAATCTGCCTTGTGTAACACTAGGATAGATGGACACAGCATCTCTGTGTAATGCTGAAGTTGTTCAAATAGGAAAAAAAATTGATTGTGGCTTAGTTTTCAGAACAACCCATACAGAGAGAGTGGAAACACAGCTGTGCCTTGAGGCACAGAGAATATTTTTCATAAATAAAAATAGAATATTGAAAGAATCATGAAGTCAGACTTCAGGTAAAAGACTAGCCTGATGTAAATTTAATATCATGTTGAGTTTAGTAGGAAATTGCCCTAGAGATGAAGGCAGTAGTTAGAGAATAAAAGTGTAACACTAAAAATTCTTGACTTTGTTTGTAGGTCAGTGGGGAACTATCATAGCATTTTGAATAAGGCAGACATTGGTTTGCTCAAAGGAAGGATTTAGAAAATTTGGACAAGGAACAGTCTGAGCTTTCAGTTTTTACCAGTAAATTGGTAGTGTCAATAAAAAAAGGAAATGATGGGCATAGGCGATAATTAGAAGAAACACTTGAAAGGAATTTGTTATGAGCTGGGAGCGGTGAAGTTGAGAATAATTTTCCCTTTCCTCGCATCTCCCACACATCCCAATAGCCTTCTTTCCTAGGCTCTTTTATTAGTAGTCGTATTTCAAAACTCCTCCTATCACCAGTTTCCAAAATTTTGAAAATGTCTTCATTCTCTCCCTTCCTCCTTTACCTCCACATTGAGTTTCTTCATTCATTGCATAAGATGGGTTTCTGCCACATTTCTCATGTAGTGTGCCCTCATCCCAATTCCCTGACCTACTCCATGACACAGATATTTGTTTCTTGCCTCCACGTTGGATACATTTCTCACTTGTCTCCTGTCTCCAAGGTTATCAGCACATCTGTAAAAGCTCTTCAATATGGCCCAACATTCTTTTCAGTCTAATAGCTCATTGTTTCTAAGTATGAAATGGAAACTACTGCCTGAAAACACTATCTTTTCATGTATATAGCACTCTGGGTTTTAAAATATTTCCTTCCTTTTGGCTTATTCGGTTTCCCCTATCTCAACCACACATACCATTCCATTTCTGCCCATTTCCCACCCCAAAACTTCTTTAAAAAACATGTCTCATAACATCTTTCAACTCCATGAAATACTACATAGAGTAGTATAATGAACAAATATATTCCAATTATTCAGCTTCTGCAATCATCAAATCATGGGAAGTTTTTGTTTCCTCTAAATCCCTGCCAATTTCTCTTTGACTCAGAATTGTTTTTAACAATCCCAGACAACGTAATATTTCATCTCCAAACATAGGAAAGCCAGTCCCTAAAATACAAAACTCACATGAAACATAACCACAATATCATTATACCTAAACATTAGCAATAATTTTTTTCATATCATAAATAATAGTGCTGAAATTTCTTAGCCTTAGTACTTTTATTCAAATAAATATGCAAAGTCCATATATTGTAATTGTTTAGTGTTCCATAACTATATTTTAGGTCCCCCATCCTAGTCTTTTTGTTTTCCATGAATTTTGTATTTTGAAGAATCAGATTGTTTGTCCTGTAGAGTTTTCAGAGTCTGCATTTTACTGATTGAAGCCCTGCCATGTCACTTAACAGTTTCAGCTGTTCCCTATATTTTTTGTAAATTGGTTGATGAAAAATGGCTTGTCTTCTAGTTTATTTTGGTTTTGGTAAAAAAATTCTTCACATGTAATAATGTTGTGTACTCATATTTAAAGAACATAACATCAGTTTCTCTTCCTTCCTTCCTTCCTTCTTTCCTTCCCTCCCTCCCTCCCTCCTTTCTTTCTTTCTCTCTCTCTTTCTCTCCTTCCTTCCTCCTTTCTTTCTTTTCTTTTCCTTCTTTTCTTTCTTTTCTTTCTTTCTCAATCTCACCCTGTCATCCAGGCTGAAGTACAGTGGCACAAATGTAGCTCACTGCAAACTCAACCTCCTGGGCTCAAGCAATATTTCTGCCTCAGCCTCCTGAGTAGCTAAGACTACAGGTGTGTGCCTGGCTTTTTTTTTTTTTTTTCTTCTTCTTCTTCTTCTTTAACGTTTTGTAGAGATGAGGTTTTACTATGTTGCCCAGGTTGGTAAATTCCTTAGCTCAGGCGATCTTCCCACCTCAGCCTTCCAAAATGCTGGATTTACAAGCATGAGCCACTGCATCCTACTCAATATCAGTTTATTTTTATGAGCTCACCAGTCATGGATGAAAACTGACTCCTGGAGAAGGGGTTAAAAAGAGAATGCAAGATGAATGTTTGACTCCTTCCTTTTCTTCTATAAGTTTTCAGAATAATGCCTTTTTTTTTCCCTAAGAGTCCTGATCCTAGGTACCAGTAGTGCTCATTCCTTTTGAGTGGGTCAGTGTTTCTAGTCATTTTCTGTGGGCCGGATGAGGGTATCTTTATTTTTTTTTTAATAAGAGATGCCATTCATCTGATTTTTATTGATAATACAGGTGTTCTCTTAAAATTTTTTCTCTCTTAATTATGTATTTATTTCTCTCATGTCAAAATTCCAGTTCCCAGTAACACAGACATTTGTTTTCATCTAAATACATACACAGTAGTCTCTGTGTGAGAATACCAGACATTGGAAGAGAGTCACTTACTGATCAGGGAGTCCTGAGCAGATCTTACCAAGGAGAGATATAAACTTCTATAGTGTAAGCTTTTGAGCTTACACTATACAATTTTGGGATTGGGAGTTAGTTATCTGTTAAAACAGTTAACAGCTTCTTTAATACATAAAGTATCTAATGCTTTTGCCGTACCCTGCTTAAAAGTTTGTAATATCAATCGGTACTGTGAATAAATTACTTACCATTCTGCATTGCAATGGATATCATGACTTGAATAGCAATAGATACATGTATTGAGATCTGTGTGAAGGGTCAAATACAAGGAAGGATTTTGTAGTACTGGACTAGAAAATATTTTATCCTAAGTGGAAACAGAACATATGGGCATGTAAGCAGCTTGAGCATGTACTTCAATTCCCTGGTAAGAAATCTCCTCTTGAAAATTTGAGTCAGATAGTCTGAAGTGTTCTGCTGGAATGAAATCAATATATGAAATTTAAAATGTTGGAGTAATCTGCACTTAGGTAACCATGCAGTGCAGTGACTTCATGGGTGCCTTCAGATTAGAACAATATAAAATTTGAGGAGCAAAAGTGCAAACATTTGAGAAATGCTCATAGTTAAGTGGTGATTGCTGAGGAGATTTAAAAGAAAGAAATACAAAATTAATCATAGAAGAAAGAAGATAATATAGTGCCAAAAAACCCACAAGAGAAATAGTTTAAGAAGTGAATAATACATTAAATAAGACAGAGAAATCAGCAATACAAGACAACTGAATTTAAAACTTAACAGATTATTTGTGACCTGACCACTGAGTAAAAATACTCAGTAAAGTGGTTGGAATGGAAACAGTATTGTTTCTCAAGGGTACAATAAAAGACAATGACTTGGAGAGGTGACTGCAAAACAGAGTGACAAGATTCTAAGTAGAGCCATAAGACTCACTGTGAAAACAAATGTCCTGCTCTATTTGGTTCTAAAATTCATTATCTGCAAAAGTTCTACAATGCTGAGGGGCCATATTTTGTTTGTATGTTTCAACTCATACTTTACCTCTGCTGCCTCACAATAGCCTGCAAAAATAGCCACTGCCCCACAATACCTTGGAAGTAGGAACTGCGCCTCACGCAGGCCGCCTACAGGACAGGGAAGCAGCTGGAGACCCATGAGATGGCTGAACCAAACAGAATCCAGACCGGGCTTGCTTTGGAAATGTGGGGCAAGAAATACCAATTAAATAAGGCAGTGAGTGGTGGGAACTAAACTAAAATGCCATCTGGTAGGTCATGGATGGAGAGAACCACGGGGCTATCGATAAGCCAAAGCTGCAAGCTGTCAGTGACTCTGTGAAGAAACCGAAAGTCAATGCGTGCAGCGAGAAGAGGGTGATTGAGGAAGTGCTGCAGCATGGCTATGGGCGATAGAAAGACTGCAGCTCTTGACTCAAGCACGGAGGGAGGAGGTGGTTTTGAAACAGCCTCGGATGCTGACAGATTGCCTTCTGTAGCTCTAAGTCCTTAAAATAACCCAACTCGGTGGCTGTGTGTGGTTTTGTTTGTTTTGTTTGACCCAAATAGCTTGGAAGACTCAGACATCTTCTGTAGTCTCGGTTCTAGCAGTGCCAGAGCTAGATGAACCTGGTAGTTTAAATTTTCAAAGGGTTGGTAAACGATGTATGGTAAGCAGGAAAGAAAGGATAATGAGCACAGTAAGAGGAACTAGGGGAAAGGTACTTTGGTGAGGCTGAAACTGCTTCAGTTCCCGCTCTGCCTCTCTCTCTCATGAATCACTATGACCTGAATAGGGAGAAAACGAACGCACATGTTGGAAATCAGGTTGAGCGGATTTCACGTCATTTCCACATAGCACCCTATCCAGTGAGAGGAAATTATCTGCCTCTTTGTGAAAGTGACAGGGATGTGCAGGCACAGTGCAATTCCTTGGGGAAGTGAGGGCAGTGTCTGCATATAGTTATCAAGCAAGAAATTGTTGAGTGTTGCGATTGCAAAGAAAAGAACAGAATTGAGAACACCCGAGTCTTTATCGATCAAGCCCCAGAATAGCAATCATGACAGGGCAGGTTATGAGTTTAGCCAGCTGTGTGAGGTAACAAGGCCTCCTACAGCTCTTCTTTTGGGAGCTTCAGTTGAGTGATAAGTCATCCTCTCTCTAGAGTAAGGCAGTAGCAGGAAACAGCTGTATGCCAATTGTAAATTCTCCCACATTTCAGTGGAGATGTAGTCCAGGTCTTACTTGCCCCTGTGGATTATCTAAGGCAACTAAAATCAATTGATGAAATTTCCTTCCCACTGGGTTAATTTTCTGGAGCTGAAAACAGCCTTCTGAAAACCAGGAATCGATTCTGTGAAGCTCTTATAAATAGGAGAGTTAATAATTTGGTAAAAGTTTCCTCTTCTTATAAAAGATATTTTCTCCTCTCTCTCTGTTTTTTTTTTTTGAGACAGAGTCTTGCTGTGTCACCCAGACTGGAGTGCAGTGGTGCGATCTCGGCTCACTGCCAGCTCTGCCTCCCGGGTTCACGCCATTCTCCTGCCTCAGCCTCCCGAGTAGCTGGGACCACAGGCGCCCGCCACCACGCCCGGCTAAGTTTTTGTATTTTTAGTAGAGACAGGGTTTCACCGTGTTAGCCAGGATGGTCTCTGTCTCCTGACCTCGTGATCCGCCCTCCTCGGCTTCCCAAAGTGCTGGGATTACAGGCATGAGCCACTGCGCCTGGCCCATAAAGGATATTTTCTCTACCTCTAAGAAACTCCATGCCTAAAACATATGAAACATCAAAAAACATCCTGGATGATATCAGAGAGAAAGAGCATCAGCAAGTGTTTGCTGGCATTAGCAGGTACTATGCTAATATATAGGCCATGGTATATGTAAAGCAAAAATAAAAGAAAGAAAAAAAGAAAGCTGATTACACAAGACCAGTATGTCCTGATGATTGCAGTTGTGTTAGGAAATCTTTTAGTTAATTCTAACATCCTTTGTTTTCTTATCTTTAGCATTTGTACTTCTGTTTTGGTGGTCATTGCAGAATTACTTTGGTATTCACTAATCACTATTAATTCATATGCAAGTAGCCATTTAAATATGTTTCCCTTTGGAATGAATATTAGCTACTATGGTTAATAAATAAAAGTAATTTTGGGGAGTTCTCTGGGACTAGGAAATTATGTAGCCTTTTACATAATTAATCTTTAAGTTCCATTGGTTGCAAGTAATGATGATCGTCTTTTGACAATTTATTGTATAGGTGTAACAAGAATTTTAGTTTTGGGAAATTCTACCCCACAAGAGATTCTTTTGAATATTCTTTCTGTAGAGTTCCAAGTAATGAAAAGAAAAACTACTGTTTATTGAACATCCATTCCATAATCTGTCTTTAAATATAGTTGTCTTTCAATGCAAATAATAAGTTTTTCTTATACATGTTTTTCAGATAATATGTAAAATATTTTTCACATTCATTCAAGGTATTTTAAGCACCAAATGACATTACTTATGGACCATTCTATTCTTCTGTTGTGTTTAATCTCAAAATAATAAGATAAGCAACTATAAATTAGTGAATACTTGCCATGACACATAGACTTTGCATATTGTAGCTTATTTAGTAGATAATAAAAATTATTTTGCATATAAAGAAACTGAGACTAGTAGAAGATAAGTAGCTTGATCAAAATCTAAGATCTCTGTCCTGCATATTCTAGTTTTGCCTCTTTGGCTCTCCTTTCTAATCTTTTTCTCCCTGTTCTGTGGCCCAGAAAGCTACCTCTATGGGTCATGTAAACTCAGCTCTTTTGTATTCTGTTTCCTGATTGGCGTCAGCCAATAGACAGCACCAACAGTCATCAGATGGTAGGAAGAGAGAGAGCAGCAAGGGTATTTATTCCTCTGCCTTCTTTCTTAACAATGCACGTTTTGGCTTTGGCTGCGTTCCTTTTAAAAGGCACAACTTCTGCTGGTCAGTCTTCTTCTACAGCTACCGGTTTCTGTGTTGCAATAAATGCTCCCTTTCTTTGCCCTTTCAGACCTGGGGCAGTAATGCCTCCATGCTTATCAACGCTAGGGTTCTTATTATTCATGGTTGGCTAACACAGGACAACCAACACCATTATAAATTACTCATTATATTCTATGAAATCTCTTCAATTCACCTCCTGAGAGTGCATCAATTTCTTCCAGGACTTTGACTGATATAGAAATTGTCACCAGAATTGGCTGGAGGAAGCAGAACCTTAGATTGGAATTCTGGTATTAAATCATTCACATATTTAATGAATGCATTTATTATCTCCCTTGCCGGGGAAAATGGAATATGATGATCTGTGTCATATGGTGGCATCATGAAGGCAGGTAGAGGGCAAGGCATTTGGAGAGCAGATGACTGTGACTCAGTAGCCATAACTAGAATGATAAGTGTAATAAGCAAAGCTCAGGCTGCTGTTGCTGGTGGTTCTAAAAAGGATATCCAGGGAAGTGAACCAACTAAAAGACTGGAATGTAAGCCCAACTCAAGGCTCACATGAGGAACTCAGATGGCCGCCAAGACAGCTTTAAAAATGGCCTTAATCTGCCATAGCTCCAGGGCAGATATGGCTGAAACTCAAGCCCAGTTCCCAACTGCAGTTGTCACAGAACTGCAGCACTAATGAATGTGACCCTCCAGAATTATTTTACTAAGGAGATCTAAGGGAAGAGTGGGTGTTACTGAGATATGGGATGGAGATATCCCCGCAGACAAAAGCAAGGCTAGTAACTTTTAACCCTTAAGTCATCCTAAAGGTTCCTTATCTGGTAAAGTAAGGATTTTCTGCTGAGTGAAAGAATCAGGCTTCTCTTGAAACTCTTGCAGTGACTCCCCCTGGAGCACTTGTCTTTTCTGCTCACCACCTTCATGGCTCCCAGACCCACAATAAAAATCAGATTCCAACAGACCCCAGTTGGAGGAGTAAAAAACTCCTGTAGGAGAAAGGAATTCTATACACCAAAAAAGTGGCAGATTCAATTGACAGGAATCTAGGGAACATATTGGAGTGGATTCTGAGAGTGTTAGACCAAAAAGCATAAAAAAACAGGGTGATATACCCTACAGGGAGCAAGGATTTTGTAAGCAGCTGGAAGCAGCACTGATAGTTTAACTAAGTTAGTGAATTCAGTCTGACTTATCTTAATCAGTGGGGTTGAATTGCAAAGCTGCTCTGGCAAACTCTGTATCAGAGATCAACCAAACCATGAGCCAAACCCAGCCAGCCAGCTTGTTTTTGTAAATAAGGTATTATTGGAACACAGATGCTCAAACTCAGTAATGCCTTATCTATGCATGTTTTTGTACTACAATGGCAGTTAGATCGTTTTGACAGATACTGTACAGTTCACAAAACCTAAAATGTTTGTGGTCTGGTACTCTCTAAGAAAGGATTTTTGGCCCCTGCACTAAAGGAAGGAACAAAAGCGCTAGCACAAAGGAATATTGGAGTAGATTAATTTAGAAGAACCTGCTGTCATCCCTCCTGTTCCCCTGCTATATCTCTGGTAAGGCTGGACAACACCTTTTCCTTCACCGGGACCTAAAGAAATGTAATAATATTTCTCCTGCAAAGGTCATGGGTGCATTGGTTGATGTTGCAATCCATGTAGACTCAGGGGTTGAGCAAAGTTTTGTGAGTCCTATGGCTGCTACAAATTCGAAGTCCTTATTTAAGTAAAATGCACAATATTACCAATGCAAAAAAATACAAGGAATATTGATTTATGATGATAGAAAAACATCACAAAATATGGAACTTTAAGGACAGTTGTCAAATAGAACTAACATTACAAAATCCAAAAATGAAAACTTTTTTTAAGAACAATTTACTTTTTGATCAATTCTTTAAGTTTTTATTTTTATTTTTCTCTCTCTCTCTATTGGGATAGCTTTTCTGTTTTTGGTTTAGTTTAGTTGTGTTTTGTTTTGATGCATAAAACTTCTTTTTTTAAATTATACTTTAAGTTTTAGGGTACATGTGCACAACGTGCAGGTTATTTACATGTGTATACATGTGCCATGTTGGTGTGCTGCACCCATTAACTCGTCATTTAACATTAGGTATATCTCCTAAGGCTATCCCTCCCCGCTCCCCCCACCCCACAACAGGCCCTGGTGTGTGATGTTCCCCTTCCTGTGTCCATGTGTTCTCACTGTTCAATTCCCACCTATAAGTGAGAACATGTGGTGTTTGGTTTTTTGTCCTTGTGATAGTTTGCTGAGAATGATGGTTTCCAGTTTCATCCATGTCCCTACAAAGGACATGAACTCATCTTTTTTATGGCTGCATAGTATTCCATGGTGTATATGTGCCACATTTTCTTAATCCAGTCTATCATTGTTGGACATTTGGGTTGGTTCCAAGTCTTTGCTATTATGAATAGTGCTGCAATAAACATATGTGTGCATGTGTCTTTATAGCAGCATGACTTATAATCCTTTGGGTATATACCCAGTAATGGGATGGCTGGGTCAAATGGTATTTCTAGTTCTAGATCCCTGAGGAATCGCCACACTGAATTCCACAATTGTTGAACTAGTTTAAAGTCCCACCAACGGCGTAAAAGTGTTCCTATTTCTCCACATCCTCTCCAGCACCTGCTGTTTCCTGACTTTTTAATGATCGCCATTCTAACCGGTGTGAGATGGTATCTCATTGTGGTTTTGATTTGCATTTCTCTGATGGCCAGTGATAATGAGCATTTTTTCATGTGTCTTTTGGCTGCATAAATGTCTTATTTTGAGAAATGTGTGTTCATATCCTTTGCCCACTTTTTGATGGGGTTGTTTTTTTCTTGTAAATTTGTTTGAGTTCATTGTAGATTCTGGATATTAGCCCTTTGCCAGATGAGTAGATTGCAAAAATTTTCTCTCATTCTGTAGGTTGCCGATTCACTCTGATGGTAGTTTCTTTTGCTGTGCAGAAGCTCTTTAGTTTAACTAGATCCGATTTGTCAATTTTGGCTTTTGTTGCCATTGCTTTTGGTGTTTTAGACATGAAGTCCTTGCCCATGCCTATGTCCTGAATGGTATTGCCTGGGTTTTCTTCTAGGGTTTTTACAGTTTCAGGTCTAACATTTAAGTCTTTAATCCATCTTGAATTAATTTTTGTATAAGGTGTAAGGAAGGGATCCAGTTTCAGCTTTCTACATACGGCTAGCCAGTTTTCCCAGCACCATTTATTAAATAGGGAATCCTTTCCCCATTGCTTGTTTTTCTCAGGTTTGTCAAAGATCAGGTAGTTGTAGATATGCAGCATTATTTCTGAGGGCTCTGTTCTGTTCCATTGGTCTATATCTCTGTTTTGGTACCAGTACCATGCTGTTTTGGTTACTGTAGCCTTGTAGTATAGTTTGAAGTCAGGTAGTGTGATGCCTCCAGCTTTGTTGTTTTGGCTTAGGATTGACTTGGCAATGCAGGCTCTTTTTTGGTTCCATATGAACTTTAAAGTAGTTTTTTCCAATTCTGTGAAGAAAGTCATTGGTAGCTTGATGGGGATGGCACTGAATCTATAAATTACCTTGGGCAGTATGGCCATTTTCATGATATTGATTCTTCCTATCCATGAGCATGGAATGTTCTTCCATTTGTTTGTATCCTCTTTTATTTCATTGAGCAGTGGTTTTATTTCTCCTTGAAGAGGTCCTTCATGTCCCTCGTAAGTTGGATTCCTAGGTATTTTATTCTGTTTCAAGCAATTGTGAATGGGAGTTCACTCATGATTTGGCTCTCTGTTTGTCTGTTATTGGTATAAGAATGCTTGTGATTTTTGCACATTGATTTTGTATCCTGAGACTTTGCTGAAGTTGCCTATCAGCTTAAGGAGATTTTGGGCTGAGACAATGGGGTTTTCTAGATATACAATCATGTCATCTGCAAACAGGGACAATTTGACTTCCTCTTTTCCTAATTGAATACCCTTTATTTCCTTCTCCTGCCTGATTGCCCAGGCCAGAACTTCCAACACTATGTTGAATAGGAGTGGTGAGAGAGGGCATCCGTGTCTTGTTCCAGTTTTCAAAGGGAATGCCTCCAGTTTTTGCCTATTCAGTATGATATTGGCTGTGGGTTTGTCATAGATAGCTCTTATTATTTTGAGATACGTGTTCTTAACAGTGGTTCCACAGTGGTAGAGGTCAAATAGTAACATTTAGCTATGAGATAAAGTGCACCCAATTACCATAATATGCTTTGAGTTATCTGTGGTTGTTGCTGATTCATCACTAATATCTCGGAAAGATGTAGATGAGTAACCCTTTTAGGTACTGTTTGACATATATAATAGGATAAGGTAAAGGTTGTTGAAATCGAGTTGAGTTGAAGTAGTGAAGATTCATGAACTGGATGTTCATGTCACCCCAACATTCATATGTTGAAACCCTAATTCTGAATTAGATAGTATTTGGAGGTGGGCCTTTGAGAGGTAATTAGTTCATGAAAGTGGAACCCTCATGATAGAATCAGTTCCATTAAAAAAAGAGAAAGAGACATGAAATCCTCTCTCTTTCTTCTGTGAGGATACAGGAGAAGAAAGCCACTTGCAAACCAGGAAGTAGGCCTTCGCCAGATACAGAATCTGCTGACACATTGACTTTGGATTTCCTGGCTTCCAGGATTAGGAGAAATGAATGTCAATTGTTTAAGCCACCCAGTCTTGGGTGTGCTGTTATAGCAGCCTGAACTAAGATACTAGCTTAAGTCAATTCACAAAACTGGCTCTCCTCAACTGATAGGAAGCCAGTTTAATGGAGGAAGAACTTATATCACAGGCTTCTGTGGTATCTGAGAATATCTCTCCAAACCTCTTCCTAAAGGTACCTGTAGACATTTACCTGAGTGTCTGTTAGTAAAAAGGCAACACATAGAATTTGTGATTTATGTTGTCTGTGTTCTTATACTAATCTGCTGAGCTTCCACCAAGATCCATTGCTAATAGTAAGAACTTACAGAGGTCAAGGGATAAATGGATTCTTGGCTTAAGTCCATTTCACTGGGGTCCAACTGAACCCCAAATCCATCTTGTAGTTATTGTATTGTATGTTTTAGAAGGCATAGTGAGAGTAGATATACTCAGTGACATGCAGGACCTTCACATTGGCTACCATATTTGTGAACTGAGCTATTATATTAGGAAAGGACAAGCAGAGTCCCTGAAACTGTCCCCTTTTACCCATCATCCCTCACAGTAACCAACTGAAAGCATTATTGCATCCATAAAAGCACAGAAGAATTTTGTGCCACCATCAAGAGGTACAGGGGTCTTCCCAGCACGTCTCTGTATGACTGGCCTGAATGGCCAGTTGAAAAAGGCAGGTGGGAAATGCAGAGTGAAAAGGAATAATTAAAAATATAATTGGGTGGTCTCACTAATTCCAACTGTAATAGTTTGTGTGTTATCTTTATTGGATCAAACAGTGTTAACATTTGGCATGTGGCATGCAGCTACCGACATAGTACTGTGCTTTCTTTCCAACAGCCTTTAACAATGACAGCCAGGTCAATTTGCCTCCTGAGACGTGGACAGCAGTGCCATCACCTTTTCTTAACTCAGGATAATATCTACTCTCCTGCTCTCTGAAATATGTAGATTTCAGGACCCTCAGTCACCTTAATAGTACATAGAACATCATACTCTCTGTTCATTGATGATACTGCGCTAATTGGATCTGGTGAGTACAGTGCAGCAGGCTTTAATATGAGAATATGACAGAGAAAAGATACAAGGCTCATGTAAATCCAAGAGCCTCACAAATTGGAGAGGTTCTTAGCAGTCCAATAATCGGGGAATCTTAAAAATATTCTGAGATAATTTTCTGTATCTTGCACTATCTACCATGAAGAAAAAGCCACATTTTGGTAGACTGTTCGGCCCACTGACCAAAATCTGTTAGACTGATATATTTTAGAGGACCTGAACCAAGTCCAATTTTGCAACAGTTCCTAGATACAGTATAAGCTTCCCTGCCTCTCACTTAAGGCCTAGGCATATCATTGGCAAATAAGAAGACTCTGAAAAGCCCCACTAGGAGAATCACAGTACTAGTTCTATTCTATTTACAATTATTCGCCATTTCAAAATTAGTTCCTAAGATTGAGCACCTGACAACTTGATATAGGTAACCAAGAGATTATGCAACTTAACGGCCCACTATGAACTGCTATTGTATGATCCTTAAACCACAAAATTTGATGTGCACAATAGCATTTTATTGTTAAATGGGAATGACATTTATAAAGCTGGGCCTCTGAAAGTCCAGTGGAGCTAAGTTAATTCTAATTTGTGATTGGGAGGTACTCATGACAGAAAATCGCCATTTTGACATACCCCAAACACAGCAGCACAAAGCAACTGCCTGTGATTGTCAATTATCTGCACTAACTTTGAATAGACAACTGAGAGTAAAATTGACCATTAGCTGTTATTAATCTTTTAAATAGCTTATTTATCAGGACAATATTTTCTTTGAGGAATGGTTTCACATCGTTGATAAACAGTTTCCTATTACTAACATTAAACTAAATAATATATGTCATATTTCTTTTTTACCCTTAGAAAGTTAATCTAATAATATTATTCTGATTAGTGGTACTTTTTTTAATTTTTGTAATGTTGTTTATGGTGTTTGATTTGTACTTTTTTGTCTTTTTCATACCTTTTAATAACATCCGATTTACTACTGGAGCATTTTATTTTCATCGTCTCTTAAAATACTTAATAACTTTTAGATTTGTTGTTCACAAAACTAAATAATTGCTTGATGTTTCATTTTATCCTTCTTATTAAATAGGCAGCTCGTGTACATATGAAAGTGTCTTTTTATACACCGAAACCAATCTATACAGAACCCTAACATTTTGCATGGCTTCTAAAAGCAAAATTTTCCTCAAATTTGTCACCACCTATAATTTTGACATTTCTCCCAGTGTCACATGATTCTTGGTGTTCCTAATAGATCAGTAGTGATTAATCTACTTCCCATATCCAACATCATCCTGGGTTCATGCCAGCTGGGTCTCTGAATGAATTGCAGCAAAGAAAGTGATTTGTTATTAAGACTGGTACTGTCAGGCATGTAGCACCCTTGATGAGTGAAGTTTCCCTCAGTAAGCTTATTTCTTTTTCCCCTCAAGTCTTACCAGGAGTTTGCACCCTTGCAAAGAAATGGCACAATTGCCAGTCTAGGCAAGATGAAGAGGTAGCTGAGGGCTTAGAGAAATCATTATAAGATCATACCTTCAAGTCTGTATTTCAGTGATAGTATAATATGGGTTACTAAGACCGAACAGTACACATTCACATGCATTCCTTTAGGCTTTGTGAGTATCAGCAAGTATTAATATGTCAGACATATTGAGAAGAAAACAGTATTGGGACATATCTAGAAAGGTTAAAGGAAAAAGCAAGATTCCTTTTAGAAGGTTTGGCTGATGAGTCTCAAAGCTTGTTTCTTCCTATAATGGTGTTTTGTACTTATTGCTATCATTATATTCACCATGCCTGTTTCTAATAGACTCCTACAGCTCATAGAAGCAACTCAGCCTCATAGTCTTTCTAATTCTAAACATAGACATTTGTTATGAATAAACGTCTCTTAAAGCATCCTTCTTGATGAGATCGTCACTCTGTCTCTGATTTTCTTGATACCTCTTATTATGACAATTAACTAAGGATGTTTCTGAAACATATTCCCTTACCTTGCCTACTCTGACAATCATTACAGTGCATTACATTCATCTCCAAATTCCTTTAAGTAATTCATAATAGTGTGTGGAGGACTGAGATATTTGGAATCCCACTTATACCTGTAAAGATTACTCTTAAAATAATCATTTGTCATTTTAATTTCATTTTACTTAGTCTCACTTTCAAAATGCAAAACTATTACTTTCTCTTTAATAGTATGAACAAGGGGAATACTGTAGACTCAAATCTTAGGTTGCCTGCTTCATTCCTTTATCTCATTACAATTCCATCAGTTTCACTTTTTATTCCTGTCTCATCTGATATTTCTTTCTTTTATTGAGATTTCTGAGATGCTTGATTTTTGTTTTCATTTGGTATATATTTTTCTATTATAATCCTGAAACTTCCAGAAAGTTAAGAAAGACACTTTTTGATTCCAACTTTCATTTACCTCTTTGGGGAAGCCATTGTGCATGCTAACGGGTGTCCACCTTGTGCAAATAATCCCAGATCCACAAAGCACTAGGAGAATTAGCCTTTGTCTTTTGCTCTTCTATGGTTACCTCTATTAAGGTATTCATCAATAAACATGCAAGGAAATGCTTCTCTGCAATTGCTGTCATTTACTACCTAGTGATGTGACAAGTAAGGTAGAAAAAAACGTGCAAGTAGACCAGATTTCAAGCAGGCGTGCTTCGAATCATAAACTTAAACTACACTGTAAACTTCTTCCATTTTTCCCCTGTCGACCATACTCAGTTTTCCACATTTTCTAGTCTCGTCTATGGCACTCCCTAGGAAAATCACACAAGTGGTTAAGTTAAGCTTGTAAACATATGACTTTTGAGTAATTGTCAATAACTTGGAAAGAGACTTACTTTAGCATATCTTTTTGTGATGTATGGCTAGTTCTTTCTTGGTCATTACACTAATGCTGTTTGGTTTTGTTTAAATATTATGTTTCTGAGATCAGAATTATGGAAGAACTAGAAATTTACGTTTGACTTTATCTTAGAGAAATCATTTGGGATTAAACTATATTACATTGTTATTTTCATTGTCTGTGCACTTTTGTTTCTGTTTGCTATCAGGCACTTTTTCCATGGATTAAGTTTACTGATTTCTAAAATATTATTAGAACACACTAATATAATTTATTGTCAATAAATTATTATTATTTTACCTATTAAGAAATCTAAGAAACAAATCCTGCGTGGATGCTAGAATTTATTACAATGCCACTTATTATGATGCCACTTTAAGTCAAATAATTATGCATCATCAAGCACCCAACACACTGTCTGGGACATCATATAAATGTGAGGATGTATTGGAACTGGCACAGAGTAGGATCGAATCCCAGCGATTTCATCCAATTACTTGAGACTGGAAAAGTAAACCATTTAAATAGAGAAACCCTTAGTTATGTAATACTAAATTAGAAATAGTATTATCAGATTGGCCGAGTTGCTGTGAGAATTAATAAATTGTTGCATATAAATATAAATTGTCTTTTTAATAAAAAAAATGGATCAATCCTCCCAGTGAAAATAACTAGAAAATATGGGAAAAATACATTGTAAAAAGTCTCTCTGAAGGCATTAGAGAGATGCCAAGGTTGCTTGGACTTGAGGAGCTAAGTCCTGGAGACTAGGGACACTCATGCAGTGTGAATGATGTGGCATTTCCTTCTAAGGGACTCCCTGATCCTTAAGTGGCTGGGCTGAGAAGCTAAGTCAAACCGAGTGTGTCCTAGGGGGCAGGGAAACAAGGAAGAGAAAACTACACACACAAAAAATCCCTTTAAAATGACTACGTATGCAAGTTAAAGAGTAAAAACCAAGATAGAAAACATTACCTTTTCTTATATGTGACTACTTATACCTTAATTTTTTTGGGAAAAAAAAAAGTATAATTAACTAGCTAAATGGAGTTGGAGGAAAACTATCCTGTCTTGCGTGAGATAAGTATTACATGCTTTCGTGATGCAACAGTTATTTGACTTTTATTTTCCAGATGCAAGTTCTTACTTTTGTGCTTAGAAGAGTAATGTTCCTAGGTTGAAATTAGGGACATTATGAGGAGAATTGCTTTACCCTTCAATCATTACTATAACCTCTTTCCTATATCTATATGCAATGAAAATCAATAGGCAAAACTTATGGCTCTTTTGAGTTCCCTAGATTCTATGGTAAATGAAAAGCCAAAGAATGACCAACATATTTGTGAAAGAAAGCAAAAAAGAGAGTATGATAAACTTCCATAAATTAGATATTAAAATTTGCCTGAATTTCTAAACTTTTTCAGAGGATGTTATAAGTGCTTCAAAACTTCTGGCATAATAAAAGAGAATAATATTTACTGATGCTTAATTTTTTTCACAACAATTTTTAAAGGTGTAAAAAAGTTTTATAATAGGATGTATAATATGATCACACATTTCTTTGAAAGCTATTATACATATAAGAATAAATATCTCAAAAGATCATGCATCAAAGAATGTAAAATTGCTTACCACAATATGGAAGGACTCAAGGTGATTTTTATATCATTCTATATTTCCTTTGCTTTCTATTTTTTTTTTTTTTTTGAGACAGAGTCTCGCTCTGTTGCCCAGGCTGGAGTGCAGTGGCATGATCTCCACTCACTGCAAGCTCCGTCCCCTGGGTTCATGCCATTCTCCTGCCTCAGCTTCCTGAGTAGCTGGGACTACAGGTGCCCGCCACCACGCCTGGCTAATTTTTTTGTATTTTTAGTAGAGACGGGGCTTTACCGTGTTAGCCAGGATGGTCTCTATCTCCTGACCTCGTGATCTGCCTGCCTTGGCCTCCCAAAGTGCTGGGATTACAGGCGTGAGCTACTGCGCCCAGTCTGCTTTCTATTGTTTCTTAAACATGAATTATGTCAATAAATTATGGAACATACTAACATGGATGTCATCAGTTCTATCAGTGCTTTTTCTAACCATTTCCAAAAATTAAATGGGTAAAATCTTGGTTTTTGCTCTTGCTTTGTTTTACTCTTACCTTTTACTCTGATACGGATTCATTGCCTTTCTACATGTTTTGTATTGCTGAATCAATCAGGTATTAATCAACTACTTGTGGAGTGCATTGTTAAGGTGCATCTGGAATATCAGATCACTGAAGATTGAGTGCCCATTTTGTGCCAAGGGCTGCCTCAGTATTATCATTTCTACCAATACATTTTGGCCTCACATAATCATATGAATTAGGCACAATTCTATTAATTGTTAATAACATAAATTCAGAACACATTGGTAAATACACATAGCATCTTATTTGGTATTAACGGCAACAGTTAAATTGCATATTATTATCTCCATTTTACAACTAAGGAAACTGAGGCTCAAAGGGTTTATTGTAAGTAACTGACAGTTATTCAGGAATTAAGTATCACATTCAGTATCCAAATACATATTCCACACACTCAAGATACTTTGCTCCTCCCTACAATCCCTTGCTCAATGCCAGGAGAAGACTAAGATTTTAAAAGATTATATCTCCATGGACACTTAGTAGATAAGAGCTGGAATTGAGATTGCAATCTATGATTTTTGACTCTTTTCAATAAAATTGTGTTAGTATGTTGGGATATATGTGTCTGTCTATCTATCTATCATCTATCGCATAATAACCCATACATTCCTTATTCCCCGTGGGCATTGCCATTAAAATTTATCATAGTATACTAGCATTTATTAGAGGCTCCCAATTAAAAATTTATATTAAACACACAATGGTAATTGTAGTTTCTTGCCAAGACAGAAGTTGTTGCAGCTTGTCAATATTCTTGATTCTTTTTTCCTTCTGGAAGATGTTAGGTGGATTATTATTTCTATTCCTCTTGAAGTTAGGCATAATTGTGTGATATGAGATCATTTTAAGGTGGAAACATTTCAGAGCTGATGTGTGATTACTCATGCTCTTTTTTCCTTCTGTGGCAAACCTTGACATCTTGCATTGAGATGCATAGTAAGATGGTGGAAGCTCTGCTATGTGGGATGATTGCAGGTTCACCCAGCCAACCCGCATGGGACATGGAGCATAAACAATAAAGAAATGTTTTCGTTAGGAGCCAATGAGATTTTGAGATACTCCTTACTGCATCATAACCTAGTCAGTACTAATCACCCCTGACTAACTACATCTATGATTTGATTGACTGTTGAATAAACACTTACATTCTTTCAAACATTAAATTTTTTTGAGTGTTTAATTACGCCAAACAATATGCTAGAATCTATATGTATTATGGTGGGTAAAATATAGAAATAACATCTTTTCTCATAAAATGTACATGATTCAGGACTCGCTTGACTATTTTACTTTAGGAATACAGAGAAACATGACATGGTCTGCAATTTCCCCAACATATAAAAAATGATAAAAATTTGTTTTTTTTAAGCAAAATACAAGAAATTTTAATATTTGAATTATTACTGTATTTATAACAATATTAACTTTGGTTTATAAGAAGGGATAGATAAAATGTATACTTAAGAGGCTTACCAAATGATTGGTGGAGAGCAGTTTATGTGTGTGTGTAGAATTAATAGGCCAAATGCCATTATGCTGAGAGCCAAGGCTTAGACAAAAAAAACTACAGATAAAACTGTTTCAATGATTTATGCCATCTTTACGTCCTCTACCACTCTCCACATGGTCTACACACTTTATAATTTTACTCTTTATACATTGCTTTTCTTACTTTGTTCACCTATATAAGACAGCTTGTGTTGTCATTTTTCAGAGTTACATCATTGGTAGCTATTTGGAAACTTTACGTGAGACAGATACCAAGTGTGTTATCTTGTGCTACTTCATGGTGAAAAGAGTTGAAATTTGATTCTCTGTTTACCATGTTAAGAAAGAGCCACCACTTCAGTAAACCATAAGCCCCCACCACCCACCTGAATCCCCCTCCCAGACAATGCACAGAGTGAGTGAGCAGAGCTGGACGTGGCTGATGTTTCAAGGCTTGGCTCCCCACCTCATGAGACAATCTCAGCGTTTAGTAGTTTAGCAGGCCCTCCAGAATTTTCTGGTCAGGCATAAAAAACAGTACCTTCTGATGAGAAAGATTTCACAAAGGTTACTCAGATTTCTTTGTTATTTCTGCAGTTCATTTTAATAGAACTGTATGTGTTTTTGTTTGTTTGTTTGTTTCTGTTTTTGAGACAGAGTCTCGCTCTGTGGCCCAGGCTGGAGTGCAGTGGCGCAATCTCAGCTCACTGCAAACTCTGCCTCCCGGGTTCACAGCATTCTCCTGCCTCAGCCTCCCGAGTAGCTGGGACTACAGGCGCCCGCCACCACGCCCGGCTAATTTTTTCTTTTTTTTTTTAGTAGAGACGGGGTTTTACCGTGTTTGCCAGGATGGTCCCGATCTGCTGACCTCGTGATCTGCCCGCTTCGGCCTTCCAAAGTGCTGGGATAACAGGCATGAGCCACCGTGCCTGGCCAAATTGTTTGTGTTTTGGAGTTAAATTAACAGGTAAGTGATTGGAGCTATGGAAGTCCATCTATATTTTTACATTAACTTCTATTGAAATGATTTCCGGCATATCTTAAGTACATTTGTATTTTCCTAAAATTCACTGATTCAGTGTGAAATACGTCAACATTTTGACTCCACAATGATAAAACCTACAAGAAAAAAAGAGGGGGAAACCTAAAATATCCATTGAGAGTGGAATACTTTCTGGCATGTTCATATAAAGGAACACTACGTAGTAATGGAAATTAGTGAGCTACTGCAAAATACATCAACATGAATATTTCTGACAAAGCTGCTGTTGAGTAAAATGCCAGACATAAAATATCACATATTACTATTTGTATAAAGTTGAAAAACACAAAATCAAATTATATACATATATTAATATTAAGAGTTTATATTATAGCATTAATCTAATAATAAGGGTTACTGCTAGAGAGGAAGGTTATATGTTTTAGAAGCTTCTGTATTCTGATAATTTCCTATTTTCTGATTAGGTTGTTATTTATATGGGTTACTCACCAAACTACTTATTCAACAAACTGTACTTTTATTATTTGCACAGTTTAGTGGCTGTCTGTTATACAATAAGGAGAATTTCATTTAAAGATCTAATACTTTTGGTACTTGTATCCTCTTCTTAAGCATTGCAATGCCTTACAATCAACTTAAAACTTCTGTATCCTCCCCAATTGTATGCTATTTTTTATATACTATGTATTTATATTTTATCATGTTTAGCATTTCATTATTCCTCATCCTTTACTCTCTCCCTCCCTCTGTGATTCTTTTCCATGTGTCTGGAAAACACCCGTCATGTCTCCCTTGGTGTAGGTCAGCTAGTGATACATTCTCTCCATTCAGTTTTTGACTGTGAAATAGATATTTTAATTCACATTAATTTTGGGCTAGATGATTGGATAGAAAATCATTGGTTTATTTTAATACATAAACTAATTCTATCTTCTTTTTGATTCATATTTGTGTTCTTGTTGAATATACTCAGCTGTCAGATCTCATCTCTGCTGTAGCTTTTTGTGTTTTACCATATAATTCTATGTATGTTTCTCTTTTTTTTGTTAAATGGAAATTAGATGAAATAAGTGAAAATTATATTAAAAAGCTTTTTATTAGTTCACCTGAATCAAAATTTTACTGTGATTAGCAAGCACTTTACATCATTATCTTATTTAACTACATGAGGAGGAGTTATTTTCATATCTCTATTTTATGAATAAAGAAACATGCAGAGAAAGACTAGGAGACTTGCTTAAATGCTCACAGCTAGAAACAGGTGGAACAAAATTTCAAAATCAAATTTGCCTAACTACAAAATTTATGTTCTTGATTTCTGCACTATGCTGTCTCTGATATGCATTTTTAAATAAACAATGGAAGTTTAACTTAGAAGATTTTTTGAAATCTGTATTCTTATATTTCCACTAAAATATGAATCCATTATAAGCATATACCACAATTATACACCCCACAAACATATGTAGATACATGATATTTATATTAAAACTCTAGCACTGATCAAAATCTCAGTGTCCTCTTCTAAGCTGAACTATCTTATTGGCTTAGAACAAAACCTCAGTTTTCAGTTGGCATAATTTTCAAGTTCAATTCAAACCCACCAAACAAACAACAATAACTCATCTTTTCAAAAAGTGCTTAGAGAATGTCTTTGAAAATAGCCACTTACATGCCTCATGAGGACTCTGAGAAAAATAGTGTATCCAGATACATTTGATATAATCCTATACATGATAACAGATTTAAAATAATATTTAAAGGAATAATTTTCCCACTAAGTTTATCTATCTTATATGCTTAGAGACATAAATATATGGAAATTTGTGATTAGTAAGAGGCGCCCTTATGTTCTGAAATCAAATTAAACATACCAAAATGCCAACTATTTTTGAACATATATATTTCTGATTGCTGTAGGCTTATTTTACTTTCTCCTTCATTCCAAAAGACTCATCAAGATTCAATGTTGAGTAACCTGTGGATACTAATTTGGTTTCTTCTTGCTTCAGGATCACAGGACAGAAATCTCTTTCTGTTAGCTTGTCCTCCTCTGCTAAGATTGCCGTTCTCTCATTCCTTCCATGATTGGCTTTCATTTATCCTTAGAGACAGCCCTGTTACCATCGTTGTTGAGAATCCTATCTGTTTTTTCCACTCCTCACTATCTCCCGCCCAGCGACCTCCATCCTGGTGAGGTACTCTCCAACCTGATTCCCTCACTTATTCTGCTTCATGCTTCCGTTAACCACAAATTGCTGTAATTAATTATCATGGGCCTCAACTTCATTGTGATTTGTTTAAAATGAGGGTCTCTTTATACTGTTTTTAAAGCAGCTTCGTTGAGATGCAATTCATATACCATACAATTCACTCACTTAATATTGCACTTAATATGGTGCAATTAAATAATTTTAGTATATTCTCACGATTATGCAATCACCACAATCTAATTTTAGAACATTTTGTTCCCCATAATAGAAACCCCACACACGTTCGCAGTCAACTTCCATTGCTTTTCCTGCCCTAAGCAACCACTATTGTAGCATTACCTGCTGCTAGTACAATGGTATGCACATAGTCAATTCTAAATCAATGTTTGCTTTAAAATACAAGAAGGGAAATACGTTAGGTCCCTAGGGCTGCCCTAACAAAATGCCATAAACAAGGTGGCTCAAAACAATAGAAATTTAATGTCTCATAGTCCTGGAGGGCAGAGTTCAAAGTAAACTTGGCAGCGGGACCATCATGCTCCCTCTACAATCTTTAGGAAAATTCTTCCTTGTCTCTTAGCTGCTGGTGGTTGCTGGCAATTTTTAGAATTTCTTTTTTCCTTTTTCCTTTTCCTTTTTTTTTTTTTTTTTTTTTTTTTTTAAGACTGAATCTCACTCTGTTGCCCAGGCTAGAGTACAGTGGCGCAGTCTCAGCTCACTGCAACCTCTGCCTTCCAGGTTCAATCAATTCTCCTGCCTCAGCCTCCTGAGTAGCCGGAACTACAGGCTTGTGTTGCAGGAAGTCAGGGACCCCAAACAGAGGGACCAGCTGAAGCCATGGCAGAAGAACATAAATTGTGAAGATTTCATGGACATTTATTAGTTCCCCAAATTAATACTTTTATAATTTCTTATGCCTGTCTTTACTGCAATCTCTGAACATAAATTGTGAAGATTTCATGGACATTTATCACTTCCCCAATCAATACTCTTGTGATTTCCTATGCCTGTCTTTAATCTCTTAATCCCGTCATCTTTGTAAGCTGAGGAGGATGTATGTCGCCTCAGGACCCTGTGATGATTGCATTAACTGCACAAATTGTTTGTAGAGCATGTGTGTTTGAACAGTATGAAATCTGGGCACCTTAAGAACAGGATAACAGCAATGTTCAGGGAACAAGGGAGATAACCTTAAAGTCTGGCTGCCTGTTGGCTGGGTGGATCAGAGTCATATTTCTCTTCTTTCAAAAGCAAATAGGAGAAATATTGCAGAATTATTTTTCTCAGCAAGGAACAGCCCTGAGAAAGAGAATGCGTCCCTAAGGGAAGGCCTCTGAAATGGCCACTTTGGGGACGGCTGTCTTTTATGGTCGTCGATAAGGGATGAAATAAGCCCCGGTCTCCCAGGCTTATTAGGACGAGGAAATTCCCGCCTAATAAATTTTGGTCAGACCAGTTGTCTGCTCTCAAACCCTGTCTCCTGATAAGATGCTATCAATGACAACGTGTGCCTGAGACTTCATTATTTCATTCCAGTCGTGTGGTCCTGTGATCTCACCCTGCCTCCATTTTCCTTGTGATATTTTATTACCTAGTGAAGCATGTGATCTCTGTGACCCACACCCTATTCGTACACTCCCTCCCCTTTTGAAAACCACTAATAAAAAGTTGCTGGTTTTACGGCTCAGGGGGCATCATGGAACCTGCCGAAATGTGATGTCTCCTCTGGCCACCCAGCTTTAAAATTTCTCTCTTTGTACTTTTTCCCTTTATTTCTCAGACCAGCCGACACCTGGGGAAAATAGAAAAGGACTCATGTTGAATATCGGGGGTGGGTTCCCCCCATAGGCTCATGCCACCACGCCTGGCTAATTTTTTTATTTTTAATAGAGATGAGGTTTCAGGATGTTAGCCAGGATGATCTCGATCTCCTGACCTCATGATCTGCCAGCCTTGGCCTCCCAAAGTGCTGGGATTACAGGCATGAGCCACAGCACCCAGCAAATTTTTGGAATTTCTTAACTTGCAACTGAACAACTTTGCTCTCTGCCCTCATCATCACCTGGAGTTTTCTCTGTGTATCTGTCTTCATGTGGCCACCTTCTTATAGGACATCAGTCAGATTAGATTACCACACACCCTGCTCCTGCATGACCTCATTTTAACTCATTACATATGCAATGATATTATTCATAAATAAGGTTGCATTTTGAGATACTAGAAATTAGGACCCGAAAAAAATATATATATGTATATTTGAGAAGACACATTCAACCCATAACATAATGGATGAATAATCAATGTATATTATTCTTTCTTGTTTGAAAAGGGTTTCATCTTAAACATGATGACAATGAATAATGTTATTATTTTTACTTCTTCAGATGGAAATCCTTGCAGAGCATGTTTGTTTTATGGTAATTCTATGAGACACTCAGAGTAAATTATTCCATGAGTTACTATATTGAACAGAAATGAACTGATTGCATTTTATTTCAAATTTTGTTCATGTTTCTACTTAGCATCTATGGTCTGCAACTTCTCTCTTAGGATATCTCCAGTGGAATTACAAGTAAGAGATTCCACCTGCCACATTCTACATCGTCCTTTTTCAGAAAATGATGCCATGTGCTTGAATAGCTCAAACCAGATCCGCATTATTAAAAATAAGTGGTGAAAGGGTGACATATTTTGTATCTTTTCCCTTTCCACATGCAGCTTTCTGGTGAAATCCAGAGATGATTCTTTGCTCAAGTATAATTCTATTACCTAAATCAGAATTCTGGATCCAAGATCTCTAGGTCTCAAAATAGAATTATTTACCAACAAATGATTGGATAACAATTTGCTTGAGAATTGGGGCAGAAATTGATTTGAAAACTACACTGTAGAGTACCCAATAGATCTCAATAGCAAAGCCTAATATGAAAATGTATTAGGAACTAGGTAAATAAAAGGGAAATGCAGTGAGTAATTATTATTTTAAGGATGTGAAGTTGGGCATAGTATTGTAGCTGCCAGACAGCAGTAGAAACAAACTCTCTGAAGGATGAGATCACCAAGGAAGTTTAGTAGAGAGGGAGAACAAAAAAGGGACCAGAGAAGAGAGAAAATTCTTTAAGTCTGCATTTATTGCATTTATTAAGTGTTTATGTAACTATGATCAGTTCTGGGCAATTTATGAGTGAGCCTCTAAAGTCAGGTTTCCAAAAGCACCAGCTTGAAAGAACTTTCAAGTACTTATCCAAGTGTGCCATTAATCTTGTGATGCTTAATCAGAACTACAAAAGAAACTTTTATCTGAATCAAAGTAAAAATGCCAAATAAATCACAATTAGATTTACTGTTATATTTTGTAATTTTCTTTTTATAATTAGTTTTTGATTTATAATATGTTACTTTCTGGTTGTTTTTTAAAGAAACTGGAAACCTTGATAGCGTAATGTTTTTGATGACCTGATTCTTTTAAATATTTCTTTCATATATTGACCTGTTTTGCCCTTAATATATACTTGAACTGTAAAAGAGGATAACTATTAATAGAAAACCTCTTATAATGCAATGTAGGTGGTATAAATGTTTTTAAGATTTATTTTGATTAAGAGGCATTAGGTTCTTGTATCCAGTTTAACTTCTCGTGTTCTTATATTTACCAAAACTTCCTCTGTCTGAAATTATAATGACAATCTTGCCTGAGTCCTTAAAATTTTATATATAAAATTGAATGTTTCCTATTTGTAGTTTTTCTTCATTATCTGGTTCCATAGGTGAATAAAGATGGATTTTTTAAAAATACATTTTGCTAATTTTATTTTTTTAATAGGAAATGCCTATATTTTCTTTGGGACTAAGAAACTCTCATGGATCATGTGGAGGTTGCACTTTTGAATAATGCATAGTTACTTCCTCTAAGGTTTCTTACAACTTAGTAGTTTAATAAAGCAAGAAAAGGAACAAAAGAACTGAAGGGCTGAAAATAAATTATGGGTGAAGGAGCATTGTGAGGCCCTTGCTGTTTTCATAAGGTCGGATTACTTACTAACTTCATACACAGATTTTTCTCTCCAAGAGCTTTGCTTTTTGTAATTTGACCTGGATATTTAACACAAAAATTATAGCAAAGAATAGCTATTAGACTGTTTGTATAAGTGGATTAATGAACTTAATATAAGTACAAAGTAAAGAAGACATAGGTATCAATAGAAAAAAAAAAGCATTCTTCCTGGAATTAAAAGATTTCTTAAAGTTTTTTCTGTTTGTTTACTTTGTAAATAGAAGATTTATAAGGGATTAAACTTATGTTTCACTCTAGCTTTTAGACCTAGTTTGCTTAAGTCACTATGGAAGAAATTATAGGTCATCTACCTTTTTTATGGATGAACGTGAGAGCTCTTTCTCACTCATCAAATTTCAAACGTTTTTAGAACAACAAAATATACCTTATAAAAACATAATATTCATTAAAAAGAGAACCTTGATGAGAAATATTAGTCTATAAGTTTTTGTGTGTGGTTTTCTTTTTTTAATGTAAGAAACTACTATAATGATGTATTAGAGATTGTAAACAATGAAAAACAAAATATCACAAAGGCTTATGTTTTAAAAAATGGTTACTTTATATCTGAACTATCCCAACAATAGCCTGACACTCAAACAATCTACATTGTGTAGCAGAACAGTTAAAATTAGTGCAGACACCTGGAAACATTCCAAGCATTATGATTGCTGGCCAAAGACAATTTCCTTTAAACAACTAAGAAAATATACATGAAATTCTAGTTTGAAATTTATGGAAAAGAAAAATGCTCATATAGAAAAGCAGCAGTCTGAAGAAGATTCTGCACACATAGGAAAAAAGTCTTAAAAATTATTTGAAAAAGTGATGATGACAGTGAGTAAATTCAAATTGCAAACATTCCCTCAATATGAATATTGCACTTAGCATTATTTAGACCTGTCTTGATAATGTTTTCATTCTCTACCCTATAGAAAATGAAGAAAATAATTATCATATGACATATCACCATGCATATATTTTTCAATAATCTCTGAATACAAAGTAATAATTTTATAAAAATCTGATAGTCTCATATTATATTATATCACTGAGGCCAGCATGGCCAGAGAACCTCCGAGCTCCATTGTGGAATTGTGATTGTCTAATAAGAGTTTCATACTAATTAATCCTTACTTTACACTCTATAAAATGCAACTCAACTGAACATAGCTAAATCCTGTTTCAAGGTAGAGTAATTCAATATTGATAGATACTTTCTCTACAATTATTACCAAGAAGATAATTTTTTTAAGTGGAAATACGAAGGCTGCCATTGAATAGCAATATCTATAATACTCAAGTGACTATGCATGAAACACTGATCTTGAAGTTTGGTTTAGCCTCTATCACCAATGCTTACCACTATTCATAAATGCAGTTAAAATTGTATAGGTGTCATTAATCCAGAGAGAAACAGCTGTCTCCATTGATGTATCAATTGTGTAGAAGATAGAGATCCATGAGTCTGTAGTCACCATTCCCAGTTCACTATATTTAAGAAATATGGGAATAAGTAAATGTTATAGTGTCTAAAATATTTTAAAAGATACTTATGTGAAACTATTTTCCCATATTTCGAAAATTATCATCAAGTAACAGTTGGCAACATATTAGATATTATTTGAAGACTGTAGGAGTTTTGCATGCTATAATAATGATTTATTTTGTAATTATCATTAATTTTCATGAGCAACTGTCCATTTGTAAATAAAATTGCTTGATTGTCTACGAGAAGCCATAGATGGACATAGACCTTGGCTTCTATTACTTGTCACTGATGTCTTTAGCATTAAATCCTAGGTAGGAATGAGGACAATATGCCTCTCAGGATGAGTAAATCTGATTTTTTCAATGCGTATTATACTTCCTTATAATGACCTGGCAGTTATTCGTTCTCTACTTTAATGCCATGACTATTCATCATATGATGAATTTTCTAAAAGTCAGTCCATCTTGGTTTACTACATAGATGGAACCTGCCTCAAAAATAATAATAGGACTTTAACTCAAAAAGATTAATTTTAATAACTTAAAAAGTACGCTCCTTGAGTGTATACATGTTCCTTGTTCTTGCTGATATCATAGATATATCTAAATAATTGTGAGTGGGTTATTTCTAATGTAGAAATCTCCAGATTTAGTTGGAAAGAAAGTAAACTTAGGAGTTAAACAGACCTTTGTTTGATTTCTAGTTCTATAACTTACTTGAGCTATGATTTTATTTTATAACCTATAATTATACCTTATTTTACCTTATAATAAGCAAGCTGAACTATTTAATTTGCATGCCTGACAATTGCTGATTTTATAGATTAAAAGAGAAAATTGTTACAAGAACCTAGCACAGTGCCTGGTTCAATGTAAGCAAATGTATGGAAAAAAAATAACATACCCCATGAATAGCAGTTTTACTGAGTAATTTCTGACACTATATAATGTTCTAGGCTTTTTTTTCTCTCTCTCTCTTTTTTTTTCCTCCAACCCTAGAATCAGCCATTTCTTCAAGGAGACATGGTATTTATTATTGGAAAATAACATTAGAAAGTAAGACCTGATGGGCTCTTTGCTACTAGGATGTCGTTTATTTTAGCCCTGTCAGTTGACAGAGCACCTCACGTGTATGCACAAGTTTATAAATATCTCCCTATAAAGCCATCTGTATCTATATTAAGTAAAACATGAATTAATACTGGTTCCTCTAACTATAATATATTATCAGATAGATCATTCTAGTCTTCTCACCTTGTTTATGTGTAAATCCCAGTTTTTTAGAAAAAAATTATTTATTTTTGAGACAGAGTCTTGCTCTGTCAGCCAAGCTGGAGTGCCATGGCACGATCTCAGCCCACTGCCACCTCTGCCTCCTGGGTTCTAGCGATTCTCCTGCCTCAGCCTCCCCAGCAGCTGGGATTACAGGCGCACGCCACCATGCTCAGCTAATTTTTGTATTTTTGGTAAAGACGGGATTTCACTATGATGGTGAGGCTGATCTTAAACTGCTGACCTCATGATCCACCCGCCTTGGCCTCCCAAAGTGCTGGGATTACAGACGTGAGCCACTGCACCCAGCCTGTAAATCCCAATTTTAACAATAAGAAACCTAGCCCCATAATCTGCCATTTATTCATTTATTTACTTAATTGTTCAAATTCAGTAAACATGTATAGCAGTATCAGAATTGTTAACACAATTTCTATAATAAATCTTCCCTAATATATCTCTCTACACATATCCTACTGGTTTCTTCCTCTGGAGAACCCTAATACATACTCTAATGGAATACAACTTTATCAGCTAGAGTACAGTGCTTATTTGCACATTCTTTGGTCTTTAGTCTTACAGACTCCACTCACTTCAAAAGTTGTTTTGATCACCAATTCCCCGTACTTACTTCCCTCAGATGTTGCATTTCTTTCTAAAATTCCTTGACCTTTTATTTTTTATTTTAAAGTAAATTTGCACACATTTAATTTCACTGCTTGTATTGTATAGTTCTTATTGACAAATGCATATTGTCATGTATCCACAATTGTAGTATCATATAGAATAGTTCTCTGTACTTTACCTATTTATCCCTTACCCCAGACTGAACCACTAGCAACCATTGATTACTTTACTTCCTCTATAGCTTTGCCTTTCCTGGGACATATACAATTGGAATCACATAGTATGTTGATCTTTTTATACAGGCTTTTTTATTCAGCCATATTCATTTAAGTTCCCTTATGTATTTTTGTTCCTTAATAGGTTATTCCTTTTTATCACTGAGTAATATTCCATCGTGTGGATGTATCACAGGTTTTTAAATTCATTCACCTATTAGATACCATCTTGATTGCTTTTACTTTTTGCCAATTTTGAATAAGACATTATAAGTATTTGTGTGTAGGTTTTGTGTGGATATAACTTTTCAAAGTAACTGGAGAACTGCCTTGGAGCACAGTTGCTGGGATGTATGGTAATATTATGTTTAAATATGTGAGAAACTGCCAAACTGTCTTCTAAAGTGGGCGTACTATTTTGCATTTCCACCAGCAATGAATAAGAGTTCCTGTCAATCCACATCTTCGTCAGCATTTAGTATAGTCAGCTTTTTGGATTTTAGCCATTTTAATAGGTGTGTAGAGGAATTTCATATTATGGTTTCAATTTGCAATTCTTGAAGACAAATTATTTTGAGCATTTTTTCATATGCTTGTCTTTTCAGATCTATTGCCTATTTTATATATAAGTTTTCTTGTTGTTCAGTGTATATTTTGGATACAAATTATTTGATTAGGTACATGGCTTACAAATATTCTCTCTGAGCTTCTGGCTTGTCTTTTCAATCTTTAAGTAGTGTCTTTTGCAGAGCAGATGTTTTTAAATTATAAGAACATAAAACTGACCACTTTTTCTTTTTATGGGTCATGCTTTAGGTATTACATCTAAATTCTTATCACCAAAGCCCAGAACACATAGATTCTCTCTCGCATCTTCTTCTAGAAGTTTCATAGTATCTTATTTACATTTATACCTGTGATTCATTTAAATTTGTCAATTGAAGAATGACAAGGTTTATACATTTGGAAAGTAGAGCTTTATTTCTCATAAAGGGATGCGGCCTTCAGAGTGGCTGTTCTGACAGGCTGGGAAGCGTAGTCTCCAGCCAGAAGACAGCAACAGACACTTCTAGGGAAGGGAAAAGTGAACAAGAATTTATTCTGAGCAGGGAGGGAGAATACACATATTTAATAAGCTGTAGGATGTGTCATGAATATTTATTAAATGAAAAATATTCACATGTACCATGCTCCTTCAAGGGTCTCAGGTACAAAAAATGGCAGCATTAGTATGATCCAAGGGTGGAACTTTTAGCCATCTAATGTCAAAAGGTGAAGTAGAGGATGTATATGCTTTACTGCACATTCTATTTAGACTGGGCCAGAACCACTGCATGGTTGGTGGTCTCTTATCTGGAAGAAATGCTGGTCAGTGGTTGTGCTGAAATCACAAAAGGGCAGGGCAGCACCAGACAGTTTGTTGATATCAGCAGTGGAGTCTTTCAAAAGGGCTGGTTTCAGTTTAGCCCTTAGGGACGAATGTCTAATGGTGATTAGTGAGGGCGGAGGGTATAACCAGGTGTATCTGATCCCCGCAAACTGTCATGGCTGATAATTCAGTTTTCAAGGTTTCTCTGAAGTCCCTTTGGACAAGTGGGGGGGGGGCGGAGGGGTCTGTTCAGTTGATTGTGGTGCTTAGGATTTTATTTTTATTTCTCAATTTAATTTTTGTGAAACTTGTAAGATCTAGGTCTAGGGTATTTTATTTTCTTCTTTTTACACACAGTCATCCAATTGCTGTAGTACCGTTTATTAAAAATGTTATATATTTTTCTGTTGAATACCCTTTGTACTTTTGTCAAATACCAGCTGATTACATTTGTTTGGGTCTTTTATTAGGATTTCAATTCAGTTTTACTTATCTGTTTGTCTGTTCTTTTGCCAATATCAGATTGTCTTGATTCTGTAGCTTTATAGTAAGTCCTGAAGTCAGGTAGTATAAACCCTTCAAATTTGTTCTTCTCTTTCGCTGTCATGATGGGTATTTTTTTTTTTTAATGGAGTTTTGCTTTTGTTGTCCAGGCTGGAGTGCAATGGCACGATCTCGACTTACTGCAACCTCTGCCTCCTGGGTTCAAGTGATTCTCCTGCTTCAGTCTCCTAAGTAGCTGGGATTATAGGCATGCGCCACCACGCCCGCCTAATTTTGTATTTTTGGTAGAGACGGGGTTTCTCCGTGTTGGTCAGGCTGGTCTCAAACTCCTGACCTCAGGTGATCCCCCTGCCTCGGCCTCCCAAAGTTCTGCGATTACAGGCATGAGCCACTGCGCCCAGCCTCATGATGGGTATTTTAGGTCTTCTATTTCTCCATATAAACATTAGAATCAGTTTGATGATATCCACAGAGTATAATGCTAAAATTTTTTATGGGAATTGTAATGTATCTATAGATAAATTATAAAAGAATTGGCATCTTAATATCGAATCATTCCAAGTAACACAGAGGTTAAAGAAGAAATTTCCAGAGAAATGTTTTTTCAAATTTTTTCTTTACACAAAAATTAAAATATCACCTACAAAAATGTGAGAAGCAGAAAAATCAGTGCTTAAGAGAAAAGCATAACAGGGAATGCATATATTTGTAAAACAAAAGATCAATAATCTATGTTTCTTTATTGGACAACTTGAAAAGGAAGAACAAGTTAAATCAAAAGTAGGCAGAGAAAAAGGTATAATAAAGATTATGACAGAAATCAATAAAATGTAAAAGAGAAACAATATAGAAAATCAACAAAACTAAAAATTGGATCTTCAACAATATCAATGAAGTTGAAAAGTCTCAAGGCAGGCTAAGAAAAAAAGAGAGGACACAAATTTCTGGTGTAAGAAATAAAAGAGGAGATATCACTACAGATCCCATAGATATTAAAAGGACAATAAAGTAATATTATGAACAAACCTATGTCCACTAATTTGACAAATTAGATGAAATAGGCCAATTCATTAAAAGACATAATTTTCCAAATCTCACAAAAGTAAAAATAGACAGTGAAAAAGCCTATATATATTAAAGAAATTGAATCAGTATTAATAACCTTTTAAAACAAAAGAATCTAAGCTGAGATGGGTTTGCTAATTATTTCTACCAAACAACATGCACCAATTTTCTGCAATCACTTTCAGAAGATAGAAGTGGAAAGAATCCTTTGTAACTATTTATATGATGTAAGCATTATCCTAACACCAAAACCAGACAAAGTACCAAAACTGTAAAATAATTTCTCATGAATATTCATGCAAAAGTCCCAAGAAAATAGTAGCAAATCAAATCAAGCAATATTTGAAAATAATTATGTACTACAACCAGTGGAATTTATCCTAAGTTTGCAAGGGTGGTTCAACATTAAAAAATCAATTAATATAATCCATCATATCAACAGGAATTGAAGACAATCATATGATCATATAAATAGATGTAGAAAAACTATTTGACAAAATCTAACACCCTTTCATTATAAAAACCATAAGTAAACTGGGAATAGAGGAGAACTTCCTCAACTTTATAAAGAATGTCTATACTAATTTACAGCTATCATCATACTCAACAGTGGGAAACCCAAAACTTTCCCACCAAGATCAGAAACATGGCAAAGATATTCCCTCTCACCACTGCCTCGGTGTTTGTTTTGAGAAGAGTCTCACTATGTTTCTTAGGCTGATCTTTAAACTTCTGGGCTCAAGCTATCCTCCCATGGAGAAGCCCCCAGCAGAGGAGCTGGGATAACAGGTGTGCACTACCACATCCAGTACAACAAATCACTACTGCTTTACAAAACTGTACTCAAAGCCTAAATAATGCAATAAGACAATAAAAGAAAAATTAAAAATTGTACATATTTTTAAGAAAAAAGAAACTTTCTTTGTTCACAGAAGACATTTCTATATAGAAAATCTGAAATAGTTGACAAAAATATTAATACAATTAAGAAGTGATTGTAGTAAGGTTGTAGGATATGTGGTTAACATATGAAAGTCAACTGCCTTTCTAAATAGGAGGGCTTTAAGCTGTTTGTGCCCCCGACAAAATGTATATAATTATATCCTTACCCCTAAAGTGATGGTGTTAGGAGCTAGGGCTTTGGGAAGTTGATCTTGTCATGAAGGTAGGGCCATCGTGATGGAGGAACAACAGCTAGACACAGACTCTACACCCTTCACAAAAACTAATGCAAAATGTGTTGTATACTGAAATGCAAAACTATAAAACGACTAGAATATGACATGTCAGAAAACATAGATGACATTGGGCTTGACAACTGCTTTTTAAATACAACACCAAAGGCAAAATGACTGAAAGAAAAAAAATGATAGCTAAACTTAATTAAAAATAAAGTTTTATTCTCTGAGAAAGATACTATCAAAAGAATAAACAGGCAAGCCACAGAATGGGAGAAAATATTTGAGAAAGATATGTCTAGTAAAGGAGCTATCCAAAACATACAAAAATCTGTCAAAATTCAATAAGAAAACACAAAACCCAATTTAAAAATTGCTGAAAACTCTTATCAAAGAAGACAGGCCGATGGCAAATGAACGTATGCAAAGATCCTCCCCAATATATGTTATCAGGGAAGTGTAAATTAAAACAACAATGAGATACAACTGCACGCTCATTAGAATGGCCAAAATCCAGAGCACTGACAATGCCAAATGCTGGAGAGAATATAGAGCAACAGAAACTTTCGTTCATTTTTGGTGGGAATGCAAAATGGTAGAGTGAATTTGGAAGGCAATTTGGCAGTTTCTTACTAAACTAAACATATTCTTAGCATAGGATCCAGCCATTGTGCTCCTTGTTAGTTAGCTAAAAGAGCTGAAAACTGGGTACACACAAAAGCCTATATTCAATTTCTTATAGCAGCTGTATTCATAATTGCCAAATCTTGGAAGTAACTAACATATCTTTCAGTATGTAAATGGATAAGTATACTGTGGTAGATCCAGACAATGAAATATCACTTAATGGTTAAAGAAATGAGCTGCCCTGTGATGAAAAGATGTGGAGAAAACTTAAATACATATTATTAAGTGATAGAAGCCAATCTGAAAGTCTACATACTGTATTATTTCAACTTCATTACATTCTCTAATAGGCAAAACAATGGAGGCAGTATAAAAATTAGTAATTATAAGGGGTTAGTAGAGAGCACTAATGGGGTGAATATGTGGAGCACAGAGGATTTTTAGGGCAGTGAAACTACTCTGTATAATACTATAATGGTGAACACCTGCCATTATGCATCTGTCAAGACAGAATATAAAACACCAAGAGTAGTTCTAATGGAAACTGTGGACCTTTGGTGAAAATGATGGGTTGGTGTAGGTTTATTAATTATAACAAATGTACCACTTTGGTGGAGGATGTTGATTGTGGAGAAGGCTATTCATGTGCAGGGGTGGTAGGTATCTGGGAAATCTCTGTATCTTCTGTTTAATTTTGTTGTGAACCTAAGACTGCTCTAAAAATTATACTACCCCGGTTTGAGAACATGTAACATCTCTCCTTTTATTTATAACTTTTTTGATTATTTTATCAGTGTTTCTGCATATAGATAGTATTTTCTTTCTTAGATTTATCCCTAAGTGTTTCCATTTTCAGCACTATTATAAAAGGTATTGTGTTTTTAATGTTAAATATCTATTTTTCATTTCTGGTATATAGGAAGGCAATTAATTTTTGCATATCAATCTTGTATGTGGTGACCCTATTATAATTACTTATTAGTTCTAAGTGTGCTTTTTATTTTATTTTATTTTATTTTATTTTATTTTATTTTATTTTATTTCATTTTCCTGTTTTGGATTTTCTCCATGGACAATCATGGCATCTGCAATAGAATATTGTTTTTTCTTTCTCAATTTACGTAAATGTTCCTTTCTCTTCTTACCTTATTGCATTAGTTAAGAATTCCAGTACTGCAATGAATGAGTGGTGAGGGGAGCATTCTCATCTTGTTTCCAAACTTAGAGAGAAAGTGTCCAGTTTCCTATCATTAAGTAAGCTGCTAATAAAAACACCCTTGCAAAAATTATGACAATTAGAAAATTATAACAGTGAAAGAGACCTGATCTACACCTCCCACTGCCACATCTTGCCTTTCCCTTAATTGTTCCTGGAATTAGGCTAAGCTAACTTTGGGAGATATTTAGTTTATAATTTAAATGATAATAGCCCTTCTACAAAACTCAATCAGCTTTGTAAAGCTAATGAAAGGCCATCCGGCTAGCAAGAGAAGAGGAACCTGAATTCTGCCAAGATGTGGACTGGCCATGAGATATGCAACTTTACTTTTGTAGATCAGCCTTTTGAGATACGTTTTCAGGTTTTTCATATGTCTAACACCCACGGCTCCACCTGGATTTGCCAACCCCACTCCTGTGGCTCCACCCCAAAGCAGTTCAGCTCAAGAGGACAGTTTTGACTCCCTATGATGATTTCAACTCCACCCTAACTAATCAGCAGCAAGCACCCATTGCTAGCTACTCCCCCGACTTCCCCTAACCTGCCTTTGAAAAACTCCTAACCTAGGAGCCTTCGATAAGATTGATTTAAGTAATAACTCTCTCTGATCCTTGGTGTGGCCATCCTAACATCAATTAAACTTTTTCTTTACTTCAATGTTGTGATCTTTATTTGTGCAGCAGGCAGGAAGAACCCATTGGACAGTGACACTAACTGTAGGGTTTTTGTTAATGGTGTTTATTGAGTTGAGGAAGTTTATCTCTATTCCTAGTTTGCTGAGAGTTTCTATCATGAATGGGTGGTGGAGTGAATGTGTGTAAGTTCAATTAGATGGTGCTGTTTGGGTCCCCTATATTTGTACTGATTTTGTACCTGTTTAATCTATGAACTATGAAGTTTAGGTTAGCCTAAAGCTGCCTCCTTATGTATTTTAGTTTGGTCTAAAGGTTTCTCTGTATGTAGTGATCTGAAACATAACTAGGTGTGCAAACAGACAGTAACCTATTCTTGTAACAAGTAGTCAAGTTTCAGCCAATCACAGTAGCCATACTTCACCCACTCACTGGTGACTATAAACCCCCCTAGATTTGAGACGGGTCTCAATTTAGAAAGTTTATTTTTCCAAGGTTGAGGATGTACACCCATGACACAGCCTCAGGAAATCCTGATGACAGGTGCCCAAGGTGTTCAGAACGCAGCCTGGTTTTATACATTTTTATGGAGATATGAGACATCAATCAACATATGTAAAATGAACATTGGTTTGGTCCTGAAAGGCAGGACAACTTGAAGCAAAAGCAGGACAACTCTAAGCAAGGAGGGGGCTTCTAGGTCACAGGTAAGTGAGAGACAAATGGTTGCATTCTTTTGAGTTTCTGATTAGCCTTTCCAAAGGAGGCAATCAGATATGCATTTATCTCAGTGAGCAGAGGGATGACTTTGAACATAATGGAAGGCAGGTTTGCCCTAAGCAGTTCCCAGCTTGACTTTTCCCTATAGCTTAGTGATTTTGGAGGCCCAAGATGTTTTCCTTTCACATGACCAACTCTCCAAGCCATGCTCAAGTAAGGCAAACACCAAGCTATAACCAATCCAGCCATTTCTGTACTCCACCTCTGTTTTCTGCACTTTCCTTTCTCTGTTCATAAATCCTTCCTGACCTCATGGCAGCTCAGGAGTCATTCTGAACCTATTTGGATGGGATTCTCCCCAATTTGGAAATCATTCTTTGCTCAATTCAACACTGTTAAATTTAATTTGTCTATAACATTTTTATTTTAACACTACTGAAAGATGGATGTTGAAGTCTAGTTGTAATTGTGGATTTGTCTCTATTTCTCTTTTCACTAGTTAATTTATTTATTTTGCCTTGCGTATGTTGACACATTACAGTTAGGTGACTAGTAATGAAGAATTTACATCTTCTTGGGGCTAGAAGTGTCTGTTTTCTCTTGTGCACTTATTTTTGTATCCCCTTTTGTCTTTAGGTTACCCTAAAATCTCTTTCTTAATTAGCATCTCTGCCTTGTTGTTTTACCTATAATCCATCATTATTCTAGAGCTGGGCTGATGTGATGAATTGTGGAGAGAAGAGAACATGTAATTTTAGGATTAAGCTCAGTGTCAGTGTTTTGGTGGTTCTGTGCACCTTGGATGTGAACTTCACTACTGTTTCTCACCATCTCTCTCCTCTTTCTTCATAATACAGGAAGGCTGGAGTATGTCCTCATTGGATAATTCTCTTCTCCTAAGTAGAAAAAATATCTTGGAGAGTCTCAGCCCTGCTAATAGGTAGGTCTTTGTTCTGGAGAACTCTCTGGGCTTGTTTCCAATTTTTTTTTCCTTCTCTGCCCCTCCCCACTAGAAACACTAAGTTTTGTTTGTTTGTTTGTTTATCGGTTTGGGGTTTGTTTGTTCGTTTTTGCTTGCCTCTTCACAATGAAAAACCCAGTTGGCTTCTTAGAGGAAAATCCTATGAAGAGTTGTTCTTCTCCTAAGTATTTGGCCGCTTTCATGTTGGTCTACACTCTGTCTCCAGCAATTCATCAGTTACCACTTAGGCATTCCTACCAGTGTGGGGCTCCAGGGGCTTCTGCTGTAGGTAAACTGATTGATCGATCTTGGCTATAATTCTCTGTATTCTCTTGTCTCTCCAGATTTGGGGCAGGCAATTTGCCCTGAAACTTCAGTTTCTGATGAGTCTAAGTAAAGTCATTGATTTTAAGTTTTGTCAAGTATTTTTTCTTGTTACAAGGGTAAGAGTGATAATTTCCAATCACTTTACCTGTTGGAATTGAACCTGGAATTTAGGTAGGAGTTTTAAACATTTGCCCCCTGTATTTATTCACATGACATTATCAACAACACTCATGAAAAAACAATCATATTTGAATTTTATTTTTTATTGATAGAAATCACACAGCTATAGTTTTAACACAGTTGTATTTTCTTTTTCTTTTTAATTTTCCTGCTAAAGTCAGTGCTAATTCACAGATACTTTTCTAAGGGAGACAAGAATTAAATAGCTGTCTTCCTGGTACTTGCATCAGAAAGAGCAACAATAGTACAATACAAAGATGTAAGAGGAAGAATTTAACAAAATAAATTAGATACGATGTTTTCATCTTTGAGTTATTCAGAGAATGTGAAATAGTTTAACACATAATGTAAATTTCGTTAGCTAAATTTTGCTAAAATAACCGAAGGGATCCAATGTATACTATTACAGAATAGTCAACCTCCCCTGATATTTGTAGGGTTTTGAGCTAGACGTTGTAATTGTGATTTCCTAATTTTAAATATATTTGTTTTCTTTAGGAGGATGATTATTATTAAAAAATAGAAATATCAATGATCCTGCATTACGTTTTCTGAAATTGTCTAAACATAACATTGATTCATTTAAAACAATTCACATGCCTGGAAAATACTCATTATTCAACGTATGCTCTCCTTTTTAAATTGAAACTTTTAAAACAGTGAAGTTCAGCAGTGAAGTGCAGCTTCACTGAATCAATTCTAGTTTTCTAAGATTTTCATCAAAAGTCAAGATGAAACATTTTATGCTCTCTGAATAGGATGTCTTGTTTTGCACACAAATTTCTGGTGTTCTTTGGTTTGTAACAAAACTTTCATTGTAGAGATCAGAAGAACAGTATGTAGAATTGAAACCTCACCAAAAATGAAAAGCAAAGTATAAAATAGGCTCCAGCATCACATTTTTCTACAGAAAATTGAAGTTAAAAAAAAAAAAAAAACAGTCTCTGTCAACCATTGTTGGCAGGAAATTTACCTTTGGAACGAGGGTGAGATTTGAAAAATGCTATTATGGATGCAAATTAATATTTAACTGAGAAAAACATCTCTTGCATGTACTCATTTGTCTAACAAAACACAAAGGTGTTTGTATAATATTTTCTTTTTTACATTAGCAAACTAAGGCACAGTGAAGCTTAATAGTTTGTTTATTCTGTTTTGTTGTATTTTCCTCTGGTCATAAAGATACTTTGTATCAGACTCAGCATCAAACTGGGATCTGGACACAGGTCACAGTAGAATCCAGTATTCCTGTTATCTATCTCTTAAGAAAAAGAAATTTGTTGCTTTCTATTGATTTGTCAGAAAACCTTGGAGGTTTGACTTAAAGTATGGCATTGGATAATTGACTTTATTTCCTGATTGAAAATGGAATATAAAATAAACAAATCATTCAAGCTCATTTTAATCTTCTGTGTTCAGATAAATCAGATACAAATTGCCTTTTTGAAAGTGGTTTTTACTGAAGGTATGTTGTTTTTCTTTTCACTTGTCTCCTTAGAAAATGGGCAGAACAATTGATATGTTTTAATGAGTGAGTGCTTTTTAAATGTCTCCTCAAGGAAGCATCAAGATTTATTCCAATAACTACTTTTACAGCGATGCCTTTCAAATGCAAATGCAAATGCACATACATCTGTCCATTAAAAGGCAGACTTTGATTCTATAGGTTTAGGAAATTGACTTCGATTCTGTATTTTTAACAAGCTCCCAGATGGTGCTGATGCTTTTTATCCATGGACCACACTCATAACAAGGATTTTTCTCCTGAATAGACTTAAGGCAACAAGACAAGCCTTGTGCCTTACTTATCATAACCAGTTGGGCACATTTTCAGAAATTAACTTGTAATTAAATAATTGGGTTTCAACCCTGTTTGTATGTTACCTGACCATGGACATTTAAGTACTGTCAGATGTTTTTTTGTTTCCTATTTTAAGTTCCAGGGTACATGTGCAGGATGTACAGGTTTGTTACATAGGTAAATGTGTGCCATGGTGGTTTGCTGCACCTAGCAACCCATAACCTAGGTATTAAGCCCAGCGTGCATTAGCTCTTTTCCCTAATGCTCCCTTGTACCCCTCTGACAGGCCCCAGTGTGTGTTGTCCCCTCCCTGTGTCCATGTGTTCTCATTGTTCAGCTCCCACTTAAAAGTGAGAACATGGAGTGTTTGGTTTTCTGTTCCTGCATTAGTCTGCTGAGGATTATGGCTTCCAGCTTTATCTATGTCCCTGCAAAGGACATGATCTTGTTCCTTTTTATGCCTGCATAGTAGTCCATCGTGTATATGTACCATATTTTCTTTATCCAGTCAGAATGGTGATTATTAAAGTCAAGAAACAACAGATGCTGACGAGGTTGTGGATAAATAAGAACACTTTTACACTGTTGGTGGGAGTGTAAATTAGTCCAACCATTGTGGAAGACAGTGTGGTGATTCCTTAAAGATTTAGAACCAGAAACATCATTTGACCCAGCAATCCCATATATACCCAAAGAATTACAAGACTGTTTCTGTGTGTGTGTGTGTGTGTGTGTGTGTGTGTGTGTTTTCCTCTGAGATGGAGTCTCGCTATTGTTGGCCCAGGCTGGAGTGCAATGGCACAATCTCAGCTCACTGCAACCTCTGCCTCCTGGGTTCCAGCAATTCTCTGACCTCAGCCTCCCGAATAGCTGAGATTATATGCGCCCGCCACCATGCCTGGCTAATTTTTGTATTTTTAGTAGATATGTGTTTTCACCATGTTGGCCAGGCTGGTCTCAAACTCCTAACCACAAGTGATCCACAAGTGATCCACCCGCCTCGGCCTCCCAAAGTTCTGGGATTACAGGCGAGAGCTACTGCCTGCACCCTAAAAGACGTTTTATAGTGGCGTCTCAATTCTACTATGGCAATGTGGCTCAGACTCTGTAGCAGTAATATATCACTTGTTTTCCAGAAGCTCTCCTTTCCTCTGTGTGGTGTCATAAATACGGCTAACTTTTATTAAGCATGGACTCTTAGTGGGGATTCATGTAGAATTCTGAGTAAGAAAAGTGCCCCTGCTTTTTGAGAAAGTGCCAATACTTTAGTATTTTACAAAATACACATTTTCCTGTTTTTTAAAGGTAGATTGAAGGACATTTTAACTATAAAATATTTCAAACATAGTAAAAAGTATAAAAAATAGTAGCAAGTACATGTTAATATTTTGTGATTTTTACTTTCTCTTTCTTTCCCTTAAATGCAGCTCTTAATACTGCCTAAAACAGGATCTTTCTCCCTGGCCCAGTGGTATCCCTTGTTTTATATCATAATCCAAGATTACTTTAGACTTAACATATCTATAGCTATGTTTAGATATAGAAATTTCTACAGATGGTTCACAGATAGATAGATACATAGGTAGACGATAGAGATATACAAAAATAATAGTATCATTTCTTTTCTACTTTTTTAAAATTTTGCATAAACTGTATCTTATTATATGGATCATTTGGCTTGTTCATTCAAAATAAAGACTGTAAAATGTATATCTAGCCAATACACTTAAACTACTGATTATCATTCCATTGTTCAATAGAACATCTTTATTTATCCTCCTAGTATTAGAGAACTTTCTACTCTATTTTGATGGCAAATAATACAGCTATAAGCATCAGAGGGCATACATCCTTGTGCGTATGAGTATGATGGTTCCTCCGTGTTGTTATACTTAGAGTTATCCAATTTGCGCATATTTCACTAATTTGATAGTTATGTTTTAGCATACATTTTTCTGTTTATTTGTACAAGCAATTATCTTTCATATTTTCTTCTTTTTGATTCATTTGTCTTGAAAGCTATGAATAACTTGTTTATATGATTTGATAATTTTTATTTTTTAAACTTGTGCATAATTAGGATTTTAATTATTTATATACTCAGTATGCTAATCATTTCTTCAGTTATGTATTTTGAAAATATCATCTCCCAGATGTGGATATCTTTCAATTTAGGACATGTTTATTTCAATATAGAAAAATTATCTAGCTTTTAGTTTGTTTTTTTCCTTTTGAGGCCTTATAGATGTTATTTGTGTAGGCTATGCAGTAAGAACATATTTTTTCATGCTGCTTTGCAAATTCACCTGTCGTAAAAAGTTACAATACATTTACAAAATTTTACATGTACATATGCTGCATGGTTAGTTCCTTCAGAACATGTATACTGTCTACCATGATACCAATAACACACTTTTTTTTTTTTTTTTAACGGAGTCTCACTCTGTCACCAGGCTGGAGTGCAGTGGAGCGATCTTGGCTCACTGCAACCACCGCCTCCCATTACTGTAGCTTCATAATGAATTTACCTAAGTAGTAAATAACAAATTTAGTTCTTCCAATTTGTTTTGGCCATTCTTGGGCTTTTCTTCCTCCATATGAAGCTTACATCGTTTTTTCTTCAGTTTCATTAGAAAGAAACTGGTGGAAATTTTATTGGAATTGCATGGAGTTATGATTTGAGAAAAATATACGTTGAATAATATACTTCTATATATTTATGAGAAACATGTATGTTTTTAAAAGTATATGTCTTACTTTTAAGTTCTTTGACAAATTATTGTAATTGACTTTATTAAAAACTAGCATAGGCTAGGTGCTGTGGCTTATACCTGAAATCCCAGCACTTTAGGAGGCCAAGGCAGGTGGATCACCGGAGCCCAGGAGTTTGAGACCAACCTGGGCAAGATGGAGAAACCTCATCTCTACAAAAAATACAAAAAAAATAAAAAATAGCTGGGTGTGGTGGCACACACCTGTAGTCCCAGCGACTTGGGAGGTTGAGGTGGGAGGATCACCTGAACCCAGGAGGCTGATGTTGCAGTGAGCCATAATCGCACCACTGCATTCCAGCCTGGGTGACAGAGTTAGACTCTGTCTCAAAATGAAAAACAAACCAACAAAAATATACATATATATTGGTTAGATTTTTTTCCCCCTTCCAGGTATGCAGCAGAATTTGACAGTATCTTCATTTTTATTATACATTGACATGTTTACTCAGTTATAAGAATTCTATTAATGTTGGTATCATCTCATATTCTCTCAAATATTCTATTATAGAATCACATTTTTCATCTTTTTTTATAACAAGAGTTTTGCTGTTTGAGTTTTTCCTCCTAATTATTTATTTATTTTTTCCTACTTATATGTTGTTCCGTGGTGCAAGACCTCCAATAAAACGCTGTGCACACATAGTAATAGTGATAACTTTTGTCTGTTTCATAATCTAATTGAACTGCTTCTAAAATTTTACCATTATATATTATTTTGGATAGTTTGATAGTTATTTACTATCAAATGAAGGGAATTATCTTCTCTCCTTAATTTCTGAATGCACTGGTTCAGTTAGATATATTGGTTGTTAATTATTATTATTTTTACATGAATTGAAATGATCACATCACCTTTTCCTCTCTAATCTGTTAATATGGTAAGAATTTAACATATAGTTTGTCTAATGCTAATGATACCATTATGGCCATTAGAGGTTAAACCTAGTTTGTTCATGGTGTTTTATTCACTTTCATAATTTTGGTGAGAGTGCTGTGATGCCAATATTACACTTCACATTTCTGCATATCTAATCTTGACTTTGATTTATCTATAATTTTCCTTTTTCAGGCTATCTTTGCCTAGTTTTGCTATTACAGCTATGGTAGCCTTATAAAATGAGTTTGGAAGCTCTTTCTCAGTTCTCTGGCCTCTTTTAAGTCTTTGGGACAGTTTATATAATTTTGAGATTACTTCTTTTAGGGTTTTATAGAAATTTCTTAAATAGATTTTAAACTAGAGAAATTAAACTACAGCTTTAAGTTTTACAAGTAGTTTATTGAGGCTTACATTTCATTTTGAATCAGTTTTAATAATTTTTACTTTTTGAAAATTTCTATTCTATGTAGATTGTAAAGCTATTTAGACGATTTTGATTTTTAAGCCATTGAATTTATTGTTTTACATTATTTTAATTTCTAGTGTTTGCATGTTTATATTCTTTATATTTTCTTGATTCATCATGGCAGAGTTTTATCAACAGTATTTGTTTTTTAAAGAATCAGGTTAAAAAATATTTTCCATAGACATATCTTATATTGATTATGTTCTTACACAAATATTTTTTGTGCTTACCCTTTTGTTATTTATCTAACTCTCTGAACTAAATATTTATCATGCATTTCTCAGCCTTTTTGTGGAAATTAATTTTAAAATGGAAAATGTCCCTCAAAGTACTGCTACAGTTGCAGCCTCCATGTTTTGAGATATCATTTGCTAATATTATCATTAATCAGTATTGTGTCTTTTGTATGTTCTGTTATTTGTTTTATAACACATGAATTATTTAAATATATATTTTTTGTTTTCCAAAGTATGATGCTTTTGGTGATTTTTCAAAATATGAATTCAGCATTTTATGGTGTGTGCATGATATGTCATCTGTCTTTGTATTTGTTGAGACTTTTTTTGTGTCCTATGTTGGTGATTGGAATTATCTATCTACACTTCAAAATTATATTCATGTTTTTATATGTGATGTAACAATCTCTCTTTCACCTTGCTAATTATATTTTTATATTCTTTAATTCTTTTCATGTCTGTGTGGATCACTTGTTTTAAAACATTTTGAAAAAGGGTTATTATAAATAGAAGATGTTAAAATTCCTAATTATGTTGTGCATTAGTTGGTTCTGGGGGATAAATTTGTGAATTTCATTTCATATACTTTGGTCTTATAACAGTATGTGTCACCGGTTTAGGATATTACATCTTATGTATACTTGTTATACTTTTTTTTAAATATTATTATTCATTAGCTTTCTCTATTCCTAGTTGCATTTATTTACTTCTTAAAGTATATTTTTATGATATTAATATTGCCATGGCAGCATTTTTTTCTTTATCATTTGCAATACATCTTTGATGGTTACACTAGGTAATATCATCACATATATCATTTAATTCCCTATTCCTCTTTTTAACAATATCTAATCTGCTGTTTAAGTAATTCATTAAGAATTCAATTTGAATAACTCTTTGTTCTTTCAAAGGATGTATTTTATCCCTTTTCCGGTATGTGTTACTCTCTTTCATACCTATTTTTTTTCTTTTTTAACACTTCTCTTCCTATCATGTCATCTTTTTAAGACTACTGATTTCATTAGACTTTTTTAGTTTTCCTCTTATCTCAAGTTTTGTGGCGACTAACCCTGCTTATTGTTACGCCTGCTCCTTTTCTGTATGGTGGATAATTTCTTTTTATTAGATATGATTTCCTTTTTCCTTTACTTATTTCTATTCAGTATTTGAAGTATTCTCCAAGTTGGCCTTGAGTTTGTATCTGTTGCTTATACTAGATTGTCATTGTCTTGGGGCTGATTTTTATATTCATATGGGCCTGATCATTAAACAGCTCTTCAGTAATATAAAATCAAATGAATAGAAAGCAAGGTGCCAGCATGAGAACTCAACATTTTTTGGAAAAATACCCTTACCCTCAGCCCCCAAGTATAGACATAAGTAGCCTCATCATTATATTATCTCTCAACTTCATGTTTTGGGCAGCCTAAGTTATCTTGTCACTGAGATTTTAGCATTGCCAAAGGTCAGGGCTTTCATCCCATTCATGAGTTTGATTTCCTCCCAATCTTTGGGGCAGAAATGTCTGATATTTCCCAAGCCTCTCATCACTTTAGGGCTCAGTTGAGCAATTGCCAACCTCTCTGTTTCCTGATTGTTAGCTTCCTCTTAACTTATAGCCCCTGCAGATTTTGCTGCCAATTTTAGCTCTAGCATTATTTTAAAAAGCTGGATTTAATCCAGAGTGTTTAGCTATTTGTAGGAAGATTTTCATGGTAACCTACTTCTTTATTTTATTGGAATCAGAAGTATCCCCTTCTTCTGTTATTCCTTATCCAAGAGACCGATAAAATTCAGAATTATTTCTTTTTAAATCAGTGCGCTATATTTGGTCTCATTAAAATAAACGATCCACTTTGTTTATTAGTTGTTTTGTTTGTTTTTAACTCCAAGTAACTTGTCAAGCTCCTATTTTTTTGTGCCTTTTTTATTCACTTAATCACCATAGACCATCACAACTACCATGCTCTTGCTGATATTCTCAGCCCTGTATGCTTATCCAACCCTTCTCTACCTACATTCATAGCTAGAATGAAATTTTTTTAACCCATCAAATTGTTCCTTCCTGCTTAAAAGCTTTGATGTCTCTCCAATACCTATAGATAAAGATCTTTAACGAAAGCTTAAGAAATGCTCGATGGCGTGGTCTTGATCTCCCTAGAAATTGCACCTTGAGATTGCTTCCCATTTTCTTTCGTCTTTTAAGAATGCTGGCTTATTTTCATCCCTCACTTGATCAGTGCTCTCTCATGTCAAAAATATATTATATAGTAATGTTTTTCAAAGTAGGTTCCTAGAACAGCAGTATCAACCTCATCTGGGCATTTATTAGAAAAGCAACCTTTGGGGTCACATCCTAGACTTCTGAATCAGAAACCCTGTGCGCAGATCCCAGCAGTCTACACTTTCACAAGCCCTCCAGGTGTTTCTGATACATGTTAAATTTGGAAAACCACTTCCATATGCTGTTTCTTCTGTTTAAGACACTCCTACTTCTGTACCCTTGGCGTGCTTGCCTAGGCAATCTGTCTCATGCTGTGGGCTTCAGATCAAAAGTCACTTTTTGGTGTGGCAAAATAGACCCTTAAATGAGGTAGAGTCTACCTATGATACTTACCTGAGGTTTGTTGCGCTTCCTTCATAATTATAGTTGCCATGTAGGATGAGATCAAATACTTTTTAATACATATCTTCTACAAGAAATGCAGGCTCCTGAAAGTAGAGGATTTCAGTTGCTTCTTGGCCATGTATATTCAAGGCTTGTCACATGCCCAGAAGTCATATAATTGGAAAACATTTTTAAGTGAATAAAATGAATGAATGCGTGGTTTAAATACTTTGTTTGTAGAGGTTGAAATTAGTACTCTCTAGTACTTCTCATCTTATTTTCCAGGTTTTGTTAAATTTTTCTGAGAGAATTAATATCAAGGAAGTCCGAACTACAGATATTATTTTCTGATTTCAACTATGTTATATGCAAATGTGTTTTGTGATTAAGGACAAATATATATTTATATATAAGATAGAGAGTTTTAAATAAATATATACTATATATAGTCATATAAATATAATGTGTGTATATATAGACCTATATTTATATATAAACATAGTACCATATATTCATATATATATAGTCCTATGTGATTTATTTTAAAGTCAATGGTTGGTGGGTGAAAATTGTGAACAGGTAACAGTTATTGAAATACTAAATCCAAGTGTAGACTCAATCTTCAGTTTCTTTAATACTCTTCGAAAACTTACTCTATGCAAAATGTTACTAAAATTTTAATAGACTACTACAGCAGTATTTCCAGGTGAACCTGGAAAGGACAGCTGGTGGTGACAGTTTGAACTGCCTAATGTGAGTTGTCCCAAATGTTGATGAGCTGCTCTCTTTCCCTCACCCTTCTCTTTCTACCTCTAAGGGCCTCATCCTGTTCTCTGTGCTCTGGAAAATATTTCATCTCAGAAGATTCTGTTTTCATTTTTTTTTGCTTTTGGTTATGTCTTTTCTTGAATATTAAGAATTTTTTTCTTTATTATAAAAATCTACTGGCTGTTTACTGTTATAGTATATTTTCTAGCAATTTATAATTCTTTCTTTTGAATTTCAATTTATATAACCATATTTCCACACTTTTATTTTATTTACCTATATCTGTATTCATTTTATGCTCCTGTAAATTTTCAAACATCATTGTAATTCTTTCAGCCTGTTTATTTCTAATGCTTCCAGTTCAAACATGCTTTAATATACTTTAGTATTAATATTTTCTTTGCATAATTTGATTGATTTTTTTTATTACCTTGACTATATTTTTCTGGTTTCAAATTTTCTCTTTGTAGTTTTGCTTTTTATTTTCTTAATTTTGTAGTTTAATATTTAAACTATCAATCTTATTTTCTTTTTAAATATTTTTATTTTTGAGTATTTTAATTTTCTTTTAACTTTTCATATGAGAATTTACAGTTTAGCATTTTAGTTTTGGTCTAATCCATGAACTCTTTCAAAATGTTGAATATATTTCTTTAAATTGCATGTATTATTTTTCAGTGATTTATTTTATAATTTCATCAGGAGGCATAACTTTGCAGTTTTTACATAAGAAAATCTCATATTATTGACAGCATAGTTTGAAATTTTTTCATTGCAACTGACCCTTCCCAGCTTCTGTAATAAAAAAGTTATTCATATCATCTATGAATTGATATATTCATATGTTAAACTTTTTATGAAATCACTGTGTGTTAGGGAAGTGTCAGTCTTAGATATGGCAGTGGAACGATGGACTGGATTTTGGTCCATGAAACAATCATGCAATATAAATTCAGATATACACACATAAAACATGCCATGTGATTATCAAGTTATGCCTAATGCAGTCTATGAGACCAGACAGGGGTATATGAAAAAGTGGTATGTAAGCAGAATGTTCCTGGCAGAGAATAGCAAATACAAATGTCCTGAGATAGGGACAAGTCTTGTGGCATTGGAAAAGTAGAAAGAAGATCAGTGCAAATAGAGGGTAATGCCTAGAACTAGGCTAAGAGTAGTGTATGGACGGTAGAGATAAAGTTGATCCTAACTCTGGAGTTTTAAACAGAGCCGAAAGTATGAAGTGGCTTGTAGATCATATTTAATTCTTTAAAAAATCATTCTAGTTCCTGAGTGGAGCATAGAATAAAAAAGATATGAGCACAGAATAATTATAAGGTTATCTGTTGAAGAGATGAGTGTGGCTTGCACCAGGAGACTTGCAGTGGCAGTAGCAATAAGCAGGAGGGCTTCAAAATGTGTAGGAAGTAAAATCAGCAGGATTTAACAAGTGGTTTCTGTTGGGAATGGAGATTAGCTTCTTTGTTAGATAGGGAACATTGGAGGAGAAGCAAGCTTGAGGCAAAATATCTTCTATCAGTTTGGAATATGTTTAGTTTAAAATATGTGTGACGCTAACCACCCACATAAAAAAGTTAGAAAGATTCTTGGGCTCAGTTGAGGCTGAAGTGAGCTGTGATCATGCCAGTGCATGCCAGTCTGAGTGATACAGTGAGACCCTGTCTGAAAGAAAGAAAAAGAAAGAAAGAAAGAAGGAAAGAAATAAATAAATAAAAGCAAGCAAGCAAGAAAGAAAGCGATCAAATTAACAACCTAACATCACACCTAGAGGAACTAGAAAAACAAGGGCAAACCAACCCCAAAATCTAGCAGAAGAAAAGAAATAACCATAATCAGAGCTAAACTGAATAAAATTGAGATAGAAAAAAAAACATTAAAATGATCAAGAAACCAAAAGTTGGTTCTTTGGAAGAATAAATAAGATTGATAAATTACTAGCTAGATTAATAAAGAAAGAAAAAGGGAGAGAAGGTCCAAATAAATACAATCAGAAATGACAAAGCTGACATTACCACCGACCCCACAGAAGTACAAAAAAACACTCAGAGAGTATTAGGAACACCTCTATGCACACAAACTAGAAAGCTTAGAAGAAATGAATAAATTCCTGGAATCATACAACCTCCTAAGATTGAAACAAGAAGAAAATGAACCCAGAACAGACCAATAGCGACTTCCAAAATTGAATCAGTAATAAAAAGCCTGCCAACCAGAAAAAGCCTGGACCAGATGAATTCACAGCAAAATTCTACAAGACATGTAAAGAAGAACTGGTACCAATCCTACTGAAACTATTCCAAAAAATTCAGGAGGAGGGACTCCATTCTAACTCATTCTATGAAGCAGAATTCTTCTGATTTCAAAACTAGCAGAGACACAAGAAATATGAAAACTTCAGGCCAATATCCCTGATGAACATAGATGCAAAAATCCTCAACAAAATCAATCAAATAGCACATTATAAGGCTAATCCACCATGATCAAGTAGGCTTTATCCCTGGGATGCAAGGTTGGTTCAACATATGCAAATCAATTAATATGATTCACCTCATAAATAGAACTAAAAACAACATGTGATCATCTCAAGAGATACAGAAAAGGTTTTGATAAAATTCAATGTCCCTTCATGTTAAAACTGGGCATGGAAGGAACATACCTCAAAATAATGAGAGCCATTTATTACAAACCCACAGACAACACCATACTTGATTGGGAAAAGCTGGAAGAATTGCTCTTGAGAACTGGAATAACAGGATGAGGATGCCCATTCTCACCACTCCTATTCAACATAGCACTGGAAGTCCTAGCCAGAGACACCAGGGAAGAGAAAGAAATAAAAGACATCCAAATAGGAAGAAAAGAAGTCAACTATCTCTCTTCACAGACAATATGATTTTATACCTAGAAAATCCTATAGTTTCTGCCCCAGAGCTCCTGGATCTGATAAACAACTTCAGCAAAGTTTCAAGATACAAAATCAATGATGTACAAAAATTAGTAGCATTTCTATACATTGATAACCTCCAACTTGTGTGCCAAATCAAGAGTGTAATCCCATTCACAGTAGCCACAAATAAATAAATAAATAAATAAATAAATAAATAAATAAATAAATTACCTATTAATACAGCTAACCAGGGAGGTGAAAGATCTCTGTAATGAGAATTACAAAACACTGCTTAAAGAAATCAGAGGTAACACAAACAAATGGAAAACATCCCATGATCAAGAATAGGAAGAATCAATATTGTTAAAATGGCCAGCCGGGCGTGTCGGCTCATGCCTGTAATCCCAGCACTTTGGGAGGCTGAAGCGGGCGGATCACGAGGTCAGGAGATTGAGACCATTCTGGCTAACACAGTGAAACCCCGTCTCTACTAAAAAATACAAAAAATTAGCCGTGCCTGGTGGTGGGCTCCTGTAGTCCCAGCTACTCGGGAGGCTGAGGCAGGAGAAGGGCGTGAACCCGGGAGGCGGAGCTTGCAGTGAGCTGAGATCACGCCACTGCACTCCAGCCTGGGTGGCAGAGGGAGAATCCTTCTCAAAAAAAAAAAAAAAAAAAAAATGGCCATACTGCACAAAGCCATTTATAGATTTAATGCTTTTCCTGTGAAATGAGCGATGATATTTTTTCACAGAATTATAAAAATATATTCTAAAAGCCATATGGAACCCAAATAGCCAAAGCAATCCTAAGCAAAAAGAACAAAGCTGGAGGCATCACACTACCTGACTTCAAACTATACTACAAGGGTAAAGTAACCAAAACAGCATGGTACTGATACAGAAACAGACACATAAATCAATGGAATAGGTTAGAGAGCCCAGAAATAAAGCCATACACTTACAACCATCTGATCTTCGACAATGCTAACAGAAACAAGCAATGAGGAAAGGACTACTTCTTCAATGAATAGTGTTCAGATAACTGGCTAGCCATATGCAGAAGACTGAAACTGGATCCGTTCCTTTCACCATATACAAAAATCAATTTCAAGCTGGATTAGACTTAAATGTAAAATTTAAAACTATAAAAACTCTAGAAGAATACCTAGTAAATACCATTCTGGACATAGGCCCAGGCAAAGATTTCACAATGAAGACTCCAAAAGGAATTGCAACTAAGACAAAAATTGACAAGTGGGATTTCATTAAATAAAGATCTTCTGCTCAGCAAAATAAACTGTCAACCGAGTAAACAGAGAACCTACAGAAGGGGGAAAAATGCACACTATATATCTTACAAAAGTCTAATATGAGAAATCTGTAAGGAATTTAAACAAATTAATGAGCAAGAAACAACCCCAATAAAAATTGGGCAAAGGACTTAAACAGACACTTCTCAAAAGAAGACATACAAGTGGCAAACAAGCATATTAAAAATGCTTAATATCACTAATCAGTAGAGAAATGCAAATCAAAACCACAATGAGATACCATCTCACACCACTCAGAATGGCTATTAATAATGACTCAAAAAATAACAGAGGCTAGTGAGGTTGTGGAGAAAAGGAACACTTATACACTGCTGGTGGGAATGTATATTACCTCAGCTACTCTGGAAAGCAGGAGATTTTGGAGATTTCTCAAATAACTTAAAACAGAACTACTACTGGACCCAATAATCTTATTAGTGGGTATATACCCAAAGGAATATAAATTATTCTGCAGAAAAGCAAGATGCACACATATGATTTTTTTGCAGCACTATTCACAATAGCAAAAAAATGGAATCAGCATAAATGCCCATCAATGGTAGGCTAGATAAAGAAAATGTGGTACATATATACCCTGGAATACTGCATAACCATAAAAAGAATGAGATCTTGTCCTTTGCAGAAACATAGGTGGAGTTGGAGGCCACTATCCTAAGTGAATTAATGCAGGCACAGAAAACCAAATACCACATGTTCTTATTTAGAAGGGGGAGCTAAACATTGACTATATATGGCCACAAAGAGGAAAACAATAGACCATGGTCTATTTGATGATGGAGGGTGGGAGGAGGGTGAGGATCGAAAAACTACCTGTTGGGTACAGGGCTTATTACCTGGGTGACACAATAATCTGTACACCAAACCCCCATGACACACAATTTACCCATTTACCCATGTGACAAACCTGCACATGTACCCCCGAATCAAAAATAAGCATTAGAAAGAAAAAATAAATAAAATAAGTGTGTGCCATGTGTCTGATTTTTATTATACCATTGCTTATCTATGAGATGAGAAAAGAGGTTGTAAATAGAGATATAAATGTGGCTATCAACAGTGTGTTGTTGGTATTGGAAGCTATGAGAGTTGGGGAGATTGCTGAGGATCAAAGATTATGCAATAGGTGACACAGGATGAATGGAAGAGCAGAGACCAGTGAAGGGAACTGATAAGCACCAGCCAAATGATAGTAGAAAATCCATGAAAGTGTGTGTTACCAATGCCAAAGAAAATATTTGAAAGCCAGAAGATGCATCAAGCATGTTGGCAGCTGCTGAGAAACTCAGCAAAATTAATGACTAATGTTTAAGCAGCAAAGACATTTTTGACTTTTGACAATTGTTTCAATGCTGTTAGCTTTGAGTTGATGAATGAATGTGAAGTTAGATAAGAAGGAAAAAAAACAGAAAGGTAGAATCTGGAAGAGGAATGTGGAATCCCAAGATAATTTGTTTGTAGATGGATACCTAGTTTGCATATTCGAGTTATTTTGGGACCACAGGAAAAGTATTGAAATGTTGCTTCTTTGTGGCCCTTCTTTATGAATAAGGAGTTGCATATTTTAATATCCATATTTTTCCATATACACAACCATTGGCATTTTGGAAAACCACAGAAAAATACCTCGCATTCCACATATGAAATGATTTTCTGAATGTCACACTGGGAACTGTAGAAACGAATAGGATGATACAAATGTAATTCTGATTTTTGTCATTAAAAGTCATGGCAAAACTGCAATTACTTTTTCACCAACCTAATACATTAAGGGCATGTCGAGTGGTTGGGTTCACTGAGCACCCAGACACACACGTATCAGTGTTATGGGGACCCAACAACTTCCAAGTAAATGACAGCAGGTTTCTACACAGCAACCAAGATGTGACTCAATTTCATAATTAATCTTTATTAAAACCTTTCACTATATTTGACCTTGGTCACCCCTTCTCTATTTATGTTACCACTTTACCCCATCTCTGTGCCATATGTATTATAGAACTTAAATTTATACAGTAAATAACAGGAAACTCATCACATGCACATGTATTTACCTTAGCTCCTAATGGTGCTCTTGTCCCTCCGATAATAGAATAACCAAGAGTTTTATGTCCCATATTTCACACTCACCACATTCTGTTCTTCCTTGCTTTCTTTTACAAATTATCCTCTACCATCAAATCAAAATGGCATTAGTAAATAAAATACAGACCCTAAAGAACAAGAGTCAATTACACGTGTTCTATTACATATTTTTCTTTGCAAATCAGTTTATATTAAGTTATATAAATTAATATTCTCATTTTACATTGTAATAATTTTATATGCTCATAGTGATGTTACTCATAAAAACTCATAAGAATTGCCTGCATCCTCTTAAGTTATCTAACTTAGGCCTTGGCTATATTTAATCATTTTTATGTATATATATATATGTATACACATATATATAAATATATACATATATGTATACACATATATATAAATATATACATATATATACACACACACACATATATATATACACACACACATATATATACACACACATATATATATAGAGAGAGAGAGAGGGAAACTAACAACAGAGTAAACAGACAACCTACAGAAAGATAGGTTTTGTGTTTACGAGTATATACACATATGAGTATATATGTATATACTATTTTTGGAAGAATAGTTTGAAACTATATAAATCACAGAACTATTTTTTAATGGCCATGCCCTATAATTAACTCTACAGAGCATAGCATGTCTGAATTAAATTCTCTCATTTGAATTTTGCAAGGAGAGTATGTAATTTCTACAGTACTTGTGGCACAATAATATTTTTCACCTCAAGATGTCTACATCCTAACCTGTGGGTCCTTTATTACCTTACGTAGCAACAGAGACTTTACAGGTGTGATTAAGGTAAGGATCTTGTGATGAGAAGGTTATGCTGGCTTGGACAGGTGAACTAAATGTAACCACAAGGATTCTACAAGAGGGAAGGAGGCAAGGAGTGAGAAAACAAACACAGCAAGGGAAGTGAAGGTCAGAGTTGGAGAGCAATGTGTAGATGGTCCTCTGCTTGTCTTGAAGGGACAGGAGCCAGAAGCCAAAAATGCCTTTTCAGATACTGGGAAACACAGGGAAACAGAATCTCTCCCAGAGGCTGCAGAAAGGTCACAGCCCTCAGGACAGATTTGTTTCAACCCGATTAAACCCATTTCATACTTCTGACCTCCAGAACTAAAAGATAATAAATTTGTGTTCAGCCAATATGTTTATGGTGATTTGTTTTAGCAGCAATAGGCATCTAATACTGTATTTTATAATTACCTAGTGTTTATAATGCAATTTTTCGACCATATTTTGTTAGTGATTTCAGTATTGCTTTATGTAGCTGTAGCCATTCACATTCAAACAGTGACAAGCATGGGGCTGCAGGAGAGAAAGAAAAGCCAGGCAACCCTGCTATAAATGTGAGATCACTTGCAAGGACTCCGAAGGTCAGGAGAGCAGGCAGAACTGAATCCCTGCCTCCCTGGTGACTGAATACCTTAGAAATTTCACCTTCTGCCTGAGCTGGAGGACGATGTGCATTGCCACAGAGCAGCTTGGCCACTGGCGTCTCAGGCTGGAGTGTCATTCCCTAAAAAACTGATAAGAATTACCTGCACCCTCCCAGCAGAGTATACCCATGAAGTAACTGAAAGGAGTAATCAAGAAATGTATGTGATATGTATTTCTGTCAATATTTTCATTTCTATAACATGTATGCCAGCTTCATGTGTCTTACAAAATCCAGAGGATACTCGTCTTTTCTCTCCAGTGTAAACCGTCTATCAATTCTGAAGCAATTCAGAAATAGATCCAAAAATATTTCTATGGATGTGGAACAAATTTAGGATGTTTCCCTTTCTGGCATTTAGCTGATAGTACATAATAAAAATGAGGAAAGATTTTTTTTAAATACCCTAGGAAAAATATAAATCTTGGGGAATCCAAATTTGAATTACTGTTTAACCAATCAGCAGCATTTTTGTGCTTTATTATCTTTGTCTGTGTTTAAAATTTGAATAAACATACTCGTACAACAGAAATTTTTCCAAAGTCTGCCCCACATAATAATGTATTTTCAGGTTAACTGTAGACCTGAAATGATGACATTCTATTGTCCCATTAAAATCCCCCTATTCGTGTGTGTCAGAGCTCTTTATAAAAGTATAAGAGAATAAATGCAAATAAATGTCACTTAGCTTGCTCAAATTAACACTTGAAAAATATGTGAGTCATGCCATAAGGGCTGTGCATAAAACACACAAAGAAAAAAGAATTATTCCCAGTGATAATCATGAAGTTGTTGGGCTTGATGGTTGGTTTCTTTTTTTTTCTTTTCTTTTTTTTTCTTTTTTGCAGCTGTGTGCAAATTTTTATATATCAATGGCCATGGGGAAACATTGTCAACATCTGGAGTTTTTATTAAACAAATACCAACAGCTATCATTTGATTGCTCTTTCCCAAAGCAGAGATTAAATAATAGTCTATCAGACACCTGCTGCACGAAATTCATCAGAGCAGCCTGCCCTCTCCATCAAGCATAAAGTGATACCTTCCCTGCCTCCACCAGCACAAAAAACTTGTCATTGTGAGCACAAGTGTGTGTGTGAGTGACTAAAACTGTAAATAGAAGAAAAGAATACTGATCAGTGAGGAACACACACTCTTCCTTATTTAAATAGAAATGTTTATAAAAATTGAAAATGTCATTGTACCACAACATGGTCATGTATTTTTCTGTGAATTTTAAACTCTGCATGTTCTTTTATTACAGCATTAACATGCTTTTAAGGATTATTTGTACATCATAAGAGCAGGCAGGGATCACAATGATTTTCAGAGATAGAAATGGTGGGAGCCCATTAAAACAAGAGCCATCAGAACTGGAGTAAGATAACACTTATTTGTTATTTGCATACATGTTTTCGATACGTTTGAGAGTTGTATGTCTTGAAAATCAGACTATTGGCCTAAATTTCAATTAGCACTTTGCCATTTTAATGCACTGGTCATATTAAATAGAAATAGCTTTAAGATACCATGTGGCAACACTTTTCCCAAAGACAGTGGGCCTCCCCATGTTGCAGGAAGTGCGAGTATAACAGGTGTTGTCAATGAGCACTGTTTGAAATTATTTATATCTGTGCTACAAAAAATGTGGTCCTGAAACCAGCAACATCAAGATTGCCTGGGGACTGGTTAGGAATGTAAATTCCTAGACTCCACAATTAGACCTAGTGGATCCATTTTTGGAAGTGGGGTCAAATATCAGTGTTTCATCAAGGTTTTTCGAAGATTTGTATGCAAACTAAATGAGAGAACCATTAAACCTTTCTCATCAAAAAGTTACTCTTCTGTGTTATTTTGTACATTTTTTCAGACATGCATGACTATCTAGCACCTTTTTCAAATTTAATTTTAAATGGAGGTGATAATATGCAGGAGGAATAGCCACTTTAGTTGAGATAGAGTAAAATTGCTTGGAGTGAAAAAGTTTTCGAGGCTAAGGAAAAAGTTTCATGGGGATGTAGCGTTTGAAAGTGCTTTCCGGGTTATAAACCTAAATATAACAGAGGAAGTAATTCTTAAAGAGATAGATTAATATTAATCTGACTACCATGGCGTAGACTTTTTGTTCTTAAGATATTACAAGAATATTTACACAATAGTAAGTGCATCACTTAGGTGTGTGTTCAAATAAAGTTAATGAATTAAATGTGGCTTAGAATTAAAATTTATTAATTTCACATAATGAAAACTTGTTGCCAGGAAAGTTGCTGAAAATAAATATTAGCAATATTAGTATTTTGCCGTTCTCTTGCTTTACTTCCATGGTTGCAATATACAGTAGTCCCCTGTTATACATTCTAAGGCCTCCAGTGAATGCCTGAAACCACACATAATAGCAAACTCCCAATATACAGGACTGTGTTTTTTCTATACATGCATAGCTATTATAAAGTTTAACTTAAAAATTAGGCACAATAAGAGATTAACAATAATAACACACTAAAAGAGGACAATTATTACAATATGCCAGCATCACTACTCTTCACTACTCTTGTGCTTTGGGGCCATTCTTTTTTTTTTTTTTTTTTTTTTTTTTGAGATGGAGTCTCGCTCTGCTGCCCAGGCTGGAGTGCGGTGGCACGATCTCGGCTCACTGCAAGGTCTGCCTCCCGGGTTCACGCCATTCTCCTGCATCAGCCTCCCGAGTAGCTGAGACTACAGGCGCCTGCCACCACGCCTGGCTAATTTTTTGTATTTTTAGTAGAGGCGGGGTTTCACCATGTTGGCCAGGATGGTCTCAATCTCTTGACCTCGTGATCCACCAGCCTAGGCCTCCCAAAGTGCTGGGATTATACGTGTGAGCCACCGCGCCCTGCCTGGGGCCATTCTTAAATAAAGTAAGTGTTACTTGAACACAGGCTCTGTGATACAATGACAGTTGATCTGATAACCCAGGCAGCTAAGTGACTCACATGTGGGAAGCCTAGACAGCATAGAACCACTGGGCAAATGGACAATTCTTCTTCCAGGTAGGTTGGAGCGGAAGTGTGAAAGATTTCATCACATTACATAGAATGGCTCACAATTAAAAACTCAAGAGTTGTGTATTTCTGGAATTTCCCATTTAATATTTTCAGACCATGAGTGACTATGGGACATTAAAACCATGGATAGTGAAACCACGGATAAGGGATAGCGACTGTATCATCAACTCCATGTTCAGGAAAACTAAAAAAGGAAAGATACCACATGAGATGTAGGTGTCTCTTTAATCAGAAAGGCAAATCCATTTTTAAAATCTTACAACAGGCCTTGAATTAGGGCCTACTGTCACACAAAGGCAATTGTAATGAGGGGTGGTGATAGAGACGGGAGTGGAAATCAATTTGAGGTCAGCCCACTAAAAATATCTGTCTAGAGCTGCCACAAACAATGTTTACAAAACCCAGATCACTATTTTGGTCAATGCTTTTATAATCAATAGATGACATTTATTTAGTGATTCATGTCAATTACCAACATCTCCTGGAAACAAGTCAGTTGAATTAACTCTACTAAAGTGTTTAAGAATAACATCTTTCTATAGGCTTTCTGCTTCTGATGATTCCAGTAATGGGTTTAATGCATGTGATAGAAAGAAGTTAAGCAGTCATTTTCCCAAACCCCTATCGCCAAGAAAATTTACTGATATAAAACAGATGTTCATATACTACTTCCACATTTACCTAGGGACATGGACGGCATGGTTTTTCTCAGTGACCTATCCTAGCATCTCTGTGGATGGGACCTAAAGGATGCTAGCCCAGGACATGGAACTTTGTCAAGCACGGCTTTGTCAGCAGCAGGGAGCTGAACTCGATGAACTTTCAAGGTCTCTTCTAAGGATATTATCAGATTGGCCTGCCTGTGTAGTCTCAGGACTTGTTTATATCCACATGAGGTCAATACTGTCTCCCTCCTATTAATTTTCCTGCCATCTGTGCTGCCAGATGTAGTGAGAACAGGGAAGGCACTCCACCCTTGGGAAGAAAAGGCAGCTCCTCCCAACTGCTCTGCCTCAGCCTCAGAATTGATTCTTCCCTTTGTTCCAGGATATCTGTGCTCTCATTTGCCAACATTAAAGGTCTGTTTACAAAATGAGGTTGAAAATAGCCATGCATTTAGTGCAGAAATGATTTATGGCAAATGGATTAATATCACATTTATTTATTTATTTGTGCTATTTATAAAATACTTTGAAACTTATTTGCTAGCTAGATTACAGCTTGGTATCGTTGAGTGATTGACCAAAGATAATTGAGATAAGATTCACTCAGAGAAGGAATTAAAAGGAGTATAAGTTAAAGAAAGTCGAGTCCTGAGATCATTCTATGACAGGGAGAGAGAAGATATTCTAGAAGTTTCTACTTCTATTCCTAGCACAAATTTGCAAATTATTCCAAGAATGAGAGATACACCAAAGCAGGCAAGTTATGTACCGAGGGCATAAAAGCTACCTCCACCTTTACTATTTCTGGCTGTGCATGTTTTTCTTATTCTTTTTTACCCTTGATATTATAGAACTGAGAATCATGTGAAGTTTTGGGGAAATGTATTCCTCATGCTTAAGTCACCCTTTTGCAAAGTGTGAGAGCTAGAAAGGACTTCCAAGGTCACCCATCTAACTCTTTTCATGTTACAGATACAACTAAGGTTTGCAGAGATGAGGTGATATTCTCCTACACTTTACCGTGCAGTTTTGTAAGGTAAATTGTGCATTCTCGTAAGGATCAATTTCATAATATGTTTGGTATGTTAATATTTTTAGATAATTACTTTTCACACACCCATCCATTAATTTTATCAACCAAATTAAACTTTGTATTTATTGAGTGGGAAAATCGATTATCTTTATGCTATATGAATACTGACATCTTTTAGAACTAAATCTAAATTAAGATTAAACATTCCTAATGCTCTCCTGATGTTCGTGAAGACTAGATGCTTGACTGGATTGAATAGAGACTGATAATAACATAGTAATAATAACAAATGATAAGTTTAGTCTATACAAGCTCTGTTTTATACTCTCTGTGTGTGTGTGTGTGTGTGTGTGTGTGTGTGTGTGTGGCTTTTTTGTATGTTTGTGTTTGTCGTTTTTATTTTATTTTTTAACTTGGGGAAGTCACCTAACTTACCAGGACTCTCATTACCATAAATTGAAATCATTGGTCAAGAAATGAATCAATTGAGTCCCTAAGCTTCATCCTTTGTGATAGAAAATAACATATTTTAGCTTTAATAAATTTTAAATGTAGTTTAAATAAATTATTCAAAGGCTATTCTGGAAAGAAGTAAAGAGAAATCTGTCAGCAGAGACAAGTTCAACGTGGGCTCCAGATTTCTGACCACAAACCCGAAATCACAGGGGACTCAAGGGCAAAGATCAGGAGGAATATTTTGGGAAGCCCGGTCAGCTGAAAGGAAACTACAAACTTATCATCTCAGATTTGGGATCTGGCCACCCACTCCTATTTGGTCAGATCGCATCAATTTCAATGTATGATTTATCCGTGCTTAACTACCCCTGTGGCTTTGCAACTCCTGGCAGTTTTAGTCAAACTAACTTAAAAATTAATTTCCAAATCCCTTGGAAAATTGGAACTGAAGTGTATAAATGTTTGCAGGATTTGATTATTCACAATATTTCAACTATAAATGTTACTGGACATTATTAATAAGGAGAACTGGTCTCGATTTTCATATTATATATATAATATAAAAATTATCTTTGTTTTTTAGTGGAAGCATGAGTATACACTACTTTTAATTCCATTTTATTCACCCTATGCTTCCATAAACTAAAAGGCAGTTATGTCTATGGTAGTTTTGTCATATATACAGTTCTATATTACGCTGATTTTAAATTTTATATCTAACTGAGCTTTTACAATCAAGTGAGCAATGTAAATGGCAAGATAGGATTTGATAAGAAACCTCAGGAAAAGTACCTCTCTTAGGAGGAAAATCAAACAAGAAATAAAATACACATTGGGTTCACTGGGGGGACATTTCAGGGCAAGACATTCTTTATGCTTTTGTGAGTTCTCTTCAGTGTTAGGAGCCTGCAGTAATGGGGAGCATGCAACTTCATTAAACTTCCGAAGTACCTTGGCACTGCTCTTCTGAGGAACACAGTGGCCAGCGTTAGTGGGCACTAGGATGGGGTCGTTAACAGACAGCTCACCTGAATGGTCACTCATACAAAAATTCCACCAAAACCTAAGACATTTCCTTTCCAAAAAATCAGAAGAGAGATGGAACTCAAATCCTTCGAGCAAACAAGAGTTTCTAAAAGAAAAGTAACTTTGAAATGATCAGTCCTTTTTTTTCCTTTTCTGTTTGAGCCTATTTATTTAAAATTTCAAGACATTATTTATCTGTTAAGGATTTTTTACAATTGAAGCATAACTTACATACCGTAAAATCTACCCTTTTTGTTTTATAGTTCTTGAGCTTTGACAGCTGTATACATTCACGGGACTACCACCACAACTAAAATATAGAACCTCCATGTAACCCCCAAACTCCCATGTGCTGCTCCTTTCAGCCAGGCCATTCCTTCATCAAACAACCACTGATCTGTTTTTAGTGCCTGTAATTTTGCTTCTTCTGGCTTATTTCACTCAGCATGCCTTTGAGATTGATCCATTTTGTTGAGTGTATCAATGGAAAAATGCTTAACATCACTAATCATTAGAGAAATGCAAATCAAAACCGCAATGAGATACCATCTCACACCAGCCAGAATGGGTATTATTAAAAAGTCAAAAAATAACAGATGTTGGCAGGGTTGTGGAGAAAAGGGAACGCTTATGCACTGCCGGTGGGAATATAAACTATGAATAGTTCAGTCATTGTGGAATGCAGTTTGGTGATTTTTCAAAGAACTCAAAGCAGAATTTCCATTTGATTCAGCAATCCCATTATTGGGTATATACCGAAAGGAATATAAATCATTCTACCATAAAGACACAGGAATGCACATGTTCATCGCAGCTCATTCACAATAGCAAAAGAATGGAATCAACCTAAATGTCCGTCAATGGTAGACTGAATAAAGAAAATGTGCTGCATATATACCATGGAATACTATGCAGCTATTAAAAGGAATGAGATAACGTTCTTTGAAGCAACATGGATGGAGCTGGAGGCCATTATCCTAAGAAAACTAATGCAGACACAAGAAACCAAATACCACATATTCTCACTCATAAGTGGAAGCTAAACTTTGAATACATGTGTACACAAAGAAGGGAACAGGCACCAGGGCCTACTTGAAGGTGAAGTATGGGAGGAGGGTGAGGCTGGATAAACTACCTGTTCGGTACTATGCTTATGACCTCGCTGACAAAATAATTTTCACAGCAAGCCCCATCGACATGCAATTTACCTATCCAGCAAACCTGTCCACATGCCCCTAAACCTAAAAGTTAAAAAAAAAAATGAAAAACAAAAATAAATAAAAAGAACGGGAGCACACATCCAAATAATGGAATACTACTCAGCAATAACAGACCAGTCCTCTTTTTGTTCCTGGTTTCCAATTTCTTCAGCCTTTTCCGAGTATTAAGCCCACCCGCTCTGTTCAGCTCATGTGAGCTTATTCATTTTTAGAGGAAATGATGACTGATCCATGAATTGCTAAGAAGAGTCTATTTGATTTTTACCACTTAATTTGTTAAAATTGTGTCCTTTGACAGGAGCCAAATTGCCTCTTGGACTATTTTTTTTTTTTTTCCTGGACATTTGCTGCTAAACCTTGGAAGGAGGTGAAACACGAAGTTGCCTCAGGTTGCCTTTAATATTTCCATTGCCTTTAGACTTAAAATTGTTTACCTTCTAAGAAAAATACAACTATAGCAATCTCTTTGGTAATTCCTTAGTAGTAATTCTTTTCAGGTCTCTAAGAAAGAAACACCTGTAGAATTTTGTGTTTTCTTGTAGCAGGAATCACCTTCATTAATTTTCTATGGATTTAGCAGATCCCGAGAGGATTTTGACAAAGAATCATGGATAGAAGAGAGACTCCAAGGATAGGTAGAAAATTACCGAAGATGAATAACCAGGTTGATATTTTTATCCTGGCCCCTGAGATATAATAAAAAGAGCACTGGGTCTGAAGTCATGGAGCCTACTTTTACATCCCAGCTCTGCCAGTTATTATATGACCTGGAGCAGTGAGCTGGGTTTTATAAGCCTCAGTTTTTCTTCTACACTGAAGTAGAATGAAGATAACCTCTTTTCCTCAGATTGTACGTGATAACTAATTGGGCACATAGAAACACTTAACAGGCCAATGGTAACTATTCAGGAAGCATTTATAAAAATTAACTGCATCTGAATGTATATATTAATTTAGATATTCTTGAGTATTTCTCTGAGAATTAAGTTCACTTTTAATTTATCTAATGCTGTCTTTGATATGTACCTAAAAATTATATTCTATAATTTATGCAAGCTCCAGATTTGGGATTCATTCTATCTACTCATTACGCTTCCCTTTCCAAAGTCCTTTAGACTAAAGGATATTCTGGGAAAACAAATAGTAGTAGAAGTTCATCAGCCATATGTGGTCATGGGAAATGAAGGCCCTCCTAAAAAAGACTTCCTAAAGAAGAGGCCATTTGTTATCACGTCACTGAATTTCAGGATCAGTATTGGAAGAAAATGAAGTTCATTCTGCTTCTTGTATAAGATTTTCATACCTAATTGAGATTGACAACTAGGCTCTACATAATAATTTTCCTTTCCTGAATTCTTTTTATTCATTATAGAACAAATTACTTCCAGTTACCACTGTATTTTTATTAGAAATAATTATATAAAACAGTGTGGGTTTGAGAAATTGAGATATCTCTATAATTTACAAGCTACTTGGCTTCAAAAAATAACTTAGACAAATCATTGTAGTGTAAAAGTTTGAATAAAAACCAGACATATTAACATAAGAAGAGGTAGAGTTTTAAGAAGATCAATTACATATATTGGAAGTATGCCCTTTAAATTTAATATAGCAAATAATTGGGATATATTTTAGACTAAATATGATTAACACAGTCAAAAAATAGTGAATTACAAAATAGAAATAAAGGGCTTATACAAAATGTAGCGTACAGAGTCAAAAATGTAAATATTAAGAAAGGTTAGAATAGTAAGAGAATTTAACTTTTATTTAGTAGGATAAAAATCCAACTATAGCAATCTCTTTGATAATACCTTCGTAGTAATTCTTTTCAGGTCTCTAAGAAAGAAACACCTGTAGAATCTTTGTGTTTTCTTGTAGCAGGAATCACCTTCATTAATTTTCTATGGATTTAGCAGAACTCTGAGGAGATTATGACAAAGAATCATGGGTAAAAGAGAGACTCCAAGGATAGGTAGAAAGTTACCAAAGATGGAAAACCAAGTTTATATTTTTATCCTGGCCCCTGAGATATAATAAAAAGAGCACTGGATCTGAAGTCACGGAACCTACTTTTACATCCCAGTTATTTAGTAGAATAAAAATTAAATTCTCAAAATATATCTAGTAGTAATTGCAAAAGAAGTCAAAAATAAAAATAAAAATGTTGCAGAGAAACTATAAAAGATATACATGTTAATTTCCCAGAATATCAAAATGAGTAGTTTTTTTCACTGCAGGTGACTGTGAATACCACAAAAGATGAAAATAAAATTAGGTAGGTTGTAGGAATATTAAATACTAGTACTAATATAAATTTGTAAAAAATTATTTTTACAAGAAACATATATATATGAAGAAAATTAGATAAACAGAAACAATAAATAGCATAAAGTCAATAGCAGCGTTATTGATAATAACCAGGAGGTGGAAGTAAACTAAATACCCAGAAATGAATTCTGTTCTATGCTACAACGTGATGAACCTTGAGGACATTATGCTAAGTAAAATAGAGCAGTTACAAAAAATCAAAAACTGTTTGCACATATATGAATGTGATATCTAAAGTAGTCAAATGAACAGAAACAAAAAATAGAAAGGTGGTTACCAAGAGATGTGGGGAGGAAGCAAAGGGGAGGGTCTTAGTGGCTGTAGAATTTCAGATTTGTGAGATGAAAAGGTTCTGAAGATCTGTTCATCAATGCATCCATATATATATGTGTGTATTTATTTATATATATAAATTTAATTTAATAAATTAATTAAATTATTTTACAATAGCAGTTGAACTCCAAAAATCTGTATTAAATGATTTTATAATTAATTTAATTTAATAAATATTAATAATTTAATAAATTAATTCAATGTATAAATATATATTTAATGCTACTGAATTGTAGTGTTAATGTAACTTAAATAGATATATTTAATTCTACTGAATATATATTTTATATATTTAACACTACCAAATATATATATTTAATACATGTATTTTTAACACTACTGATTTGTAGTTAATATAAATTAAAAGAGTTACATTGTAAATTTCGTTATGCATATTTTTTTACCAAAATTTTAAAAAACTTACAGGCAATGATTAACAACTTCAGAGTAATCAGAGAAAATAATTTTCAACTGGCAATATTATACTCAGCTAAATAAATCAAGAGTAATAAAAAATAAAATCATCTTCCAAGAGCAGTTGAGCTCCAAAAATCTGTATTAAATGGATTGTTGAAGAATCTATCTACTTAAACAGGGAAAAAAATCATGTTAATATTAAAAACTGGGTTGAAACAACACTAGCGTTGCAAATAAATATATATGTATATATATAACATATCATGTATATTTCTTTTAAAAATATGGGGGAATAGTCAAAATTTTAATGTGATAAAATACCTGTATTAAAACTAAGCATATTGCAGACTTAGTGATTAAAGTTTAGAAGACTTTTAATTGAAGTGTTTTGGTGTTGTTTAAATGAGTTTCCTCTTTGTCATCATTTTTATTCAACATCCACCTAGAAATGTTAACCGAAAGTGCAAAATGCCAGGAAAGAAGCATACAACCAATGATAGCAACAAAACTTAAAAATACTAGAGAAAAGAAAACATGTCTTATTAACAGAACATATGATTACATTAACTTAGGTATTAGACAATGCATTTGAAGATTGTCTAAAACAAGATTGATTTCGCTTTTTCATCAACACACAGACATGTGCATGTGTGCACACACACAAATAGAAAATGTAATAAGAAAGTAAAGGATCCATCATCTCAATAATCAAACCTGTAAGATACTATATTAACCAATATGTGAAACCATTTATGGAATTAATATTAAATATTACCAAATACAAAAGACATAAAAATGGGAAATATAATATGCTTAGGGATATTGTAAAATGTCACTATTTCTGAAACTAACCCATATTTCAGTGTTTTGAACCCCCATATAATTTTTTAAAATTCAATTTGAGAAGTTGACCTACAATTTTATGAACGACTAATGAACTGAAAATAACCTGGATATACTTGAAAACAATAACTTGTATGTCAAGAAAGTGTGGTACCAACACAGAGAATAAAATGGACCAATGGAACAGGAAAGACAACGCAAACAGATTCTTACATATAAGGACCTGATAAATAACCCCGATGGCACCGCAAATTAGTGTGGAAAGGCAGTACTATTTAAGATCTAGTGAAGAAAAATTATTTCTTCTTATTTCACCACTAAAAACATATTAATTCCAGGTAGGTAATTGATAAAACTTCTAGAAAATAATACAAAAAATATTCTAATGACTTCAGAGTATGGTAAAATGTGCTACAGCAGAAACTATTAAACATATGATCAATAAATGTGACATTAAAACTTAAAACATTATTTAATAAAATATGCCATATACATGTTCAAAAGATAATACTCCCGAAGTGATGTCTGCATTACATTGAACCAACCAGTAATTTGTATTCAAAATTTTAATTGAAAGTCAATAAAGTAAGGCAAATATACAAATAATCAAACAACGCCATAGAGAAATAGTCAAGGTATATACACAAGTAATTCAGAGAAGAGGGAATGGTATGGCAAACCAAATATTTCAAAAATGACAAAACTGAAACATATTAAGTCAAATGAGAATTAAAATGAAAATAAGGTAGTATTCCAGACAAATGAGATTGAGAAAAAGATAGCATTCTGACAACACCCACATTAGGTGAGGATGTTGTGGGAGGGAACTTTCCAAGCCACATGAATTTCCATCACAATTAAAAGAGGTAAACCAATGGATTAGAAGACAAACAGACGTGCATCAGTGACATGATCTTAGGGAGGGTGCACCCATGTGGATACATATTTTAAAATATCTCATGAAAAGAGCAAGATGCACCATGATATGTAGTATATATTTACACCAAATGTGAACTCTTTAAATTTTAGAAATGCCAGTTGAACAACACTGTTAGAAGATAAAAAATTAAAAATATTGATCATCTTTGGGGAGAAAAGAAGTAGGAAAGAGATTGGAAGAGGAAATAAAAAGGGAGGATCAACTGTATCTGATATATATATATATATATATATTTTTTTTTTTTTTGAGATGGAGTCTCACTCTGTCACTCAGGCTGGAGTGCAGTGGCGTGATCTCAGCTCACTGCAAGCTCTGCCTCCTGGGTTCACGCCATTCTCCTGCCTCAGCCTCCTGAGTAGCTGGGACTACAGGCGCCCACCACCAAGCCCGGCTAATCTTTTGTATTTTTTAGTAGAGATGGGGTTTCACCATGTTAGCCAGGATGGTCTCGATCTCCTGACCTCGCAATCTGCCCGCCTTGGCCTCCCAAAGTGCTGGGATTACAGATGTGAGCCACCGCGCCCGGCCTCTGCTATTTTTTTACGTCATCGAAAATATCCTCGTGCAAATATGGCTAAATTATAATTATTGAAGAAGAGGTGAGAATATGAGTATTCACGTACTTTTAAAAGCCTTTTTTCCTTGGTTTTTGAAATATTTTATCTTAATGATACGTTAAAATAACAAAAAAAATATGTCAGGGGGGAAAATCCTAGAGCACACCTTAAAAAACAAGTTAGAAGATATTTTTAATTTTTCAGTATTAAGTCGAGCCTCTGGTTAGGCCACTAAAGCTGGACCTGTACTTTTTCAATTATAGATTTTGCTGATCTCAGCAATATTTCAAGAGTCAACACTTCACAATTTTCAAACTGTTGCAGAATAGTGTTTTACTGTTCAGTTTTACAAAGTCATGAACATTTTGAAGTAGAAGTTTCTGTATTGATATTATTCAACATGGCACTATGCCTCAGTTAAGCAACATGGACATCAAAATAATATTGAGCCCTCTGGTGAGGCTGCAAGCACACCTGCATACGAGATTCTCAGAGTTTTGTATTTTTATTTCAGCAATCCACCTTCTCTCAAATCTCCCATGAATTCAAATAACACTGGGACATTACTTTACAACATCTGGTTCTTAGTGTCAGGTTATGGTGTGAAGTAGCACTCAGAGATTTGGAAAGGAGACTAAATACAAATGGTCCCCTCTTTTGTGTATTTTCAATGCAAATGAATCGGACCAGGACATAACCCCAGGGTCCCTACGACCTCAATATAAAAATATATATATATGTGATAAAGCAATCCAAAGTAGCACTTTTATTTCTTTCAGTTGAATGAATATTTATAAATCGTGGCACTTTTCCCACTCCTCTGAGAAGCATGAAGATGTTTAGACATGATTCAGCAGCTTCAAGAACTTGATGTTTTAAAAGGGACATGGGGCATATATAAATAATAATATAAATGAGAGAGCTCATTCTTGGGACATGAAGTTTCATAGAGAATTGTGCCCTGAAGAAAGTAATGAAGGCATTCTGGAAGTGATAACAGGAAATCTGAACATTGATGGGCAGATAGAAATTTCACTGGCACACATTTAAACTAACTTTTTTTCCTTATTATAAAGGTAATATATATTCTTTATTGTTTTTAGGAACTTAGGGTAATTCAGAAAAGCGCTGTTAAGGGGATTTCTCGCTGTTCGTGATGTCCTTGTGCATTTCAGTAAATAATGGAGGTCTCCTGCTATTTCCTACGAGGGGGTACCCGGGTTCCCACAGGAATAATAGCGGCTAAACTGATGCTGACCCTGTGACGGTGACCAGGCCAGATTTCCACCGTGGGGTTGTCGCTTTTCCTTTCAAGTAGAAAACAGGGTCCAGTCTTCCGCTTTCTCTATGGAAACACTTGGAAAACAGGTTTGAAGGGAGTTGATGGCTGTGGTAGAGTGAGAGGCTATCTCCTGTAGAGACATTGTTTGAAAAATATTCGTATGAAAGAATTATAACCACTTTCTCCAACACATTACATTTATTATCTATTTTTTGGAGCCTTTTAATTGAAGTGTTTATTTTTCCTTTTAATTTCATCCAAATTCAGTCTTCCCTCGGTAGAAGCAGGAGATTGGTTCCAGGATCCAATTACACCAAAATCCACAAATACTCCTGTCCTACAGCAGGACCTGCAGAATCCGCATGGAAGAAAAGTCGGCTCTCCATACCTGTAGTTTTGTATCTGAGACTACTGTATTTTTGATCAGTTTTTCTTTGGAAAAAAAAATCTGCTTATAAGAGGACCTGGGCACTTCAAACCCATGTTGTGCAAGGGGCAGCTGTACTCTCCCTTCCGTGTGTCTGTTCTTTTCTAGGCCTTTGTAATAGATGCAGGAGGCAGATGGGGAGTGGGGTGGGGCCCCCAGAGAATCTCTGACCCACCCCACAGTGTTTACCTCAGATGCTTTTGTGCAGATGGAGGAACTTGCCCCGGGTCTTGTCTGCCGAGTCCCACAACAGACTGGGGGCCCCGCTGCGCGCTAGGAGCATGGGGTGGAGCCACGGGCAGCTTGCGCCTTGTGCAGCGGCGAGGAGCCTGGCCTCTTCAGCTTCTGTGGGGTGGCCTGGTGTTGAGTCTGTGAGGCGGGAGCGTGTTAGCAGGACCCCTTCTTTTTTTGCTGAGAGCTTTCTTTTAATAAATTCTGCTCTCCTCACCTTTCAGTGTGTCCACGTGCCTAATCTTTCCTAGTCGTGTGACGGGAACCCAGTTTTAGATGAACTAAGGAGCAAAGGTCCCGCATCATTTGCATGCATACTATTCTCCTCGAGAGTTTCCCTCTGTGTAGTGTTCACCTTGGGCTGGACCCCTTCTCCATGCCGATTCCTGAGCCAGGGAAGATTGCATGCCAGGTCTTACCTTCAAAGAACTTGAGGTCAAATGCTTGACCTGCCTTTCCTGGTCTGGAATGACTGAAGCTTCTCTTATATGCTCCTTGGTCTCTGGAACACCTTTACATGGTCGTTTTTGTTTCCTGTTTTCTTTTCTTTTCTTTTTTTCTTTCTTTTTTTTTTTTTTTTTGAGACGGAGTCTCACTCTGTCGCCCAGGCTGGAGGGCAGTGGCGCGATCTCGGCTCACTGCAAGCTCCGCCTCCCGGGTTCACGCCGTTCTCCTGCCTCAGCCTCCCGAGTAGCTGGGACTACAGGCTCCCGCCACCACGCCCGGCTAATTTTTTTGTATTTTTAGTAGGGACGGGGTTTCACCGTGTTAGCCAGGATGGTCTCGATCTCCTGACCTCGTGCTCAGCCCGTCTCGGCCTCCCAAAGTGCTGGGATTACAGGCTTGAGCCAACGTGCGCAGCCTACTTTCTGTTTTCTTTCGTTTATCCACCATAGCAACAATGATAAGCCTAATCCTGAGATCATACAAGAAAAAAATTCAAGAGACACATGAGAATTTAGGGTGCTTGAGGGCTGAGACTGTATCTAGTTCATCTTTCTGTCACCTGTGTACCCGATGACTATGGCCACCTCTGAGTCCCTGAAGCAGGTCTTCACCCAACTCCTGAGCATACATTATAAGCCTCTGTGTGGATGGTGTTTGTCAACTGTTTTCTTACCGGACAGTATTCCATTCTGTTCCATTTCCTCTGACCAGGCTGTTACATAATGGTGTTTCACTCCTCTGCAGTTCAAAACAAAGCTTAACTGTTCAGCACTTCTCAACCTATATTTAAGTAAGGGAATTACAAAGTCACACTTATATACTTATGTAATTTTTTTATACTGTGTACACACACACACACACACACACACATATTCCTTCAATGTTACACATAAATCTAATTCTTGTATAATGATTTGTAGTTGGAAAAAGAAAGAAACTTAATGCTTAAAGCTTTCACATCTTGCCGGGTTTAATTCTTTGTAAACTAAATTCTGGTCATTATGTCTATCAGTTGCAGTAGTATTTTAATTAAATGTACATTTTTATGGAAAGTGATGGCTTCATATGAAGGATCCTGTATATATTCAAGCCCTGTCTTTCTTTCTTGTTTTTTAATTGACATGTAATAATTATACATACTTATGGGGTGCAGAGTGATATTTTGATACATTGTATGTAATGCGTAATGATCACATCAGGGTAATTAGCATATCCATCACCTCCAGCTTCTGTCATTTTCTTTGTGTTTGGAAGCATTCGGAACTCTATCTTCTAACTATTTGAAAATATACAATGAACTACTCTTAGCTATAGTGACCCTGCAATGCTATAGAAATTCCTCCTATCTAGCTGGAATTTTGTATCTTTATCCAACATCTCCTTATCCTTCTCTCCCCCATACCCTTCCCACCTCTAAGAATCACAATTCTAGTCTTTACTTCCATGAGCTCAATTTTTGTAGCTCCCACGTATGAGTAAGAACATGTGATACTTATCTTTCTGTGTCTTGGTTGCCCTGTCTTTCTCAGTAGACTTTAAACCATTCCTGCACTGGTTATGAATGAAGTAAGTAGATTGCCTTATTATCTAGCTTGTGGGTTAAAAAGAGGATAATTTCTCTTTTTTAATTTGCATAAATGTTTGGGGTACAAGTGTAATTTTGTTATATGCGTAGACTTCATAGTGGTGAAGTCGGGGCTCTTAGGGTATCCAGCATCCAAATAACACACAAGGTACACATTCAGTCATTTTTTTTAATATCTCATTTCTCTCATCTCTTCACCCTTGGGAGTATCCATTTTCTGGCATTCCACATTCTACCTTCATGTGTATACATTATTTAATTCCCACATTGACTTTCTATATCTGACTTGTTTCATTTAAGATTCTTTTTTTAGTAAACAGAAGAATACAATGTATCATTTATCTTTAACAATATTTTAGCAATAGTAGCCCTAATGTCTCCATAACTGATTGTCTTCCAATGAACAAAAAAGGAATAATACGTGGAATTTCCTCTAAAACTCATTAGAAGAAAAAATAAGAACAACAGATAATTTATTGTAGATGACTTTCTCAATACTGATATTAATTATTGTAAACTATCCCCCCTCTATGTTGAAGTACAAAGTTACATTTGTATATGATTTGTATGAATGTGATATCTATTCATGGGTTAGGCCAGTGACTCAGCATATTCCATATTGCATCCAAATCTGACAGCCTTTCTCTACAAATAAAAAGTTTCAGAGAAGGGAAAAAGAGCAAACAAAATAAATGCATGCACATGCATATAAAATGCAAAAAAGACACCTAAGTTGCAGACAGAGTGATGATCTGGGTCTGCAGGAAGTTATAATGGTATCAATAGGGAAAAACTGTCAGGAAGCAAACACTTAAGGGAGTATAGACTTCATGCACATCTGTTCAGGCTCAGAAGCTTCTTCGTGAAGTACACAGCAATAATAACAGTGTTCACATTTAGAGAAATTATTACAAATATTCAATATATATTATATATTACATAGGTTACCAAGCAATCTCTAAGTATATATGTGCAAAGTAATTATCACGAATGTTTTCTAGTTTCTGTTTCTATTGTGTTAGGGTGAGAGACTGTGTTGGATTTAGAACAGTGTCAACATTATCAGTATGCCAGCTGAAATATGATTATATTTTATCTCATAAGTTATTTTAGAAATGAACTAACAAATATACCTGAGGATATTATAAATTGTTACATTTTCTGCATATACATTTTGGGAATATAGGCCAAGTCTTCCAAGAAAAAATTAAGGTAGAAATTGATTTAAATAGAAAAGATCCAGTGAATTGATTTAAATAGAAAAGATCTATTTTTTAAAAAAAGATGAAATTCATTATTTGGTCCTGGGCCTACTGCTTTTTTAAAAAAAAGATAGCTAGTAAAATATCTTCAAAAATATGTGGTGTACTAATTTCTCCACAGAAATTTCATTACCTGAAGCCAATAATCTCTTAAGTTACTCTGAGGTTACAACAATGTATATCACATTCCTCCAAATTTTTGTCTTTCTAATTGTTTCAAAGCTTAACCCATGGAGAAGTAATAATTGTTTTAATAATCTACTACACATCTACAAATCCACACAAATTGCATGGTTCACAAGTAGATTTTAATTACTTTCTTCAACAGGAAAACACTGTTAGTTATTATTTTACAGCTTTATTTTTCACTAGCCATGGAAGTTCTGATCTTATTTAACTTAAAATAGCATCCGTTTTACAGATGAAGTTATAAAAGAATCTCAGATGCACACTTTTATTCCCATAGGTTGGTTACTATAAGGAGGAAAATGGCATACTATATATTATAGTATATGGCACTTTACATGATTTACACACATGATTTAAGTGCACACAAATGCAAGCATACATATTATCAAAGTGTATGTGTGCATTTCACATATATCTGAGGCCCTTCAATATGTAATATTTATTCTATTTCATAGACAAATCATGCATTCCCTACAACTGATTCATATGTCCTGCAACTTGAGTAAGATTATGTTTTCTAGTGTTTCCTCATTTCTTCTTTACTTTGTAAACTCTAGTTCTATATATACTTTCCTTTTTAGTCATTGGTACAAATAATGTCAGTATAAATCATAATTTTAATAGATTCAATTTGATTCCTTTGGGGATTCTGATATTTTTGGTAAACAAACATATTCATAAAATTATTTATGGATGTTGGTATATCTCAACAGAAGAGAAGAAGGTAGTGTAATCGATGCAGAAGCCAAAAATAAATAAATAAATACTAGTCAACATTACACACAGTGGACACACATCCGTGGGTGAATAACGTTATGCTTATTTCCAAAACGTTATAACCCAACAGTCTGTTTTATAATCTCTATTGTGAATCTCCTTTAAAGTCGTGTAGTGACTTTATGCATATTCTGTTATTCTTCCCTCTGCCTAAAATGATTTCACTTTCATCGTCCATGTAGATAATTTGTAAACATTTTCAAGGGTAAAATCGAATGCTGCTATGAATCAAATATTCAGGAAACTTCCCTTTTATCCACACTTTTTACAACCTGGCAACTAAAGAAACTTTTACTCTGTGTTTCCATGGCCGAGGACAAGAATGTCTGTGCTCACCACTTCTACTCAGTCTTAGTTTAAGATCCTCCCCAATGCAATAAAGCAAAAAAAATAAGATACATAAATACTAAAAAGAAAGACAAATATGATCTTTGTCTACAAGTGTGACTATTTATGTAAAATTCTGTAGAATTTACAAAAAATGCTAGAAATAGTAAGTGAATTTATCAAAAAAAGAATGCTAAGTGGACATACAATCTATTGCATTTCTATGTACTAGTAGCAAACTATTGGAAAATTAAAATCTTAAGTGTTCTATTTAAAATTGCACCAGAAACAAAATTTATAGGTATAAATATAGATATATAACAGACACGTATATTGTTATAGTAAAATATATGCATTAAAACTTTTCTGAGATAAATTTAAAAGACTTAATGGAGAAGCATACTGAGCTCCCAGATTGGAAGATTCAATAATTTTTGAAATGCTAACTCTACACACCCTTATCTAACTTCCACATTTGAGATTCCTCTAAGTCCAATCACAGTTCCAGTAGGATATTTTGGCAGTTGTTTTGGTGTTGACTGAATTATTGTAAATTTTATATGTAAATGTAACATATTTTAAAATATAAAATATCTAGAATAGTCAAAATAAACCTGGAAAAAGGCAAAACTGAGTGACTTAATCTGATGATTTCAAGTCTTAGTATCTGTTCATAATAATGAACATAGTGTAGATTTGATACAAATATAGACAAAATAAACAAATAGATTTGTGGTCAGAGTAGCAAAGGAGCAAGTTATGGAGTAGAACATCACAAACTTTTCTGTTGTTTTTAAAAAATAAATGCTAAGGCAGTTCAATGGAGAAATGGAAAATATTTTCAATTAATCGTGCTTTAACTGGATTATTTTATGAGAAATAAATGAACCAGGAACATGACTGACAAGAGTAATTTATAAAAGTTAATACATAACGACTAAATGTACATATAGCAAGAATGGAAGTTTGGTTTAACATTCAAAAATTAATTAATACTCACGCCTGTAATCCCAGCACTTTGGGAGGCCTAGGCGGGCAGATCACGAGGTCAGGAAGATCGAGACCATCCTGGCCAACATGGTGAAACCCCAGCTCTACTAAAAATACAAAAATTAGCTGGACGTGGTGGCGTATAACTGTAAACGTAGCTACTTGGGAGGCTGAGGCAGGAGAAGCACTTGAACCAGGGAGTCAGAGGTTGCAGTGAGCTGGGATCGCGCCACTGCACTCCAGCCTGGCGGTAGAGAGAGACTCCATCTCAAAAAAAAAAAAAAAAATTAATACACTGAGAAAATTCACATGATTATTTCCATAGATATGGAAAAAGCATTTGACAAAATCCAACACTTATTCATAACTGAAAACATTGACAAACTAGAAATAGGAATGGTAGACCTAAAAGTAAAAATTATAAATTATCTATGAGAAAACATTGCAGAAAATTTTATTACCTGCATAGGCAAGATTCTTACATCATGATCATGATGGGAGAGATGCATACCTCAGTGTTTAATTTCTTGTTGGTTCTATTATCAGTTGTTGTTGTAGTTATTTGTATTTAATTTCTTTTTAACTAGAGTTCATTTTAGAGCAGTTCCAGGTTCATAAAAAAATGGAGCAGAAGTTACAGACTTTCCATATCCCCCCTATGCCAACACATAGGCACAGTCTGTTTATGTCTTTATCTGTCTCTCTAGTTTTTGGTAGGCACTTTGCCCTGAGACGTCTGGCTGATCCAAGAAAAGACACTGATTTTCTGATTCTTCAGTTTTTCCCCTTGTTTTAAAGATGGCACCAGTAACTTTCATTCTGCTTATGTATCAGGTACTGGATATCAGATTCACCAATTTTTAACCTTTGTTTTATCGTATTCTTTTCTTCCTCCCTCCCTGTCTGCTTCTCTGTCTCTTTCCTTCTCTCATTCCCTTCCTCTTTCCTTCCATATCATTCTTTTTTCAGAATCATGCTGAAAATATGTAGCAATTTTATTCCTTAAAACTTCAGGATCTTCAGTATCTCATAAGAGCGAAGATATTCTGTTTCATAACAGCTGGGTTATTAAGTTCTGGATTTAACAAGGGATTCTTCATAAGAAAATGAAGACCCAAAGAATTAGTAAAACCTAAATGGTTTTATACTAAGTTGAGCAAAGATAAGCAATTGTGGAACTATAACTAGTTTACATATATAACTATAACTAGTCCCACATAGTTTACTATGTGGGAAGGCTAAAATAAAAGAAGAATTATTTTAACAAGTTCTGTTTGTACAGAATTCTCTCTTAGCTATGACTTCTCCTTGAAGAAAATTTATTTTCTTCTGGTACAGAGATGACATCTTTCACACAGGAGTTTGTATCCCTTGTTTTGGAGAAGAAAAGGGGGAGATTAGATTGCTCTTCTTGCATCTGTTGTTGCCTTGTTGACTTTAGCTCGAAATAACCCCTACGCCAAAGCAGCGTATTTTCAGGTGTCCTATTCTGCCACCCTGCATATAATATTTCCACCTCCTCAGCCATTCACATCCTGATTGTATCAAAGTTAAAATTATTTCATGAAGCATTTTCTTCCTTCATTGTGGCATCCAGGTGCAGATCACATACTGTATTTTTTTCATGTCTACTTAGAACCCAGGCTTTCTTTAAAAACTATTTTTCAGCCTATTTTCTTTCATGACACTGGCATTTTCAAGGAATTGGGCCAGTTAGTCCATACAGTGTTCCTCAATTTAGTTTTGTCAGATGCTGCCTTATGTGTTGATTCAGGCTATATACTCCTTGTGGGAATTTCATGTGGAGACATTTTATTTCTCTCATATTGTTCCAAATGGAAATATTGGGAAAATATGGTATGTTGGTGATGTTCATTTTGACAGCCAGTCAAGGAGTTGATTGTTTCTCAGTAAATGGAGAAACGTTGCAATTAAAACGCAATCCATAAAGAAACACGTCGAGAATATGTAAACGTTCTGCCCCTAATCAATATTTTCTCCTGGATTTTGCCTCCAGTGATGCCTGTCCATCTTCACGATCCTCACCTCAAACCCGTGATCTGCCACGTCTGCAGCTCTCTGCACAGGTGGCCCTCTGCATGCCACCCAAGGGGGAACCTTCTCTCCACCTCATGTCTGTCTGTCTTTCTTTTTATCTATTATCAGTATTGACTTAAACACTTCTATATTTCAATGGTTTTACAATCCATTGAACCTTTATTTTGATGCCCAAATTGTTCTACATCTGGTCAGCGTGGACTCCTTCAAACTGGCTCTTGCTTTATTTTTTACCTTTACCTGTCTATTTTTTTTTGCACTTCCTTATTTCCTTCCACAGAAAGATATCCTGATATCCCAAGTGTTTTCTGTGCCATCCCAGTTTTAGTCTTGGGATTGGATGTTTTTTCAAAGAGACCAGATTCTCCATGGGAGGAATCATGTTAGAAGTCAAGCTTTGCATACCTGGTTGTTATGTGCCTTGCTACAGGGACAGTTTTTCTTCCAGGTCCTTTCCCTGATCTGAGCTAGGAGTTCATATATATAATATAGATAGATAGATAGATAGATAGATAGATAGATAGATAGATAGATATGATCTATAGATACACATACATATATACATACACATAATATAGGAATATATATCTATATATATACACACACACAGCATAAGAAGATAGATATGATCTATAGATATACATACATACATATACACACACATAAGATAGGAATATATATCCATATATATATACTCACATACACAGCATAAGAAGATAGATAAATAGATAGATATGATCTATAGATATACATACATACACACACATAAGATAGGAATATATATCCATATATATATATGCACATACACAGCATAGGAAGATAGATAGATAGATAGATAGATAGATGATAGATAGATAGATAGATAGATAATGATATATAGATATACATACATATACACACACATAAAATAGGAATAAATATCTATACATACATACACACACAGCATAAGAAGATAGATAGATAGATGATACAAGAAGAGCAATCTCATCCCCCCGTTTCTTCCCCAAAACAAGAGATACAAACTCTTGTGTGAAAGACGTCATCTCTGTACCAGAAGAAAATACAGTAGCCACAGGAAATTAACACAATCATAAACACACACACACATATGTACACATACATACACACATATATACACACACATTGCATAGGAATAGAGATATCTATTTCCTATATTCCATAGATATCTATTATTCTATATTCCATTCAACTGGATGCCACACTGAAGGATGCTACTGTAATAAATTATGACAAACTGCATTAAAACAAACAAAATTTATTTTCTCATAGTTCTAGAAGCCAGAAGTCACAAGTCCAGGTGTCAGCAGGGCCCCACTTCCTCCAGAGCTGATAGGCTGCTACCCATCTTGCTTCTTCTTGCTTTTGGTGGCTGCCGACATTCCTCGGCTTGTGGCAGCATCACTCCAATTGGTGCCTCCACCTTCATGTGGCCTGTTCCTCCCTGTGTGGCTGAATGTCAGAATTTCCCCTAGTTCTCTCTCATGTCTGTCTTTCTGTCTTTCTTTTTATCTGTAATCAGTATGGACTTAAACGTATGTATATTTCAATAGTTTTACAATCCATTGCACCTTCGTTTTGATACCCAAATTGCTCTGCATCTGGTCAGCAAGGGCTTACAAGAATCCAAGCACGATGGTCCCTGTGGGTGATCTGGGATAAGTGCCTGCTCTCATTATCCTCGGCATAATCCTCTCCTCTGCTATATAAGGTAATAGTCACTGGTTTGCCATATAATGTAATACTCACACATTCCTTAGGAAATGACTCTATTTTTCGAAAGCCATTTAATGTAATACGGATTCCTTAGGAAGTGACTATGTATTTTTAAGCCATTTTCAGCCTATGACAGTAGTCATGATTTCATACTGATATTTCCAAATCCAAAGTGAATATACCTCCAAAGTATTCTTCATGGTTTTCCAAGATTCTGATTCTGAGGAAGCAGAAATTCTCAGTCCTTTTGCTGTAAGTTTCCCCCTTATCTTTGTATTAGCCTAGAGATCAGAGAGTAATAGCTTTAGAATACATACTATAGGTTCAAATAAATTTAAATTCATATACCAGGAATGTACTAGAGATGTTTAGTGTAACCTCATAGGTTATGGGCCACTGGACCATGGACATTTTCATAGTAGACAAGGTGGAGTCTACACTCTTGCCTTCAATTCATATTCTTCTGCCTATAAGAGAAGATAAAGTACATGCCCTCAAGGGCACCTCTTTAGCTGGAAAAGTATCTGTGGAGTAAAATCTTTTTCATCTTTTCCAAAATAAATTTGGTTGATGTTCAAACATATTTGTGGGTGATACTGCTATATAATACAAAAGGTTGCATTTTACATTATAATGCTGTGAATCTTGAGATGTGTATAAACAGCTCTGTATGCAGCATACTTAACAAGTGCACAAGAAACACGTTAATTATACTAAATATATAGCACTGATGGCAATGATGCATGAATGTAGGGGCTGTTAGAGAAACAGATATGTGCGTGCACACACACACACACTCACACACACATACACACACACTCACACACACACACAACCCTGTAACTGAACCCTGCTGTTTCCTGGGATAGCACCGCATATGGTCCTTAGTCTAAAAGCACCACAACATAAGGTGGTGGCACTCGCCCTGGAGCATTCTTAACAAGTAGATTGTAATGGTGTGGTGTGGGAAGCAGGGTAATAATTCCTTTCTTTTATCCACCAGCCAGACAAGCTTATAGTAAAGTGGTAAATCATTTCCTACAACATTCTATAGAAAAGAAAGTTTTGTAGAACTCTACTTTATGAAGTTAAGGATGTATAAAACCCAGGGGAAGTGCAAAACAGACGACATCTTTCACTCTATTTACATAATATACTTTGAGGACAGACATATTTTGGCACAGAACTTTATTACAATATAGAGTGTAAGACAAGGTTTTTGTTGATGGTAAAATATGCAAACGATGTGAACAAGTCGGTATTTCCTTACTTAATTGACAAAAAAATTAGAATTGACAATATTGAAATGTTTTTAACAATAAATTTATGCTAGCATATAAAACAGCAGCAAAGTCAAATTTGTCAGATAGGAAGTCTTCAGCTTTTTATTTAGCAAGTGATAGATGTATATTGTTAAATTATGTTAATGTTTTAATGTTATGCTGGATTATGTATAATTTATAACTTTTGTGGCAAAAATGCATTAATGCAGACCAGTTGATTAGATCATTTCCAAGCTAAAATGTCTAACAATATTGCATGTTATTTTTATTTTACTTATCAAATCAGTTCATGCCATGTGAAGTTACATAGCGGGTGTCTTTTAGAAGACACTGAGATGCGAGGCTGTTTCACTATTATCAATGTACCTGGATTCATGGTCGCTTCAATATTCCCATGGCTCATGTTAACAAAAAACTATCAACGCATTATCCTAAACAGTATATTACACTGAAGACGTTTTCTCACACTTCTTGCTTTTTACACCAAATGTGTCTGTGCCCGTCATGTATGTGTTTGAAGCAGAACTAGGAGTCTTATAATGAGAGATAACAGATGTAAATCAGAAGTGCCTTTTGGAGTCTCCATTTACAGCTTGAGAAGCATACATTTTTATGGGGTTTGTATTCAATGAGAATCCCGCTGTCACTAATTCTACATTAATCTTTTATGAGAAGTCAACGTAAGATAATATAGAGATGATTATTTACGGTAAGCTAAAAATCACAACAAAACACTCCAACATTAATTCACTGCATTGTAAATTATAATCTTGGCTTCTGATAGAATTAACTGAAGACCAAGTAAAATTACATAATTTATTGTATAATCCTGCAAATCCACACAAAGGATAATGAGAAGATATGTACTCCATCACAAACATGAATTTGAATGCTTTTTATAATCACGAAATCTTTGTTCTTGTTATGTTCACACAAACTGGATGGTAAAGAAGAAAATAAATTCTTTTAATAATTAGAGAAAATAAGATAAATAAAATGTGGCATAGCATTCAAATTTATTCAGTCAAATAACAGAATAACAAGCCATATATAGGCATAAACATTTGCATCTCACATTTACAGGCACGCACTTTAAGCAAAGTGCTATGTGCCATAAGATAATGGCTAAACGTATCTCCTTAACTTACTGGGGGTGTCACTTATGCTCATGAGACATATAGAAACGTTTTTGTCTTCTCCATTTTTCCCATGCAGAAATAACCTCACATGGAAAGAACTTAGGCAGGAGATAGGATGATAAATTTAAAGATCTACAGATAGTTTTTGTAAGTAATAATGCAGATTTCAGCTTTCTGCTCATTTTCAAAAAATTATCTGAGATTTATTAGCGTATCTACCTCATATCAAAATTAACCTGTTTTTGAGGTTGGCCTTTTGGGGTATTTCAGGACTTCTGTTGATAATAATAATAATAATAATAATAAATCTTGCTCATTTCTGTTTTTTAAAACTTGTTAATGCTGTTTTGTCATATACCTTCACCATAGTTCTATAGAGAAAATAGAATTAGCATTAATGAAGTTAGTCACAATTAATGTAAGGTTTAGAAAGTTTAGGGAAATCTAGGATTTACTGAATTACTGCTTGTGCCAGGTGTTATGGTAAATATTGCATATATGGTCCCTCATTTAAATCCTTCCCAGAAACCTGTGAGGTTTGAGTATGATTTCTATTTTGGAAATACAGAAAATGAAACATGAAAATTTAAAGTGACTCAAAGTCACAGAGCTAGAGAAATGCCATATCCAGATATATCTGACTCCAGATAGAGTACTTTGCCCCACAAGAGTGTTTTTCAAAACTGGCACCAAAGTTGGAAGGTTTCCTAGAGTGCTGGGAGTCACTACTTCTGGGGTCAGGAATAGTAGAGGTGGCTTGACACTCGACCCTTGGTCTCAGAAAAATATGCTTTTATTTCACCTGTGGCACATGCAGGAGTTTTATGTTTACAAATCCCACAGAATTTAAAACACCAAGAGTGAACCCTAATTTAAACTGTGGACTTCAGGTGATAATGATATGTCAATGTAGGTTCATCAGTTGTCACAAATGTATGAGGAGGCAGGGACTATATGGGAAATCTTGCTACTTTTCACTAAAGTTTTGCTGTGGATCTAAAAGTGCTCTAAAAAATAGTCCATTAAGTAAAAGAAAAATACATGAAAGAAACAGAGCCTAAAAAGTCATTTTAAAATAGCTGTGCTAAAAAATGATACCACGTTAAAAAATGACACATAAGATTTTATAATATGTGAGAACGTGTGAGAGCTAAAACCGATTCCTTGTGTCTCACCACCTTACTGGTATCAAATTCAAAAATAACATTATCAGAACATTTTATCCAACCATTTGGTTATCGTTTTTGTTGTTGTTATTTACACCATGAAATGCCACAAACAAAAAGGCTTTATGATTTTATCAGTATGTGAAATGTTTTACCTACAGGAAGCATACATGTTGCTAATTTAAACATGTTTTTCTAATTTTAACATAAAGGCAGAAAATATTGAAACAGGATAGTTCCCTTGACCCTTCGCGGGACTCACGAAGAGGGTGTCTCCTCTACTCAGCTTGCAGCTCTCAGCCCCTCACAGGAGAGGGGGCACGAGGGTGAGCTGGTAGAGGAGCCGGGAGAGTGCCTTGGGGCACCAGCAGGAAGGAAGTCTGCACCAGCCCTGCAGCAGCACCTAGGGTGGTGCCCACAAAACCTGATATCCCAGTGAGCTCTTTTAGCTTTGCTGTCCGCAGACAGTTAAGTTTTTAACAGCTCAGTGTGACATCCCTCTATATCCCGAGTTCTTGTTCAGCATCCAGGAAGAATCAGGTCACATGAGTGAATTGAAGATGGTAAATGCGGGACATTTTATTGCCAATGAAAGTGGCTCTCAGAGGGATGGAGAGCTGGAAAGGGAGAAAGGGAGTGGAGCGGGAAGGTGGTCTTCCACCTGGATCTGACCGTCCCTGGCCGAACTCTTCCCCTAAGTCCCACCGACAAGCCATTCCTCTGAAATCAAGCTGCTTCTCTCTGATGTCCAGCTGCCTCTTCTCTTCTCCCCTTCTCTGCCACTCTGCCACTATGCCGGTGGGGCCTGGGTTTTTTATGGGTATAGGATGGGAGGCAGGGTGGGTGGTTTTGGAAAAGTCAACATTCAGGTGGGAAAACAGGAATACATGTTCTCACTTTGGGCGGTGGGTCCAGGTTTGAGCGTGGGGTTTCGCCAGGGACCCCACCCTTCTCTACTCAGAATTTCCCTGCCTCCTGTCCATATCAATATCATACTTTCCTTGAGATGAATGAGGGTACTTTTAAAATTGGAACTTCCATATTCTGCATCTTCATCAGGGTTACTTTCCTTAGGCTAACCTCATAGATGCTGTTTTCCTGTCTTTTAGTGATTTTTGCTGCTGTGCTGTGTACTTTCACAAGCGTCTTACATTGTGGGGCATAGGATAGAACACAGCACTCTAATAGCAACAAGGACAGCGAAGTAAAAGTATCACTTCCCAGCTTTTTCCAGATCTTCATATTTCACTGGAACCATTTAAGAGCAGCATTTTTATGACTCTACATAGTTATCATGTGCTTCTTCAAGAATATTTGGTACTCTTCTGTTACACGTGTGCATAGAAATTTGTGTGTATGTGTGTGTATGTTCAATTTGAAGTCTCTATAAACTACTTAAATGTAATCCATGCATATTTAATTTAACATTGGTAGAAGAGAGTCTGATAGAAATGCTGATAGAATTTGCAATCAGAGAAAATGAGTTTGGATCCTGGTTCTGTTATTTATTTGCAATTTATTGTATCACTCTAGTGTCAGTTTCATCATCTGACAAAACATTTACACTATGCAAGATGTCTCTTCTTTCCAGAAAGCTACCTCATTGCGGTCACATCTAAATATGGTCTTGACTTCCTCAGTCCATCAGTCATGAGACCTGCCACTTTGAGATCGTTCTAATGAAGACACTTTGTCCCCAGGATATTCTCCACTTGAAAATTATTGGGCAGTGTTTCTTTGGAGAACTTGAAGTCACAATATTGTGATTCACATCTTGGCTACAACTTTTACTATCTAAATGACTGAGTAAATCAATTAATCACTTCAAATTTCAGTTTCCCCATTATAACATGTTAATCATTATAATGATCTACCTTTTTTTAAAGTAGCTATGATAATAAACCAAGGTAACATATGAAATCATACATTTAAGGTACAACAGATATACAAGTTATAAAAGTACCATAATTTTTAAGACAAATATTGTATGATCTTACTTATAAGTGGAATCTAACATTGTCCAATAAATAGAATCATAGGGTAAAATGGTGCTTGCCAGGGACTGAGGATTATGGTGGGAAGTGGGATGGGGGGATATTCAACAATGGGTCCAAAATTTCAGTTATATAAAAAGTAAATTCTGGTCTAATATAGAGTATGGTGACCATAGTTAATAATACTTTATTGTATACTTGAAATTTTCTAAGTGAGTAGCTCTTTAAGTGTTAAATGTTAAACTTAAATGATAACCATGTGCAGTGAAGGATATGTTCATTTATCCAATTGTGGTAATTATTATACTATGCATAGATATATCAGTTAATCATGTTGTAAACCTTTAAAAAATACTATATTTAAAATTAGACCGGGGTTAAAAAGTGATTGACAGATAGCTTTAAAATCTCCATGTCTATCTGAACATTTGTAAAATTATATAAGGAGTGTGCATATTTTAAGTAGACCTTCTGTGTACAAGATACACTTAAAACAAAAATCAAATCCCATTACATTAAATCAACTTCTGGAGTGTTATATATCTCATTAAAATGAGTGAGGTATTATTTTAAAAGCTGAGTATGATAATTTTAGTTTTAGCAATTCTAAAAATGAAGTTACAGTGAACAATTATATTGGAAAATGGTTTTATTGTGTTTGCTCATTCCCAATACTTCCCTCGTTCAGTAATACCTATTCTTTCAAATATTGCATGGGACATATGTATGCTAAAATATTATTTATTGTTTTCTGAAATTCAGATCTAACTAGGCATCCTGTATTTTTTTATTTGCTAAATCTGTCAGCACTACCACTACTTACTCTTAAAAAGTTTGATGTCTTTGTCTTTTATATATATATAAAATGCCCTCATTGACGTATGCCCTCTCTTCCTGGATCCCAACCCCTCATCTCCTTCTTCCTTCCTATTTGCATGGAAAAAGAAAAAGGTACAAACATTATGTGATCAAAGGTAATTCCTTAACATGAAATTGAGAATGTGCACCCTTGTTTCTTTGATGACATCTCTTATATAGTAAAACATTTTATTGTACAGGATAATTCCCCTCAGCTCTCCTATGATTTATATCTTCCATCATAAACCAAATCCAATAAAATTAGAGATTGTAGGTAGTTCACAGGTCACACTATCCTTAAATTCTCAACTCCCTTTAATCACCAAACCTCCTAAAATCACTGTGGATGGATTCATGCCTTCTCCATTACCACATCTCTTTCCTTTTCTGTGATTTCTGTCTCTGTGCAACATTTTTTGGTGTCTCCATGGGGCTGGGTACATGCCTCAGTGATTTCAACTCTCCCTGAGGTTTTATAGCCAGGAATATGTTGATAATCCCAAGCTTTAGATCTCCATTTCAGCCAGATTTCCTGAGTTTCAATTTGTTTATTCAACAAGCGTCTGCATAAAAATGCTTTACAAATAATATGAAATTAAAATCTACAAACCAAAACTTTTTGTCTTGCTCTAAGAGGTATTTCTTACAGAAGACACCCCCACCCCGGAATGAAGTCATTGATTCTTACTTCTGCCTTCCCCCATAGCTGATGGGTCATGAGGTCACATGCGCCAGCCCTGGGGATTGGGTGGATGGTGAATGGGAAGTAGGCTTTGCCCAGACTCTTCCCTCCACCCTCCCTGTGACTCTTCTTGGCTATTTTTTATCTTTCAGTATTCAGTTCAAACATTGTTTTTGGTAAGCCTTTTCAAACACTTTTTTAATCTAAAAAACTATGCTCCTATTTTTGTCTCACCATACCCGACCCATATTATTATCATTGTGCTTTTCTGTTGTTTCATTTGTCTGTTTCTTCCCTAGGCTACTGTTTTGTTCACTATGAATTCCTAATAGTGTTTAGCATGAGTAGTACAACAAGCATGAAATAAATATTGGTGGAATAAACGGAGGAATGATTCAATAAATAATTTTTTTTCTGGGAAAATATTTTGAGCTACACCATACACTATTACTTTTCAAATGAGAGCAATTTTATTATGGATTATAAAAATATGGAAATAATTTAAATGTGACATATATAGCATTATGCTAGAGAATATCTTCTGCTTTTAGGCTGATAAATGACATAAATGCCTCTAAATGATAGGTTACAATTTAGATCCAAAATAAAGTAACTCAATAAACTAAGACAAATACTTAAAATCATTTAATGAGGAAAAAAACTTATCCATTAAAGTGATAATTTTGATCTTATAATTAAACTTGTTTGGAGTGTATTTTTTTTTTTTTTTTTTTTTTTTTTTTTTTTTTTTTTTTTTTTTGAGACGGAGTCTCGCTCTGTCGCCCAGGTGGGACTGCGGACTGCAGTGGCGCAATCTCGGCTCACTGCAAGCTCCGCTTCCCGGGTTCACGCCATTCTCCTGCCTCAGCCTCCCGAGTAGCTGGGACTACAGGCGCCCGCCACCGCGCCCGGCTAATTTTTTTTGTATTTTTAGTAGAGACGGGGTTTCACCTTGTTAGCCAGGATGGTCTCGATCTCCTGACCTCATGATCCACCCGCCTCGGCCTCCCAAAGTGCTGGGATTCCAGGCGTGAGCCACCGCGCCCGGCCTGGAGTGTATTTTGTTTTCTATGAAAGTAAATAATGTTGAGGCTATTGTTTTATTTCTAAAGCACACTTGGAGTTGTATTTTGCAAAATCCTGCATAAATTTATTGTCCTGTGATTGCATCAGTTAATATCACCACCACAATTATTTACAGCTTATTAATCAATACTAAACAATTAAGAAGATTTAACAGCTTATTTTTCATTAACTTCTCTTCTGCATAACAAGAGGCTTGCTTTCCTTCATATAATAACACATTCTGAAAGAACTAAATACTATTTTTAATTTCAATCTCTAGACTTCATCAAACTCCAGAATAATAAAAGATAGAAAATGCATATATTTCATTTTACTTCTATGAGTAAAGGAAAAAATATTTAATATTAGGTGTTTTTTAATTATTAGACTATTTCTTCTTTTCCTTGAGGGTCTTGTACTACTCTCTCTTCTTTGTAACTTTCTCTTCTGATTAATCAATACTACATGTATCCTGTGACACTTGATTTTCCCCTCAGAGTAGAGACAATCTGGTAAACAAGCAACACTAGCACCTATGGATTTCAAGAACTAAATTACATCACATAAGATTCCTTGAATTGTAAAGGAGTGCGGTAGGCAGCAGCTAACATTTATTACAGAGGAAACATTATTAAGAGTGTAATTTCCAGCCTCAATGAAGACAGGGCTGGATTTTCAGCAAGCTTTTTCTTGCAACTCTGAAATCTGCCACAGGTGTATGCCAACACTGTCCATGCAGAAATAGCACTCTGGTCTCAAGCAATGAAATCATTTGATTAGGTTAGGAACAAACAAAGGATATTATATTATTTTCTTACACAATTCAAAGTGGCCAACTGCTTAATCTGCTTTTCAGAACAAAAAGAAACCCTCTCTTCATACTGTATTGGTATGGTCACGTACCAATAAGTGCTTTGGTTTTTTTGATAATTTCAACCATATATTGCCCTCGAGTTACTTTGTGACTCTTGTCTGATATTTGTGCAATGGCTCCGGCCCCTTCTTAGCCTAGAAATGAAGTTAGTACTCTGCTAGTAGAGTTTGATTTTTTTCCAAGAAAGATAAAAGGCATATTTTACATTTTATGTTACTTGTATCTCTTTACACTACCTTATTAACGGACTGGTATGGCACTAATCTTAAGTAGTAAGTAATCTTTTCTGGGTGTATCAAACAGGCAATGTACAATATGCAGAAGATATAAAGACATTTATGACAAAGCCCTGACCTAGTGAGCCTTGCAATCTTATTGAAAAATGAGCCATGGGCCTGGTGGCTCATGCCTGTAATTTCTGCACTTGGGAGACTGAGACGGGAGAATCGCTTGAGCTCGGGAGTTTGAGACCAGCCTGGGCAATATGGCTAAACCCATATCTACAAAAAATACAAAAATTAGCCACGCATGGTGGTGTGCACCTGTAGTCCCAGCTACTCAGGAGGCTGAGGTGTGAGGATATCTTGAGCCCAGGAGGTAAAGGCTGCAGTGAGCCATGATCATGCCACTGCCACTGTACTCTAGCCTGGGTGCAGAGTAAGGCTGTGTCTCAAAAAAAAAAAAAAAAAAAAAGGAAAAGAAAGAAAAGATGAACCTCATTCCAAAATAAAGCTGTATGTAATAAATGACACATGGTACTGTTGGAATCAACACTCCAGCTAGTCATAAATCCACCAAATATTTCACTAGTATGTACTTTCAAGCAGTTGAATTTATGAAAATGCCTTTCCTATAACAGGAATCTGAGGCCTAATTCAATGCTTTTGATAAATAAGTCTGTTGTCATGTAATCCAATTTTGTGTTGTATTTAATATCTTCATGACAGAGGATATATCACCCTTCCGTATCTAATTTGTGAGTTCCTCACAATTTGCGGTGTTTGTAACATAGCTAGTCCTTCATGGAGGTAAGGGCATATGCCTGTGATAGTATAGCTCAATTATTTGGGGAGAGAATAAAATGATATTGAATGGCTTTATCATTTCTTATTTGCCATAGAAAGTTCATTCTTTCTCATGGTTATAATTCTCTGTGTATGATTGACTTTATTCAACAAAATACTTTAGATCTATCCTTACTTTCGTTTTTTCCCCCCAAAGCTTTCAGAAAAATGAGTGTTTTTCTTTCAATTATCATATGTGAAACAGGAAAGTTATCTACTTGAGAAAACTGATTTTGAATAAAACCAATTGCTTTAAAGCAGCTAATCTTTAAGATAAATATATTATCAAAAAGTCTCCTAACTTGGTAAAGAAAATTCTTAAGTCTTGGGGAAAAAAATAAATCTTCCAATAAAGCAACTCACATCATAGAAGATGGAGTGACTTGGAATCTAATGAGGAAAGGTTCCCAGGCCTGAGAAATAAAGTGTGCAGAGTACAGTATGAAAAGTTGCTGGAGTTTACACAGCAATAGAATGATTTTTAAATGACAGTTTTCTGCAATATCACTCCATAGATTAATGAAGAGAGAAGCTCAATTTTTAATAAAACTGCATGAAAAACTTTATACATAAACAAAAGTGTTTCTGTGAACAGGAAGGGTTTAATGAAAAATGCACGTGGAATTATAATTTATCCGAGATGCATCATATCTAGAAAACCAACTTCCTGTTGATTTATATTGGCTAAGATTAATAAATCAAGATAAAAATAAGGGGAATGCATATATTTACCAGAGTTCTGCATTTGAATAATTGGAAGGCAGGCGACTTTATCTTTGTAAATGTGTCCAACTCCATGCAAAGGCAGTAATAGAGACGTGGATTTTCATAATCTCTCCTCCAATTCCCCTTCGCCTTGATCCTACAGTTTTGGTGAATGTCCATAAGCATTACTGAATCTCCTCAACTTCAAATATTCTGTTCTGTTTTCTGCAAGTGCCTATTTATGATGCCAAGAGAGACTTCAACTAAAAGGCCACATTGATAAGACCATCACTATTGACGCAGCTTCTTTGCAAGAAATAATACAAGGGCTTTTAAACAGTGTGGTCAGCTTCTGCTTTGTCTACTGACTCCATTCCACTTCTGACATTCGTATGTTGACTGGTGCCATCCTGTAGCACTTACCTCAGTAATTTGATCACCACCCTCATTCTGTGGTAGACTGCTAAATATGTAACAATTGGTCCTCCAGAAAAAAATAAAATGTGTATGTAGGTATATGTAGATCAATTTTAAAATATTTTATTGATATATAAAAGTATGCCATATAATCTATAAATAGCAATAAACAATACATCATCTTTATTGTAAATTTTGTATAGCCAATTGGTTTTCACAGAAAGATTTTTATTTAGTTTTGCCAAACTCTTGTATCTTATATTCATAGCCAAGTAATAGTTGTAAATCAACTATGATTTGACAATATTTTTTCTATTTACAAGGTAATGGAAGATATAATACACTTTTACTTAATCTGCCTTACTTTTTTTCGAAAGCAGTTCTCTGAAATAGGCAGTACACAAAACAACAATCAAGCCCCAGTGTATAGCATTTGTTAATTTCTGTTGTTTAAATACTCCCATCATGGAGAAGTTTCTGCTATTCATGTGAAGCCACGGAGCATAGAGCTCAGAAGAGGGGCGCAGGAAGCAGCAGGCCCTTTTCACTGCAGAAATAATAGACATAAATAACTCTAGCACACCCAGAAGAGCAAAATAGAGTAAAAATCACTAGAAAATAATGAGCTTTGAATATTTACCTTGGTTTTGGTACAATCAATTTAATTGTAGCTTTGTTTATATAATTTAATAATGGCCGTATTTAAGAACCAGCTGGAAAAACTCCTATAAATGTAACACCACCTCTCACAAGTTCACATGAGCCGGTTGCAGCACAAGAGGGCCTCATGATTCTCTAAGATGCATATTTCTTTTATTTACTTATTTATTTTTTTTTCAATACAGAGTCCTGCTATGTCACCCAGGCTGGAGTGCAGTGGCGCGATCTCCGTTCACTGCAACCACTGCCTCCTGGGTTCGAGAGATTCTCCTGCCTTAGCCTCCCTAGTAGCTGGGATTATAGGCGCCCACCACCATGCCTGGCTAATTTTTGTATTTTTAGTAGAAATGGGGTTTCTCCATGTTGGCCAGGCTTGTCTGGAATTCCTGACCTCAGGTGATCCGCCCGCCTCGGCCTCCCAAAGTGCTGGGATTACAAGCATGAGCCACCGCGCCTGGCCAAGATGAACATTTCTTGATAAGCCCTGAAATACGTTCCAGCCTCAAAAGTGGACGTCCTCCCTGGATATATAGGACTCATTTAATGCTCCAGTTCCATCCTCATCCCCAATTCCTCAACTCCACCCCTATTACTGTAGACCAAGCTCTGGGTCCGCCTCCCCTATAATTCAGTGGGGCTGCCTCTACCAGGCACCACGCTCACCTCACCTCCATTCTCCTGTCGGGATCGATTCACCACGCAAAGTGGAAAATAACTGAGATTTGGCCTTAGGCAGAATTAGATTTGAGTTGCCTCTCTTACTTACAATTATGTGACCTGGGATAAAATATTGAAAATCTTTAAGGCTCCGTTTCCTCATCTGTAAAATGAAGATAATAACAGCAAGCATAATAAATTTTGGTTAGAATTAATGTAAAGTGAAAAACATGCTCATAGATGCTCCATAAAAGTGAGATATATGAACAGATTTAATAATAGTTACCTCTTTCTCACTCTGCTCAGATGAAGCAAGTTTCTCTTAAGACAGAAAGAGCAGATCCAGGAGGCTTCAGAGTAGCCTTTCAGCCAGCCAGAGCCTTAGGTCTGGTTTTCAGCCAGTCGCTGCATGAATGAGTGTATGTATTCACTCTGGTCCTGGTTTGTTGGCATTGCCCCTCACTGATCACACATTTCAAGCTTCCACATTCCTTCTGCGTGTCTCTGGACTGTGGCTTGCAAGCAGTTGTTTTTCCTGGTACCCTGCCCAGTTGGCATGAGATGCTGAGCCTTTAGAGACTGACTACGTGCTGGATCTTGGTAGGGACTCTTCCCCAGCTGCTGTCTGTGTCTTCTGTGTTTGTGGTTCTAGTGCGCCCTAAGTTCTGTAACACTGAGCTTCTCTGTCTGCTCTTCCCTGATGCTATCTTTCCCCCCATTTCTCTGTTGCTCTTGTCATTAGACCATCTTTGAAAATCTGCCATTCCAGCCCTGGTAATACTGAGATCTGGGAAGTTTTTGGGTAAGAAAGGTAATACACAAAGCACCATGCAGAGGACAGAAGAACTAGGTACTAGTTCTGATTTTGACAGCAACTAGCTGTGTGACTTTGGAGAAATCAATAACCTGCTCAAAGCCACCGTTTTCTCAATTGAAAACAAGGCATGAGCTGCCTCAAGGGTCCTTGCAGATCTAATGCTCAATGATTCCATGATTCTTGTTTCACTGGTGCTCTCAGCAAATGTGTTACACTGGAAATACTGCCTCCTCCAGCCTGTTGCAGAAGCAACTCTTATTTGGTAGAAGCACTTCAGCTGCTTGGTTTAGTGCTTCCCATGAGCACATTGGCTATCTAAGCAGGTAGAGAGAAACAATGCCTAAAGAATTTGAGGAAGAAAATAAACACATTTTCTCTAATCTTAAAATACGAATTGATGCTTCACCTACAAAATAAACTTTTATTTTTCCAAAGCAGTAAAAAGCAATTTCCTGCATAATAAAAAATTGGTAAACACTGCAAAAATTTGCCAGATAAAAGTGTTGACTGAGACGTTGCCCCCATGACTTATACCTTGTATATGGAACATTAGGATGTATTTGTTGAAAACAGCCTCCTAGTGAGGGGAAATTAGGCAAAACAAAAACAATAATGGTGATACATTAATTTAAAAAATCAAAATCAAATACACTATTCTTCTGAAAGCTGAAAGAAAACTAATTGAAGTAAGCTAGTGAACTATGGACATGTGGTCACCAATATCCTTTTTATATATAATTCATTGAATATGGCATCCATCTCTGTCTTTCTGACTTTGCTTATCTCATCTATATGAGATTTTACAACTTGTATATCAAATTTCCACCTGCTGCCCAAAGCTCTGTAATTATGAATTAATTATAATTTTTCAATGAAGTTCTTTTATGCTTTTGAGAGCTTATGCAAGCTATTCTTTCTTTCCAAAGCATTCTTTCCCTTACACTTTTCCTCTAATTGATGACTCAATGTTTAATGTAGGCATTGCATCTCTATTTTCAAAAACCTTTTCTGACCACCCTAAAAAGTGGTTTTATAGCCTCTGAAGCAACTCATTGATTGAAAATTTCTATATTCTAACTCTGTATCTAATTACTCCTCTTCTTACCTGGTAATATTCAAAACAGCAGCCAGTATTCATGTCTTAATCACAGTTGTATCCCCCAGTAAACTTGGCAAATTTAGCAAATAAAAATAAAAGGTATGCATTTCAATTTGAATTTCAGTTAAACAATTAATTTTAGTATATATGTCCCATGCAACCAAGCTAAACTAAAACTTTATTTTTAATCTGAAATTCAAATATAATTAGACATCTTATATTTTATTTGACAGCTGTAACCTTCAGCAACTTGAAACAGGCCTGTTGCCTGTTGTTGTTCGATGTATATGCAATGATATGAAAGGCAACAGATAAAATTTTACTTTATTTCTTTAAAAATGCCATAAAATGTTTAACATATTTGTTTTTGGTAGTTAGCAACATGGATTCTTTCTTTATTTGACAGTACAGTCATTTCAAGACAGTTTGTAATATGGGTTTCATTGTGTCCATGTCACTTAGTTTCAGTATTAACAATGGAAAATAAGCTTGCATACATGCCATTACCTGAGGACTCAGAGACCATGTTCTTTTTCTTTTCTTTGCTCACAAATCAGAGATAGGACCTGTCTAAACTTGCTGAAGGAAGCTTTCTTTAGGTTTTCATTTCACACATCCACTCACTGAACGTTTCCCTCCATAGCACAGCTGTGGTCAGAAGTGCTCCAATTGCTTACAGAGGAGAGAACAAGGGCCATCTGGCCCTGACCTGGAGGCAGGCTCTAGGGAGTAGAGCATTATTTTCTAAGCTTCCACTCTGTCACTTTGATGCATGAGTCCTAAAATCACAAAGAGACACTACTTGATTTTCTCTGAATTAGTGTGAAAAAAGTAGAGTTTAAAAAAAATTATAGCTCTATTATTTATTAGGTTAGTGCAAAAGTAATTGCCGTTTTTGCCATTGAAAGTAATGCAATTATTTTTGCACCAATGTAATGTATTGTTGTGTTATCATTTGGAGAACACCCTATAGAGTCTAATCAAAGAAAAACAAATGAAAAAGACTCAATATAGCAAATTACTTTCATTTATAATATCAGTAGGTTTATTAAAAGAAATTGATGAGAGAAGTATTCACAATCATAATGTATGTACATATATGCATTCCATGTTTTCAAGTTTGCACATATTATGTTGGTTGGCTTCTCTGCTTCCAATTGAGATTAGCAGTAAGATTAATGAAGAAGTGGATGGTCAAATTCCTATGAGGCAGCCAAAATAGGTAAATAAGGAACTGTAAAGGGCTCCTCATCCACAAAAGCACTGAAAAAAAACTGGCAAGAACTGTGAGAATCAACTTTTTCAGAGCTCTGGAAACAATCCAAAGGCTTGCTGCCACCAAGGAGTATTCATTCAAGAAAAGCAACTGAAGCTCTGCAAAAGCAGAGAACTTTGTGGCATTTTCACTTCCTAGTCCCATGTCCCAGTCCCATCCTGTCCTTGAAAATGACAGCCTAGATTTCAGTACAGATACTGGAGGGAGCAGAACTGACCTCATTTGCAAAGCATTATAGTTATTTGCTTGGACCCGCTGGTGGTTATCTAGAAGACTAGCACAAACGTCTTTATCTCACCTAATTCAGAACTTACCCAGTGCTAAAGCTGTTACCTGTAGGCATTTTTCTAAAACTTATACAAGGAAATGATTGAGTCACTGATACTTGAAGCAATGGTTAATAGTTGAGCAAATAATAGGCTTAACAAGCAGCTTGTGGGGAAAACCTGGAAAGGAGAAGCTTTGGAGAATAAGGGCTTTAGCGTTCCTTGAAATCCAGAAAGGGTTAGGGTTATTCTTGCTGTACACATACTCAGGAAAGACTCGAGAAGACCCTCTGTGCACATCTCTGGTTGATAACACAGCTCTGTACAAGTAAGTAGGGAGGCTAAGGCAGATATGAATACTGCCTGGCTCAGTGTGGAAGAGGTGCACCATAATGAGCCCCTCTGCAGAGATAATGGGGAAACATTTTTGGTATTAAGCATTAAAAGGAAGAATATGTCTAGCAAGCTCTGGGGGAAAAGGAGAATCTGATTTTCAGAGTTGCCACATTATAATAAAGAAAATACTTGGTTCTCAACAAAAAATATCAGACATATAAAAAAACAAGGTATTAAAATCCAACTGTGAAAAAAAGCAAATGATAATGAATATTATCTGAGGCCCAGTATGCAAATAATTTAAATGCATAAAAAGAACTAAAGAAAACTTTGTCTGAAAAACTGAAAAAAAAGCATGAGAATAGAGAATATCAATCAAGAGATTTAAAAATGTGTAAAAGAACCAAATAGAAATTCTGGAATGAAAAGTATAATAACTGAAATCAATTTTTTACTAGGGATATATAAGAGCACATTTGAGAACCCAGAAGAAAGAAGCAGCAACCATGAACAGAGGTCGATTGAGATTATCCAGTCAGAATAAAATAAAGAAATAAGTGTAAAAAGAACCTAAAAGACTTGAACAACAGTATAAACCAACTTCACCTCACTGATAGCTTCAGAACACTCAACCAAATAACAACAAATATACATTCTCTTCAAGTGCACACGAAATATTCTCCACAAAACAGACTCAATAAATGAAAAAGATTTAAACATAGAAAATACTTTTTCCACCACAATGGAATGAAATAAGAAGTCAATAGTAATAGAAAATTTGAAAAATTCACAATTATGTTGAAGTTAACACATATCTAAGTAAGCAATGGATCAAAGAAAACAACGTAAGGGAAATTAGAAAATATTTCGAAGGGAACAAAACCAAAACTGCAAAGCAACATATTCATAGAATGCAGCAAACAAAGTGATCAGAGGGGAATTTATACCTGTAAAAAAGAAGGATCACAAATCAACAATCTAATATAAGGATCTCAAATCAACAATCTAATATTTTATCTTAAGAAACTGGAAAAAGAAGACCAAACCAACCAAAAGCCATAGAATGAAGGAAATACTCAATATTAGAGTGAAGATAAATCTAATAGGAAATAGAAAAACAATAGAGGAGAACATCCAATAAGCCGAAAGTGGATTCTTAGAAAAGGTAAACAAAATTGATGAACTTTTAGCTAGACTGAGGGGAAAAAAGAGAGAAGATTCAAATTACTGCAATCAGGAATGAAAGCAGCAACATTAATATGTATCTTATAGAAATAAACGTGAATTAAAGAGAATACTAAGAGGATTTTTTTGTCAACACATTATATAACTTAGATGAAATAGACACATTCCTAGAAAGACACAAACTTCCAAAATTGATTCATGAGGAAATAGAAGGTTTGAATTTGATCTACAATGTATAAAGATATCATGTCAGTAATCAAAAGCTTCCAACAGTAACAACAAAAGCATGAGCCAGATAGTTTCACTAGTGAATTCAATCAAATGTCTAAAGAAGTAACACTTATCTTTCTCAAGGTCTTCCAAGATACAGAGGAAGCACTTTTTAAGTTATTCCATGAAGAATCATTACCATGATAATAAAGCCATATAAAGATATCACAAGAAAAGTAAACTAAAAACCAATACCCATTATGAATACACACGTAAACATCTTCAACAAAATACTAGTAAAACAAATCTAGATGCATAAACAAGTTCAGGGGCATACAAAAGGGATTATCTACAGGGACCAAGTGGAATTTATCCTAGGAATGAAAGTTTGTTTGGGCACATAAAAATCACTTAATATAACATATCATATAAACAGAATAAATTAAAAAAGACATATAATCACCTCAATTGATGCAGAAAATTTATTTGAAAAATCCAACACCATTTTATGATGAAAACACAAAAGAAACTATGGTTAAGAAGGGCGTCTATGAAAACCCCACAGCAAATATCATGCTTAATGGTATAACACTAGAATTATGAACAAGACAAGGATGTTTTTCTCAACACATCTATTGAATATTGTACTGAGGTTTTAGCCAGGGCTATTAGTTGAGAGAAAGAAATAAAATAATTCAGACTGGAAAGAAAAAAGTAAAAGTATCCCCATTAGAAGATGATATAGAAATTTGAGGATTCTAATATGATTCAAAATAACAAAATAACTAGGAATGATTTTATCTGAGGAGGAAAAAAAACTTTATTAAAAAATATTAAATACCTAAATAAACTCTGTGTTCGTGAGTTAGAAGACTTATTATTCTTATGATGACAATAATACCCCAAATTTTCCACAGATTCACTGCAAACATTATCAAAATTTCAATTGCCTTACTTTTTTGCAGAAATTGACAAGTCATTCCTAAAATCTATAGGAAAATACAGGGGACAATGAATCACTGAAATATATATAATTCACTGAAATATATATACATATAGCAAAAGGAGAGTGAAGTTGGAGGGCTCATGCTTCCTAATTTCAAAACCTACTATAAAGCTGAAATTATAAGACTATGTGGTATTGGCATAAAAATAGACATAGAGATCGATGGATTAGAATTGGGACTACAGAGATTAGCTCTCTAATTTATGGTCAATTGATTTTCAGCAAGGATTCCAAGACTATTCAATTAGGTAAGAATAACTTTACATCAAATTGTACACGGATAACTGTCACATGCGAATAAGCAATTTGTAACCCCGTATCACACCATATACAGAAAAAATTAACTCAAAATGGATCAAAAACCTAAATTAGGAGCTAAACCAATGAAATTCATAGCATGAAACATGTGTACATATTTGTGACATTGGATTAGGCAATGGTTTATTTAATAAGACACCAAAAGCACACACGACAAAAGAAAATAACAGATAAACTGGACTTCAACAAATTAAGATCTTTGGTGCTCAAAGAACACTACCAAGATGTAAGAGTTGGGTTTGGAAAAGAGTAGGGAAACTATTTTCTGCATCTTGGCTGCCTTTGCACTCCCATGTCACCTGCCAGCCCCAAGATACCCCAGGGGTTACAGACCATGCTTGAGAGAAGTCAAGGGCCCTGTGCAAGGAGCTCCACCAGATCCTGGTTGCTCCTTGGCCTCAAGACCAGTTTTCATTCCACACAACACCACCCAGGGTGTTGCTGATCCACTCATAGCATTGCTGGGAGCAAAACAGCTGAAATGAGGTCCTTATTTGACAGTGAAGTACCAAAACTGAAGGACAGGTATGGGCAGAAGTTAGGGCAGTCCCATACCAGTAGGCTAGTGAGCCTGTTCAATGAGGGGTTTTTGCAGACCCAAATATCTCAGACCAAGTGGCACAGTCTGGGAAAGATAACTATTGACCTCCTACTGCTCCACGTTTTTGACCTTGTTGAGCAGGACAACCAACAAGACAGAGACAAGGATAAACTCGTGCCTTTTTTGATCTGTGTTGTGGGGAGTGTGAGCGTGGTACTCCCAAATAAAAAGGATTTTCCTAAAAGAAAGACCCCTGGGAAGCCATTCATGAGACTATAATTGCTCTTCAGGTATACGTCATAGATATTTGGCTATGTGACCCTGTCCCTGGGGACATAGGTGACACATTCTCATCCCCAAGTGCACCAGTGGACTTCAAGCATCAGAAGCCTCCCCAAAAGAAGATACCATCTGTCTAATCCTTTCCCCTGGAATGATTGTGGGGAAAGGAATGGAGAAATCCTGTAATGAGAAGCCATGCACAAGGAGCCAAAAATGGAATTCAAAGGACAATTGAGAAAAGAGGAAGGAGAGGCCAGGTCCAAGCCACACAGGAATGTGCCTACTGCTGTTGAAACAGGAAATATAGAAGACAAAGCTATAGTGGAACAAGGGGATAAGGACTTGCAGGACTGGAATGATCTTGACTGAGTCCAGCACAGCAGACCTCCAATCCCTAAGCAGAGTCTGAGGAAGGGGGACTGTACAAGTACCCAGGTCTTCCCTTAACCCAGACCAGTACTGTGAAGAGGACCATTATGACTGTAAGAATGATAAGTAAATGAAGGAGGATGGCCAACTCAAAGGTAGTCCGACCTTACTTCCTTCAAAAACAATAAAAGGGGTGGGGCCAATGTCCTCAGGTCTCTGCCAGGATCAGGGTCCCTGTGAAGACAGCAGGAAAGAAGTGAGGGATTCTGACTTTTACAAAACTTTTGCATACTAGTGCCTGAAAGTTAATAATCCCAGGCCCCTGCAAGGGTAGGAATAAACTGATGACATTGGGGTTCGTATGGTTTAATGTGTCCCCACCCAAATCTCATCTTGGATTGCAGTTCCCATAATCGCCATGTGTCATGGGAGAGACGACGTGGGCAGTTACCTCCATACTGCTGTCATCATAGTGAGTGAGTCTCACGAGATCTGATGGTTTTATAAGGGGCTTTTTCTCCTTTGCTTGGCACTTCTTCCTGCCGCCATGTGAAGAAGAACGTGTTTGCTTCCCTTTCCACCATGATTGTCAGTTTCCTGAGGCCTCCCCAGCCATGCTGAACTGTGAGTAAATTAAATCTCTCTTCTCTTCAAATTACTGAGTCTCAGGTATTTCTTCATAGCAGTGTGAGAATGGACTAATACAGTAAATGGATACTACAGAGAGTAGGGCACTGCTGTAAAGATACATGAAAATGTAGAAGCGACTTTGGAACTGGGTAACAGTCAGAGGTTGGAACAGTTTGGAGGGCTCAGAAGAAGCCAGAAAAATGTGGGAAAGTTTGGAACTTCCTAGAGACTTATTGAATGGCTTTGACCAAAATGCTGATAGTGATATGGACAATGAAGTCCAGGCTGAGGTGGTCTCAGATGAAGACGAGGAATTTGTTGGGAACTGGAGTAAAGGTCAGTCTTGCTATGCTTTAGCAAAGAGACTGGCAGCATTTTGCCCCTGCCCTAGAGATGTGTAGAACTTGAGGGAGATGATTTAGGGTATCTAGTCAGAGCAATTTTGAAGCAGCAAAGCATTCAAGAGGAAGCAGAGCATAAAAGTTTGGAAAATGTGCAGGCTGATCATTCAATAAAAAAGAAGAAATTAAGCCTGCTACAGAAATTTGTGTAAGTAATAAGGAGCTGAATGTTAATCACCAAGACAATGGGGAAAATGTTTCCAGGGTATGCCAGAGACCTTCATGGCAGTCCCTCCCATCACAGGCTCAGAGGCCTAGGAGGGAAAAATGGTTTCATGTGTTGGACCCAGGGTCTGCCTGCCCTATGCAGCCTCGACACATGGTGTCCTGCATCCCAACTACTCCAGCTCCAGTTGTGGCTACAAGGGGCAAAGGTACAGCTTGAGCCATTGCTTCAGAGGATGCAAGCTCAAAGCCTTGGCAGTTTCCCTGTGGTCTTGGGCCTTTGGGGGCACAGAAGACAAGAATTTAGGTTTTATAACCTCCACCTAGATTCCACAGGATGTATGGAAATGCCTGGATGTCCAGGCAGAAGTCTGCTGCAGGGGTGGAGCTGTTATGGTGAACCTCTACTAGGGAAGTGCAAAAGGGAAATGTGGGATTGAAGCCCCCATGCAGAGTCCCTACTGGGGCACTTCCTAGTGGAGCTATGAGAAGAGAGCCACCATCCTCCAGAAACCAGAACAGTAGATTCACCAACAACTTGCACCATATGATTGGAAAAGCTGCAGACACTCAACACCAGCCTGTGAAAGCACCTGGGAGGGGTTTGGTACCCTACAAAGCCCCAGGGGCAGAGCTGCTCAAGGCTGTGGGAGCCCACCTCCTGCATCAATGTGTCCCGGATGTGAGACATGGAGTTCAAAGGAGATCATTTTGGAACTTTAAGGTTTAATGACTGCCCTATTGGATTTCCAACTTGCTTAGGGCCTGTAGTCTCCTTATTTTGGCCAATTTCTCCCACTTGGAATGGGAATATTTACCCAATGTCTGTACCCCCATTGTATCTAGGAAGTGACTAACTTGTTTTCAATTTTACAGGCTTATAGGCAGAAGGGACTTACCTGTCTCAGATGAAACTTTGGACTTGGACTTTTGGGTTAATGCTGGAATGAGCTAAGACTTTGGAGGATTGTGGAAAGGCATGATTGCATTTTGATATGTGATGCCATGAGATTTGGGATGGGCCAGGGGAAGAGTGATGTGATTTGTCTTTGTCCCTACCCTCATCTCATCTTGAGTTTCAGTTTCCATAATCTCCTTGTGTCATGGGAGGGACCTGGTAGGAGGTAATTTAATCAAGTAGACAGTTAACCTCCATGCTGTTCTCATGATAGTGAGTGAGTTCTCATGAGATCTGATGGTTTTTTAAGGGCTCTTTCTTCCTTTACTCAGCACTTCTCCTTCTTGTCATCATGTGGAGAAGGACATGTTTGCTTTCCTTTCTGCCATTATTATAAGTTTCTTGAGGCCTCCCCAGACATTCTGAACTGTGAGTCAGTTGAAACTCTTTTCTTTGTAAATTACCCAATCTCAGGCAGTTCTTTATAGCAGTATGAGAATGAACTAACACAAAGGATTTTGGACAAAATGTGGTGATCCATGGCAGATAAGTTCACATGTCTTTGTGGTAGGGGCCTTTGGGTCATTCTGGATGAAACTGAACATGATTCCCATTGCTGAGTGCATTCGAGGCACTGACACTTTGCTTGCAGCATGAAACATCACCACAGGCTCGGGGGGATGCCCCACACAACAAGGATTCCAGCCATAACCAGAGGTCAAGTTCACTCCCACCCCCACCTAAGTTACCCAAGTCCTGACAGCTTATTCCACAAAAGCAGAACTGCAGACCGGGCAGAGAATAGGGAGAATAGGGCATTACCTTTTTGATACAATACATGCTGCAGGCAGGAGTGCTATGCACCTCTCTGTCACAACTTATTAGCCCAGTCTGAGCCATATGAAGGCTTCAGGGGCTTAGGAGCTGAAGGTGAACAAAGACAGATTGAATGCTAGGTGCCATACTTGGCCCCTGTGGGACCTGTCATCTTTGCCATTACTGGGTGGTGGCAGTCCTACAGGGGCCTGGTGCTCTGCTATTATATGACTCACATTCTTTTCTCAGTACCTTTGCAGGATGAAGGTGAGTAATAATTTGTGTTCACATGGAAGGCCTGCAGTACACTTTCACTCTGCCTCCATGGGAATACCTCAGATTCCCTGCAATGTGCCATCAGTGGGTAGGGCTAGATCTGCAACAAGCCCAACTATTTCCTGAAGTATTTGTCCTACATTATATTGATGGCATCCTCACTTCAGGTTTGAGAAAATGTTGACCAGGCCCTATGTAAAGTCATAGATACTATGGCATGCACAGGCTGGGCTGTTAACCCAGATAAGGTTCAGGGACTTGGTCAAAAACTACAGTCTTGGGAGCCACATAGACTGGTAATTAAATGAATTTTCTTCATAAAGTTAAACAGAAGTTGCTGTCCTTGGCAGCCACCACCACCAAGAAAGAGGCTAAACAGCTCATAGACTGGTTTGGCTATTTGAAACAACATATACCACATATGGGTATTCTTTTGGACCCTTTCTTTAATCAAGGTTATTTGAAAGCTGTCCACTTTTGAATGGGAACCCCACCAGAGTAGGGTCTTGAGGCTGTGCAACATACATTGACATGGGCCTTATCATTGGGCCAATGGATCCCACCAGCCCAGTGGCACTACAGGTCTCAATGACACCTACCCATATGATTGAAACCTGTGGCAACAAGAGACCACTACTGGGTGCATAAGCCCCTCATATTTTGAATACATCAGTTACCTGGGGCAGCTGCAAGATACACTCCCTTCCAATACCATCACCTACCCAGTTATGGAGCCCTAGTGGAAATGAAGCACCTGTCCACTGTAGTGCAGTATCTACCCTTACCACTTGAGCTGTCGACTCTCAAGTGGATACTCACTAACCCCACTAATAATATAACTGGCTGGGCAAAGCTCCATCCTTAAATGGAAATGGTATGTTCTATAGTGAGCTGAACTGGGGCCCCAAGGTATCAGTTGACTCCATGAACCAGTAGCTCTCTTGTTGCGGTAACTGAATGGTCCACAGAGGGTGACCCCTTCTTTCCTTTTTAGCTGAGTGGGCTCATGGTTCAAAGATATTCCAGCTGATGTATGGCTTGGTTCATGGATGGACCCATGAAACTCAAAGCCAATGGAGTCCACTGGGCCACTGTAGCCATCTGCCCCAAGAATGGCCACTTTTTGATTAATGCCAGATTAGGAAACTAAGTCAGAGATTTCTCTCTAGAGGACCTTGTCAGCACTGAAGGAATCTGATGAGATTGGGCACATTCAGGCTGATATGGCCATAGACAAGCATTGAAGGAGTCTGAACGTTGAGGCTGAGGTCTGTTCCAAGCAAACTAATTATGGAATTGCATTCAGGGACTCGGAGGTGGAATAGGCTGCCAGAAATATCACTCTCTTATGAAGACACTGCTGCTATGGACGGCTGTGGAAGACCTCTGCGTGTAGATGGGTTCCTCCTCTTAATCGGTATTACCCTGTTAGAGACAGTGACTAACAGTACCTACTTATGAATGTGCTTATTCAGAGCCCAAAGCTTAACTTTAACTCCAGATATGAACACTTTTATATCTTAAATCCTCAGGAGCTTATTACTTTCATACGTTTTATTTTAAAATAATTTTGTTTTGAGACGGAGTCTCACTCTGTTGCCCAGGCTGGAGTGCAATGGCGTGATTTTGGCTCACTGCAACCTCCGCTTCCCAGGTTCAAGTGATTCTCCTGTCTCAGCCTCCCGAGTAGCTGGGATTACAGGTGTGTGCCACCAAATCCAGCTAATTTTTGTATTTTTAGTAGAGACAGGGTTTCATTATTTTGGCCAGGCTGAACTCCTGACCTCAGGGGATCCGCCAATCTTGGCCTCCCAAAGTGCTGAGATTACAAGCATGAGCCACCATGCCTGGCCTATTCCTAAAATAATTTTAATGCAGAAACCACTGAACAATACCTTTTACTACATGTATAATAAAACTGCATCAACTCAGGCAACATCATACGATAGTATTTCCCAAATGCAGATGTAATAATTTAAGCTATTCCTTCTTGACAATTTCAATTTATGAAAGGAGGAAGAGAATAACCTAAATAACACAGAAATGAGAAAATCATGTCATAACCTCATACTCTATTATATTTCAATTTATGATTACATGGGTCAAAAAATCAATTTTTGTCTTAATTGTCCTTGGTCATCTTGAATCACCCGTAAGAAAAATAATATTCCACATGTTGTAGTTGATATTAACATGTTGACTATTCTCTGTGAATGGTGTTTTTGTAACAATAACTATCAAAGAAGAAAACAGTGGTAATGGACTATCCAAAACTCGAAAATACAATGGCAACATTCCTGAAATAATTTATTTTAAAAGAGAAATAAACTTCTTACAAGAGTACAAATAAAAATGAGAATAGTGAAAATTAAAGTAGAAATGTCTTCCTCCACTTCTTTTCAAAATGACTTCATTTTCATGTAAATATTCATATCCCTCTTATTCCTGAGTACTTAAATATGTAAGTCATGAAAGATAGCTAAGGATGGGACAGCCTTTGAATAAAGATATGATAACTGTTTTTTTTCCCCCACTAAGCCTATTATCACAGGCAAAATTACATTTATCTTTTGGTTCAGGAGGCCAAGAATGAAATCCAGTGAGCTTTGAATGTGTTTATGTTTCAGGAATGTATTTTACCTGATGGTGTGCACATACATTCTAAATTAAGACAAGTTAATTAAACAGAGGAACTCTAGGAACATAGTGTTCTGCTATCTTCATCTCTAATTTGCTTTTAAGGATTTTCCAAAATGTGTTTCAGTGCGTTGTTCTAAGCTTTGCTCTGCCACTATCTGAACCTTCTTGATTTTGTTCACAAATCCTTATTTATTGTTGTCTTTTTCTTGTGCTAATGTATTCAGGATTGCTCCACTCTTTTAGGGAAAATGATATATTTTGAGCTAGACCTATCAACACCATGAAAATGGTGGTCCATTTTCCCCATAATTTATAGGCTATTATTTTCTCAGTTTGCAGACTTATGCTGTATAATAATTAAATAATGGTTGACAGCTTAATACTGAATGCCCAGTGTGGAGTGAGTGGCTTTTTACATGATCACAGTTTCTACTAATAGTGACCCATTCAGTGGTATCATAGATTTCCCTCTGTTAGATCATTGTTTTGTTAGATGATTATGGTGAAGTGAGCTCTAGTGTAGCATATCCAGGAGGGATGCAGAGTTGTTTTCTTTCCTTTGTCAGGCTATGCCACATAATCTCTCTTGTATGCAGGGAAATGGATTCATTTGTCATCTATTACTCATTACCACCAGCCATTATGTGCCATTTATACGTGTCTGAAGCACAGTTGCATTTCATCCTGACGGAATAATTTTTGTTTAATGTGAAAAGTCAATAAATGTGCATCAACATTTGTTGTGAAAATATAATAATAAATTTGTGTTCTACTCATTATATCTGGAAATTGTGTGTGTGTGTGCGCACGCACACACACACACGAGTGCACACCTGTGTATATACTCCTCCAAAGCCTCAGTCGGCTTGGAATAATGTTAGTTAAATTCATTGTCCATGTCCTGAGCTAAGAAGTTTTCCATCACTTAAACCCCACGGCAAATTAAAGGAGATTCGGGTTTGACACTACATTCTACTCTTTAATGCGATAAAGGAGCCCTGATTGGTCCTCACTCACGGTTGATCTTGATTCCAATGTTGATTTTTCCCACTATCTAAGCCCACGTCTTGAATTTACCCTTTCTCATTTCCATAGATTAAAGCAAGATGAGCATGGCCTTTGGATGTTACACATTGACTACCGTAAGGTGGATGTATACATCCGGTGTGTGTGCTCCCAGGACAATGGCTACTGAAATCTTACCCACTTATGTGGAAGGAACTATGTGTTCAGAACACGCTATTCTAGCGCATGGGTCATAAACAAAAGATACTTTCTCCAGATCTTTACTCCTCATTGATTAAGTGTTCTACAGCAGCCTAAAAGGCTGCATCCCTGTGTAGGAGCTGGTGGGCAGGGGAGGCGGGCTGGGGCTGAAGGAAAGGGAGGGACGGGGAAGGAGCGGGTGGGAAGCAATGTGGCTGACCAGGCACTAGGCACCTGCTTCTCAAGCTTGGCCTCTGGCACTTGTTTCATTTTTAAGCCTAAGTTGGATTGAACATTCAATAGTAAATCTTAAGCATGTTAAATAAGGTGACAGTCTAAATTTTGAAGCCAAAAAGACAAGATAAATTGTTATTTTTGAATAAGGAAGAAAACCCTAACTCACTGTTTTTGTTGTTGCTGTTCTCCTACCATATAATACAAAGTTGTTTCACTCACTGCATCTTACTCCAAATCCATTTCACAACACAGGAAAACAGAGTAAAGATCACAAATGCAGAAACAAATTGAAAAATGCTGGTAGAGAGAAAATGTTATTTTTACCCATTTTAGTAAGCATTTTATTATACTATGAAGAATAAACTTAAAGACCTTAATGAAGAATAGTTTTATTTTATTTTCCCAAAGATAATCCTTAATGAAAAGAAAATTCCCTAAGGTGTCTTATTTATTTCCAGATTGTCTGATGGCAGTTAGGTTGGAAAGGGAAGATGAAAAATAAAGAAAAACACTTATAATTATTTTGCGATTTGCTTTAATTTAAATCAGAGTCTAATTTGTTGTCACAATAGATTAAGAGAAGCTGCACAAACAAATATAATAAATTCAGTGTGCTTCAAAGCCAAATGCTAAACCTGTGGGCATGTACCATATTTTACTTCATACATCTAGAAAAAAAATAGTTCTTTTAAGTAATAAGCATAAACCAGTAAGGACTTTAAAAATAAAGCAAATCTCAACCTTGTTATACAGATATTCAAGGCAATGTGATAAACTGCAGTAACCCCATTTCATCTGCTTTTTTAGCCAAAAATTAAAATGGTTTTATAATATAGCATTGATTTGTGCCTAATCTGGAATAGTCCTTTTTATTAATATTGTACTAAACCCCAGGAAATGATGCCATAGGCCCCAGGTTAGTGCCAAAACACATATGAAGTCAGTTGATTCTATTTATTAAGACCATGCAAAGTTCCTGACCCTGTTGCAGTGAACAAACACAGGGCCAGCTGGCTCACAGGCATTCTTTTATACAAACCTGTTCACTCATATCTGTTAGCAACTTTTCCTTTCATCAGGGTCAGAGCAATCCAAAAATGTGCAGGAACCCAGCAGTGACGAGCAGGATTCTGTTTGGAGTGGGGAGCAGAGGTGTGTGCCAAGCAAATGTGCCAATTATCCCCACTGCGAGTGGGTGCTAACCAGAACCAGCTTCCTGCACGTGTCGTGTGTGTGCCAGCCCTAAAGGCAGCACCTGGGAACTGTCATGCAAAATGAGGTGCCCTCCCCTGATTTTATTTCCCTAAGAAGAAAATTTGGTTGGCCATTTGAATGGCATCACTCACTTTGAATAGAAAATATATCATGGGGAAAGAGAAATTTTCTTACACAGTATAGAATAAGGGGCAAAAATAGAGCTTGGAATTCAAAATGTCTATCATTTTTAACTGAGGTGACATAACAGTTAAACTGAAGAAGCACAAAAGTACACAATTACTACCACCAAGGCTTACAGCAGCCACTCCACACGTATTTCAAAACAATTGAACTTCGCATTTCTTTCTTTTCTTTTCTTTTTTTTTTTTTTAATTTTTTCAATCTTCAGGGAACTCTACACTCTGAATTTAAGTATCCTTAAAGCTTTTCCATTGTAGTTCTTATTTCTGTTTTCCAACATGACATGTTTATATCACATACAACTACTCAAGGGATTTCAAACCAGGTCAGTGAAACAATTGGTGAAAATGTCACAGGAATTATAATATTAAAAATAAGCTCTGAGGATAAAATTCTGTGGGGATACTTAGATGCAGGACATCCCAACAGGTCCGTGGAATTCCCTTCAATTCAAGAATGAAGTTTTGAATGTGTAGATAAGCACCACTGTCACTTATCCACAGGGCTTGCCGTCTGAACCATGCAGCCTGCTTGGCATTGGAGAATTTGGTATTTCATGAAAGACCCTAAGATGACCAGGTCATCCCTTAAGAAGGTTAACAGCACAGATCCTATTGACCTGGTTGGTGGTAGTCATGGGAGAAAGTTACTCCTCTCTCCACCCCGGAGACTCTCATGTGAGGAGCACATTTTGCTGAGGGCCTTCCACTGCAGTACCTTATCGAATTGCTCTGGCCTCAATCTTAGTGTCCCCTGCAAATGCATAGCTTGAAACCTGATCCCCAATGTGATAGTATTCAGAGGTGGGAACTCTGGGGAAGTGATTGAGTCAGGCTGGCTTTCAGTGGAAGTTGTGCTGTTATGAAAGAGACCCCTTCTGTCCTGTGAGGACACAGCTAGAAGGCACTATCTTTGACCTAGAAAGTGGGCCCTCACCAGAAAACAGAATCTGTTGGTGCTTTCATTTTGGACATCCCAGCCTCTAGCACTGTGAGCAATAAATTTCTGTTGTTTATAAGCCACTTAGTTTATGCCTTTTTGTTATAGTCACCAAAACAAACGACGACAGGAATGATCACAGCCTTTATGCTGAAACCAGGCTTTGCCCAGGTATCTCTCAGCCCATGACGGGCCTGGCAGGCTTACGAGTGTCCTGTCATTCCTGCCCCCTCTTATCCTGGTCACTGCTCTCCTAGTTGCACCGTAGGCTGAGGCTCTGCCAGCCCGATCCTAAGTCCTTTCCTTTCTCTCTTTGCAGGTGTTACAGCTGCAGTAGAGTCTGGGGCCTCTGCACCTATGCCTTCTCTCTTTCTCTCGCTCTTTCTCTCTTTCTTTTATCTTTCATAAATTATCTTCTCCCTTCAAATAAATGACTTGAATATTGAAACCCATCATAAAAGCCATTTTCTGGAACACTCAAACATATAACCAGGGCTTCCTTCACCTTGTATTTATTTTCAGATATCCTAAATAGATCTATCTTTTGGCAGGGTGTGGTAGTTCACAACTGTACTTCCAGCATTTTGGGAGGTCAAAGTGGGAGGATCTCTTGAAGCTAGCAGTTCAAGAACAGCCTGGGCAACAAAGCAAGAATCCATCTCTACAAAAAACGTAAAAAGTAGCTGAACATGGTGGCCTGTGGTTCCAACTACTTGGGAGGCAGAAATGCGAGGATCGCTTGAGTCCAGCACTTGGAGGCTGCGGTGAGCTATGATCGTGCCTCGCTGCACTCCAGCCTGGGTGGCAGAATGAGACTCCATGTCTAAAAATATATATATAAATATATAAAATAAATAGATGCATTTTCCAGATGTAAACTACCTACTATGAAAGAAGCCAACCTCAAAATACAGACAATTAGGATGTAATTTGGATGTGTCCAGAGAAAACATTCATTTAGTAGTCTCACAAGTCACTTTGATGTTATAAATTGTGCTTCTCATGTGGCTGTTCATTATACATGTGTGAAACAAAGACTCACAGTACAACAGTGCAGCTAGCACCATCTCATCTTCCCCCTCACCACCTCATACTTCTGTGCCTTCACACAAATTTAATTCGAATAGGTACTTAGAAAGTGTTTCCATTGACCCTGCTTAAACTCCTGAGGCATCTCCTTTCCAATCTACACCAAAGAGAAATCAGTTTCTATTGTCTTTTTTTTGACTACCTGTTTTCCATAACAATCCTATGTAATGTGACTTTCTATTCTTGATTATTAAAACTCTCAAAGGCCCTTAATGACTCGTTTTTGTTTGACTGTTTTTCTTACTTTTCATGAAACAATATCTAATATTTTACATTGTTAATTAATTGTTGACTTCTAAAAATAATAATAATACAAAAAAATTAGCTCACGCAATACATCCACATTCAGCCCTTTCTGTATTTCTTAAAGCAACACTGATTCCATCCTAACCTCCAAATAAAGAAACCTCCTGTGGTGCATACCTTCTACCTTCTGTCCTTTTTGTACTTTAATTATTTCACCCATTACCAATACTGATTTTTACGTTCAGTTTTCCATCATTTTTGCATGTTTTAATAATAGAATTGTAACTCTGTCTTGGCCATCACAGTAAAATAACCTGCCAATTAGTGAAACTCACAGCTTTTAAAGGTAAGATGTTCGCACTGATGTCATAGGGCCTATTTTCCAACATCTCTGGTACTATCTATCATCCAATAATGGCAAACTACTTGTTGGAATTTTTCATAATAAAACAAAAGCAAATTTTACATGTCTCACTTTTTTCTACCAATGTCTGTTCCTTAATTAGCAACATGCAAAAATTTAGCCAGAAATGTTTTTTGCACACAAAGCCTCTCCTCCGCCTCACGTTTGCAGCCCATAATTCAAGTGTTATTAGAATTCCATTTATTTTATGACACCTTCACTCATTTCTCCCTAGGAGTTTATTTATTTGACTAATAGTTATTAATTTTATTTATTCAATCAGTGTTTATGGAGCTCCTACCGTCTGCTTTGAGCACATGGCAGATGGAGTTCTTGGTTTCATGAAGCTTGCAGTCAGTTGTGGGCAGGCAAGCACTAAGCATATATTTAAAAATGATTTTGATAGAGTCTTTGAAGATAAAGGGCAGAATTTAAATCAGGGAGCCATCATTAGAATAACTATTCACAAAATTTCTCTCTGAGAAAATATTTAAGTTGAAACCTGAAGAATAAAGTTAAATAACTTGCATACAACATAGGGACACATCAAACAATTGACACAGACTTACAGCTCCATCTAACTTCCTCTGCTTCAGAATCCAGGCTTCAATTGGTAACTCTCAATTGGAAAATGAAAAATATGACTGTAGATAAGAATATAGATACAAAGGACCCAGTGGCCTCTCCATCTGCTCACACATACCTCCTCCAATGCAACAGAAGGAGGGTTCTTGGTAATTAATTGGAAAGCAAGAAATGAAAAGACAGAAGGGTATTATTCGTCAGCCATTTCCCTCTGTGGTCCTCTCACCTGATTCCTGATACCACATCCTGCAGGAGTGGGAACTCTTCCAACCGCCTGCACAGGAGTGTCCTTCCTACCTGCTGTTCCAACAGCAGCTTGCTCACGGCTCCTTGCTCTCATTCTCATTCTCACCCGCAGCGCCATTCCTTTACTTTTCATTCAAATTTCTGTCTTGTTTCTTATTTATGCTTTTAAGAAGTTAAGAAGGATGAATCTTCTATATGGCACGTATTACCAGCAATCTAGGTTGTGAGTCTTCTTCAGTCAACAGGCACATATACTTTTCTATCTCAGAATGACAGCTAGAAGGATTCTTATGCATCACCAAGTGTGATGGTTAATACTGAGTGTCAACTTGATGGGATTGAAGGATGCAAAGCATTGTTTCCGGGTGTGTTTGTAAGGGTGTTGCCAAAGGAGACTAACATTTGAGTCAGTGGACTGGGAGAGACAGACTCACCCTCAGTCTGTGTTGGCATCATCTAATCAGCTGCCAGCATGGCTAGAAAAAAGCAGGAAGAAGAAAGTGGAATGAGCAAACTCGCTGAGTTTTCTGGTCTTCATCATTCTTCTGTACTGGATGCCTCCTGCCCTCGAACACTGGACTCCAAGTTCTTCAGCTTTTGGAATCTTGGACTTACACCAGTGGTTTGCAGGGGCTCTTGGGTCTTTGGCCACAGACAGAAAGCTGCACTCTCTGTTTCCCTACTTTTGAGGTTTTGGGACTCGGACTGGCTTCCTTGCTCTTCAGCTTGCAGACAGCCTAGTGTCGGACTTCACCTTATGATCGTGTGAGTCAATACTCCTTAATAAACTCCCCTTCATATATACATCTGTTCTATTAGCTGTGTCCCTTTAGAGAAGCCTGACTAATACAAGTCATTTCTTCTTTATTTTATTGAATGAGGCAAGACTCCTAGAAATCTGTCATGACTTAATCAAATTATGCGGCTAGGAAATGCAAAACTGGCCTAAAACCCATGTCTCTTCATTTTATACGTAGGATGATAATGTATTCTGGATGTTTGGGAGAGTCCCGGTTTATTAATAAATCTGTTTACTAAAAACAGGTTTATGCCTATTGCCTCGTTGAAGCCACTACTAGCAACGCTTTCATTCTCCTCAACCTCCCAGTTTGGAGCAGCTAGCATCCTTTCCTCCTACATATAGCCCATTAATCTTTCCCCTCTATCACACATATCATATTTTCTGATTTTCAGTGAAGTCTGCATTTATGTACAGGTGATGTTTCCAAGTCTAGCATGCTGATACCTAAGAGCAATGTGATTTTTTAAAATTCCGAACTGTGTGACTTGTCTTATGTGAAGACAAAGCTCTCTGAATGAACATATAGAGAGATTTAAGTTTCTTACTTAAGAATTTTATTTATGTTTGTGTATTATTTTCCAAGAGAGATGCTCATGGGGATGTGATAGAGAGGAAGAGAAGCTGGGGACACCCCTCTCTAAGCCGTAAATGGAGGGCAAGCATCAAAGTGGGCCACTACATAGCATCTCTGATGGGAGTTACAAATTGGTGAGTAGGGGCTAGGACTTTTTGTGCATATGTATATCATGTATGACTCTGTAGCAGTCACTGTGCCACTGAGTAAATTATTCCTGTCATTTACTGTTATCACCACAGTATACACAATATCCTTATAAATTATATACTTTCATTTCCTCCATTTGGCAGATGGTGAAATTGAGGCATAAGAGGTTAAATAACTGGCCAAAATGCTTGGAGCTGTAGTTCAAACCAAATGTGCCTGACATAATAGCTTTTATTCCTGTCATTAAGAATACTCTTTATTTTTAGTTAAGAAGCCTATAATATTATCTGGCCTGTATATTTTCCTTTGTTCCTTACTGATATGGTTTGGCTGCGTCCCCAACCAAATCTTACCTTGAATTGTAATAATCCCCATATATCAAGGGTGGGGCCAGGTGGAGATCATTGAATTATGGGGGTGTTTTCCCCCATATTGTTCTCATGGTAGCGAATAAGTCTCATGACATCTGATGGTTTTATGAATGAGAGTTCTCCTGCACAAGCTCTCTTGCCTATCGCCATGGAGACATGACATTTTGCTCCTCCTTTGCCTTCTGCCATGATTGTGAGGCCTCCATAGCCATGTGGAACTATGAGTCCATTAAACCTCTTTTTCTTTATAAATTACTAAGTCTCGGGTATGTCTTTATTAGCAGCGTGACAGCAAGAGAACAGACTAATACACTTATATTTACTATTTCCTTTATTTTCTTCACATGAATTACAAATAATCCTACAACGATGGAATAATTTGTATCTTTCTTAAGAGGCAGACAAACAGCAGCAGATGAATTTGCATAATTTAAGTTTGTGTTCCATTGTCCAGTTACTTGGGGGAACCCAGTCTTGGTACACATGACTAACCACATGATTGACTATTAAGAGCTACTAAATTGATGGGTGAGTAGGCTGAGTAATTTTATAAATAAAGGTATTGCTGGCCTATGTAAGCCCTAGAAGAGACAGAGTTGCCCAGAAACAGTAGAAAAGCCAACATCTCCTTTATTATACCACCTGACATTTTTATTTATTATTCATTAGCAACAAAGAATAATTAAAAGATACTTACTAAGCTCTGTAGATCATCAGTGCTCAGTTATTAACATGCTAGGGAATAGAATCTCTTCAGCCATTCTCACTAGGATTTACAATGCATATTACTAGGGCTTGTAAGCCCATGGAGAATATGTCTCTATAATATTACACTTAAAAATGAATTTCATAAGAGTTTTTTTATTGTTAAGGGTCATCAGGATTAGCATGTTAATAAATATAAGATAGGAAGTTCCAGGTGATCAAATATTAAACATGCTTACTTTAATTTGAATTATTTGCAAAGTCAATTAAAGTATTATTGTTAGATTAATTTTTGATTTTTTTATTCATTGAGTCGATATTTGTTAAGTACATATTGTCATGTTAAATGTAAATGGAAATATAAAGGAATATATCATGGCCTTTGACCTCAACGCTTGCAACACTGGAAGGATAAGGTACAAATAACTTTTTAATATTTTTCTTTTGTTTCTTTCTTTCTATCTCTTTCTCTAAATCTGTCTTGTTTTCATCACTTATTTATGTATTTTGCTGATGGTGACTACATTCAGAAATTAGGAAGGTTGTCAAATTTTTATTTTATAAAAACAACCTAATTTGAGAAGCCTCAAAATTATAGAATATGTACATAGTTCTTCATATATGTCATAGTTTACTATCATAAACTTATGCTGACATATAGTTGGGCAAGGAGAAGGGGAACATTTTATTAGCCAGGGGTCCCCAGAGAAACAGAACCAAGAGGATATACATAAAGAGAGGTATACATGAGAAGGGACTTATGAGGGGAACTGGCTCTCTCAATTATGGAGGCTGAGGAGGCCCACAACAGGTTATTTGCAAGTTGGAGAACCAGAGAAGTTGGTAGCATGGCTCAGTCCAAAGGCCAACCAAGGAAGCTGATGGTATAACTCTAAGTCTGAGGGTGCACGCCTGAGAGCCCAGGGCGGGGGATGTTGCTGCAAGTCCCAGAGTTCAAAACAAGGAGAACCTGAAGTATTGATGTACAAGGGCAGAAAAAGTGGCTTGGCTCCAGAAAAGATGAGCAAAAATTCACCCTTTCTCTGCTTTTTAGTTTCAACTGGGCCCCCAACTAATTGACTGGTGCCCACCTACATTGAGGGTGGATCTCCTCACTCAGTCCACTGATTCAAATGTCAATCCTCATTGGAAAAACCCTTACACAAATACCTGGGGAAGCTTAATCATTCCAATCAAATGTCAAACTATCTAGGTTTCCTTTTTTATAGAAGAAAAATGGACTCAATGCCTACTGAAGCATTAAGGATAATTAATGCACATGACTGAGAATAAAAATGCTTCTCCAGCTATCTGAGTATCTCTTAATTCAGTCTAGTTGGCAACCAAAATCAGCCATTACAAACATTAATTGAGTTCCTACTCATCCTAGGCTCTATGAAAGACACTTAAATATTTTCTGATGCATTCCTCGTAACAATTAAAATGTTTTCCAATTGATAAACTGGAGCTCAGGAAATTTAAGTAACTGGTCAAATATTGTGAATCTAGTAATTGTCACAAAAAGTACAATCGTTTATTATTCTTCAAAACGTAAAAATATATGCAGAAAGAAATAGCAAAGGAATCAAAAAACAATCACTACCAAAAATCAATTACACACAAAAGAAGGCTGAAATAGAAAGAATAAAAGGCAAAAAAACTTCAAGACATACATAAAACAAATAAAATGGCAAAAGTAACTGTTTCTTATTACTACTTTTAAATGTAAATGGATTAATGCCTCCAATCAAAAGGCAGAGATTGGCAGAATGAATTAAAAAATAAAATGATCTAACAATATGCTGTCTACAGGAGGGTCATTTTAGATACAAATAGGTTGACAGTATAAGAGTAGAAAAATATATTTCCTGCAAATTGTTACTATTTAGTAACAATAAAAAGAGCTGAATACTAACAATAAAAAGAGCTTTATACTAATATCAGAGAAGATATACTTAAAGTAAAAAGGATTACATGTGACAAAAGGAGATATATGTTGATTAGTCAATTTTTCAAGATGATAAAACAATTGCAAGCATATATACACTAAGCAATAGAGTCCCAAAGTATGTTAAGCAAAGATTGACAGAATAAAAAAGATAAAAATTTTACAGTAATATTTGGATATATCAATACCCCAATTTCAATAATGGATAGAACATATAGACAAAAAATATCACTAAGAAAATAGAGGACTTGAACAATATTATAAGCCAACTAAACCTGACTCTTCACCTCCCTTCCCACATATTTGTATGGTGTGTGTTACACACACACACATATACACACCACATGTATACCATATATACACCACACATTTATATGATGTATATTTATATGTGGGAAGGGCAGTGAATAGTCAGATAGAAATATGTGGGAAGGGCAGTGAAGAGTGTTGAGTATGTAACACTCTATCTACCCCAAGCTTGTTCAACTCACAGCCCACAGGCTGCATGAGGCCCTGGATGGCTTTGAATGTGACCCAACACAAACTTGTAAACTTTCTTACAACATTATGAGATTTTTTGCAATTTTTTTTCTTTAGCTCATCAGCTATCATTAGTGTTACTGTATTTTATGTATGGCCCAAGACAATTCTTATTCTTCTTCCAATGTGGTATAGGGAAGCCAAAAGATTGGACACCCCTGCTCTACCCAACAGCAGAATGCACATTCTTCTTAAGTGCACATGAAATGTTCTTCAGGGTAGAACACGTGTTAGGCCACAAAACAAGTTTTGATAAACACAAAAATTTTAAAATCAAAGTGTGTTATTCAACTGCAATGGAATAAAACTAAAAAGGAACACAAAAAGAAAACTATAAAGTTCACAAATATGTGACTATTAAACAACACTTTCTTAAATAATCATTTGGTTAAGAAAAAAAAATCACAAGGGAAATGATCAAATACTTAGAGATGAAAGAAAACAAAAATACAACCTACCACAACTTTGGGATGCAGTGGAAATAGACTTCAGAAGGAAAGTTATAGCCTATATATTTTTAAAAATCTCAAATTGCTTTTCACTTTGATAAGAAGATCAAGGTTCCCCGATTCCCCGACATAAGTTTCAATGTCCTTTCTTCTTTTTTATTAAAATTCCTCTCAGGCCTTTTTTTATTGTCAGAGAAAAAATGATCAAATACTAATAGTTAGGGAGAAAATCAGCTTGAGAAATCTCGAGTATCGGTTTTCAAAACCTTTGACTGAAATACAAGAAATACATTTGGGGTTGTAATGTGGTATACATATAAACAGACACACACATTCAGAAAACTGAGACAAAATATCATTCAACAATAGTCTAGCAATGTAGGAAGCCATGTGATATTTTTCTATTAATTTCTAGTCGACTTCTTTATACTAGATATTGTTATTGACATGTGAAATGAACTTCATAATCAACAAACCTGCAGTTGGAATACACTAAGCTTAACACGATGTTCTTCTTGTAGCTCAGCAGTACCATTTCCTAGTTAAAGGAAACAAAAAAGAATAAAATTGGTTCCAGGTCAAAGCAACCAAAAAATAATAAAATTAGTATCCTAATGTTAAGTAAAAATTATGCGAAATTGAAATAATATGTCATTTCAGTGTCACACTAGAGCAATGCCTAACAGTCACACCTTGGGTTTATTTATTTCCCCTATAGAATGAATCTTTGTTTGTCTTAGTATTTATTATAGATTAAGTCCAATACCATGTAAAGTTGAATATTAACTTTCAGTTTTGTTTTATGTTTTCTTTCACCTGTAAGCTATCTGGGAAGATAAATAACAATGAATAGTATGGTTTTGCTGTGGCATATCAAAAAGTTTTCTATCTAACCTCATTATCTTATTCTAGTATTCTTTCTTTCATGTGATGTTTTTTCAGCCCTTCATATTTGTCTTTTCAACCAGTTTTGTGATGCTGCTGATACCTTGTTCAATAAGTTAAACAGATCTTTGCCACAGACTCACTATATGTTCGTATGAGAGTCATCATGTTGACTTGAAAAATTGTACTTTGAAATGTTTCATGCATTTTATTCATAGAGTGTCCTTGGATAACTCTTCAGAGTAAAAGCAAAATTTACTGCTTAAAAAATCCAAACATAAAGGAAATATATCCTTCAATATGTCATATTAAAGAGCATCTAAATATGCTCTATGATCGTATTTTTGAAATTATTCCTTTATATGAGTTACTGCTTCATTAGACTTTTTTGTTGTTCAGTGTTAATCATAGTAAACATGGATTCATTTATAAAGATCTTTCAGCATAAGAAAAACTAATTTATATTTATCACATCATTTTTGTCACCATTGTCTAATTTGTAACATAAATCTTAATGTAAAGGAAATAATTCATTTATAAATATATTTCTTTATAATATGTAGGTAAACTGATATATATTTAGGCATATATATTTTATATATATATTTTATATATATTTTATATATATATTATATATATTTTATATATATATTTTATATATATTTTATATATATATATTTTATATATATATATATTTTATATATATATATACACAAAACAGGCAAAAAATCACAGCAAGTTTAACTTCCTAAAATCTCAATTAATTTCTAAGCTCTAAGATAGAAATTTAGTTTTCCCCTCACAATTAGAAAAGCACATGTTGAAATTGAAAGGATAAATACAACAAAGGAAATAGACACTGACCACCATATTACCTTAGACTCTGTCTAAATTTACACAAGTGATGTTGATATTGCTATTTGACTTAATTACCTAACCTTTATTGATAACAAGAAGACAAGGAAGACAAAGCTTAAAAATGCTTCATGCTAGAAAATTAGATTTTCTAGTTACAGTAACATGAAAATATGTTTCAAAAACCTTATAATTTTTTGTTAAAAATGTACCTTATATTTTTTCTTGTTAGGCAAGGCTTATACAAATTAAATAATAGTTTGTAAGGCACTTGAAAACAGTATGTGCCCAATATATATTTAGGTCTAAAGAACCACAAGAAAGATGTAGATAATAGTACAATGTTGTTTTGTTTTATTTTGTTTAAAGCTCTCACTATTCCGTATCAATTTATGATGGCAATTATCAAAGTTGAGACCTTTTACACAGGATCATGATTTGGCTAGTGATAAATCAAATGTTTGGCACACTGGAGGAAAAGGACTGAAACTAATGACCCCAGTTGGTTCCCATAGATCTTGCTCCAGGTTGCTACTCAGGATTGCATGGCTATCAGTGAATTGTTAAGGAAAGTCTACTACAAGAAGTCTACTCTGCCATATTCACACCTCTGGAAACCATCATCGTTGTGTCAGTGTATTAGTGTGATTCAGTGACTGAGACCATGAATTGTATGTGTCAACCTTGCACGCAGATTTTAACATCTATCTTGCTTATGTTTGTTGCAGATAAACAACAACACCCATTTACTTCTCAGAGTTCCATAGGTCAAAAGACTAAGCGCATGGTGGCTTTGGTTTCAAAAGCCTAAAGGAAATATAATATCCAGGTGTCATTAAGGCTGCATTTTTTTCTGGAGCCTACAAAGGAGAATCAGCTTCAAAGATTATTCAGGTTGTTGGAAGATTTCAGTTTTGTGCAACTGTGGGACTGAGGTTGTTGGTTGTGGCCAGGGGTTGTTCTCAGCTTCTAGAGGCTGCCCATTTTCCTCAATGCATGGCCCCCTTACTCTATCTGCAAGCCCACAACAATTTCCTGAAGCTTGAGCACACATCAGATCTCTATGAGTTCTTCCGCTGCCTCATCTATGTTCTGACTTCCTGTTTTCCACATTTCTCTGAATCTAGCTGGAGAAATCTCTTGGTTTTTAAAGGCTATATATTGCTAGATTGTCATGCAAATATACTGGGACCATGTGGATAATCCAGGATAAACTCTTTATTTTAAGGTCATCTGATTAGTAACCTTAATTACATCAGCAAAGCCCCTTCACAGAAGTACCTAGATTGTGTTTGATTGAATCCTAGGAGATGGGAGTTGCAGAGTACAGCTTTAGAATTCTGACTACCAGAGCTCTGAGCAGCATATTACATAAAATCTTACCCTATTAGTAAGCCAGCATTTCTTATTCGTTGGTAATGTTAATGTTGGAAAAATTAGGTAGACCATATTGGTTTCAGCCACGTTGCACTTTGACTAATTTAGATACTATTTTTCAAATATCTCCCCTTGGATTTTTCCTTAAAATTCTATTTCTCTAGATCACATATTAAATACTTATGTGTCAAATATAATGCTTTTTATTGTATTGTTTTCTCTGTTACCTTTATATAGACATACTTCCAAGTCATCACACCTCTTTTGTTTTCTCAAAATCTCTCTTCCTTCAGGAGTACCATTGACTCCAAAAGTTGTAAAAGTTGTATTTGATTCTTTTTTATGCCTTCCATTTCTTTGCCGAAATTTCCTATATTCTCCCTGAGGCTTTTTGGTTTTTGAGTTTTATTTATTTATTTTTTTTTCAGGTCTGTTCTTAAGTTCTTATTGCAACTTTTCTAACATTGCTGCTTTAAAAACTTTGTCATATGGTTTCAACATCTCTGTCATCTTGATATTGACATTCATTTATAGTCTTTTTCATTCAGTTTCAGAGCTTTCTGATGCTTCATGTAAGAAGTGATTTTTCCTTGGAAAAAAATGGATATTATATTACGTTTTGGGACTAGTTATTTGCAGGTGAAGATAGAAATCCATCTTTCCCATTGACTTTAATTGTGTGGTTCTCCTTATTATCACTGCACAGGATGGGAAGTGGAGATGTGTGGATGACATCATAGTAGAAGTTACCTCGTTACTACTGGGCAATGATGAAAGTTTTGATTTTCCACTAGGCCTCCAATGACACTACCCCAATATGATAAGGGGTGGTGCATTATCAATGCCAGGTGGGATAGGAGTATAGGTTCCTCACTTGGATTTCATTGATACCATTGGGTGAAGGTCCTGGTAAATAGCCCCAAGAATGAAATTGCCCATTTCCTCTTTGGTCTTCCTTATGCCACTCTGGTGGAGATGTTGGGATACCTTATACTGCTTCACTTTCAAAGGCTAGTATACCCACTTAGCTTTTGCTGGTATGGGTAAGGATAAAGATGTAAAATTATTTTCTGTTGTGTTTGGATGCAATAGATCAAATATGTTCTGAGAGTTCTCTGCTTTATTAGGTTACCCATTTTTCTGGTCCTTTGGCTAGAGAGAGCAGGCTTTTGTTGGAAATATCTTTGTGTGCACCCAATGGCATTTCTAGGTTGCTGGCTTTTTCAACACTAAGTCTAGAATATATGAGGCCATAAGAAAACCCAGCAAACTCATTATCATGTTGTTCATCAAGTCTGGAGTTCCTTAGCTGGTCTGCCTTCTTCTGTCAATCTTTCATAGTCTTCCCACCACACACACACACACACACACACACACACACACACACACACACACACACACGAGCACATACTTGTTTTGTTTGTACTTAGTGGGAGGAGTAGGAAAAATACATCTACTCTATCTTTCCTGAAGCAGAAGTCCCGTGTGTCATGTATTTTTTAGTTTCTTTAAATCAGGATAAAAAACCAAAGTCCATACATTGCAATTGATTGATATGTTTATTAAGTTTTTAATCTATAGATTGTAACTTCTCTCTCTTATTTGTTGAAGAAATCAAGAGATTTGCCTTTAGAGTTTCTCACAATCTGGATATTAGGGACAACATCTTTATGGGGTTGGTTAACATGTACCACTGGCCCCACATTGCTACACAAAATAAAGAATAGAGTTAGATACATGATAGAAAATTTTGAAAACAATTCTTGAGAAGCATTATCGTTTTATTCCATCAGTAGGTAAATAACCTCTGTCTTTATAATGGAAGACAATCAGTATGTATTTCCTAACGTAGCCAACTGAAAAACTAAAAAATACCAACAAAACAAGTGTAAAGAGCAATTTTGATGCCAAGATTATGGAAATTAAATGCCATTTTCCAGGAAAAAAATGTTACTATTAGCAAAAGCTGGATGAAAAATTTATGGAAACTGTATACTATCAGTTTAGTTCTTCTGTGACTCTAAATTATTTTAAAAGAAAACTAATGAAAATATTTAAGAGGTACAAAGTCAAAATATTCCTTTTCAGAGATATTTTACAAATGATAATTACTTTACATAGTACACCCTCAATTTCTTAAGTTGTCCAGGGCCATATACTCTATACGGGTCCATAATGTATATTTAAGCTATAATAGGGTAGTGATGGTAATGGGGTGAATATTTTCCTTTTATGAAGGGCACATATTTTCAAAGTTTAGAATCATCAGACTCCAGAAGGCATAGGGTTCCACCAGTCCAATTTCATAATATTTTCGATATCAGTTTTAATACAGTTTAAAAACAAATACTTAAAACTCCAGCATAAAGATACAAGCACAGTAAATACAGTGCTTCTTGATTATGTTAGACAAGTCAATTAAAAATTCATATATTGTAGCACTTACTCAGCAGGAGTGCGTATACAAGTGTGTGATTCTTGCATTGTAAAAGTGGAGTGTATTTGTATGCACAGTCTCTGCCCATAGGTAACTCATAACTTTGTTGGAGGTGCATGGCATGGTAGTATGTATTAAAAAGGAGGTGACATGTATATAAAGGATAGAGAATAAAATCAAAATGATGCATGCAATAATATAATGACAAAGTCAAATATTTAGCCCATAAATACTGCCTAGAATGGCATGAACATACAACTATGTTGAAAGATTTTTGAGCAGGAGTAACATGATCAAAACTGTGATTCTGGTAGAAGATCTACCAAGAATATTTGATGGATGAGATGATGGGGAGAAAGCTCAAAGGGAAGGCCATTAAAAAGCCACTAGGGATTTTACGCGCGTGCGCGCACGTGCGCGCGCGCACACACACACACACACTGCAGTGCTTGAGAGGATGTAGAAGTGCAAGAGTTTTAACTTCAATATTTCCACAATAAAGGGATCTATAATAAAGAATTCCCACACTTCTGATTCTTAAGTAGTTGGTCAGGAAGTGTTAGACCATTTGACTAACTACAAGCCGTAAAAGACATTTTTTTCTGTTGGAAAATTCTGCTTCTAACATGGTAGTACATCAATATGAATCAAGCTTTTTCAGAAGCATTTCCTTAGAGGAATCTGGGTTGGAAGTTATACTGCTACTATTGGTGCTGCTATGCAGCATTTTTCCTTGACAAAACAAAATATCTTTTGAAATACATCTCTATTATAATGACATGCAATTCCCTATGTTCTTAGATAAACCAAAGGAATTTAAAAGGGAGAAAATATTAATATGGCAACAATCCGTTAGTATGATATCATGATGACAACTGTAAGTTCTTTTGGAAATAATTTTATTGTTGTTACAGAAGAATCCTATAGTTTCAAGGATTTTATTTTTTGAAGTCAATAAAACAAACATTTATTTAAAAAATGGTTTCAAATTCTACAAAAGTATTTTATTGTACGTATTTTATTGTACATATTTTCAACTGTTATTATTGATTTAATTTCATGTGTTTATTATTCGCTGAGATATTGTTCGTTTGTTTTTAGCAATGTCAATTTTGATGACTCCGTCAAATTGATCGGAATTTGGAAAAGGGTGTAGTCAAATTATTTAGAGTTGCATAATATTAAAGATGGGATTATATGGATGCTTCGATTAACTTGACAATTTTTGGACATGTTATCTAGAATTACATTCAATCCAATATATCTTTCAAGCATCGTTATAAACGAAGGCTGACCAAAAATGATAATGTGCTCACTGTCTAGGTCCAATATACCCACGTAACAGTCCTACACATGTACCCCCTGTATCTAAAAATAAAAGCTGAAATTAAGCCAGGCGCGGCGGCTCACGCCTGTAAACCCAGCACTTTGGGAGGCCGAGGCAGGCGGATCACGAGGTCAGGAGATCCAGACCATCCTGGCGAACATGGTGAAACCCCGTCTCTACTAAAAATACAAAAAAAAATTTAGCCGGGCGTGGTGGCGGGCGCCTGTAGTCCCAGCTACTCCGTAGGCTGAGGCAGGAGAATGGCGTGAACTAGGGGGGCGGAGCTTGCAGTGAGCAGAGATCGTGCCACTGCCCTCCAGCCTGGGAGACAGCAAGACTCCGCCTCAAAAAAAAAAAAAAAAAAAAAAAGCTAAAATTAAAAATAAAAAACAAAATAAGCAAAATAAGATGATATATATAGTTCTACCAAAAAGAAAAGGAAAGAAAGAAATCTTGAGATATGAATATTAAGTGAACAAACTTCAGAGTTGCCTGAAGCAGTGCTGTATTGTCACTCAGAGGGCTCTACACCCATAGCAAATCCTAATTTAGTTACGATGAGAAAGATTAAAATATCTTTTAAAAGGTGGAATGAAATATTTGAGTTTGATTTTTGTTTTTAGTTAATGTGTTCTTGTTAATTTGCATGCAGAAATGCCATTTAGAAAAATGAGAAAAGATGCTAGTGCTATTGCAATACTGTAACTTTTGCACGCATACATCAATCCAGATATGTTTGAAGTATATTGATGTTTCCATATATCAGATTTATATATAATCATTTCAGGAATTTATAAAGAGTTTCTATTTTTAAATCATCATGTAAAAAGGATTTGTTTTTAGTCCTGTTAACCATTTTTAAAAATTTAAAAATTGATAACATAAGATGAATTCTTTTAAATTTAGAAAAGAACATTGAGATTAATATATAGCAGTAATAAACCACCTCAGGATAAGAGAAATAACTACATAAATCAAGTAAGATTTTTTTTTCAAAAATGCCTACTTCAAAGGTTCTTTTTTGCTCAAAAATAATTATATTAACGTCAAGCCATACTGAAGAAAACATCCTAAAACAATTTTAATATACGGTGCATTTATCCCCATTGTTAAATTAAGTTACTGCATACATACTGAATTCTTTGTATTCCCAACATGATTTTTCACTTCTTTGAGTGATCTAAGAGACTCATTTAAAATTTTAAAATCTGCAGTGTGTTTTTAAAGAACTAATATTTTGGCCCAGGACCTCTGGCAATTACAATGCAATACATCTGCAAACAGAATGGATTCTGTTCTACTCTTAACTCTAAAAAAGTGAACTTCAAAAGGTTCATAGAAGACGGATTGCATTCTAGCATACGTATATGTCATGCAAAAGAACTAGTTAACTAATTTGCTTGCTTTGGGGTCATTTTTCCTGTGGAAACTATATATAATTCTTTGAATTCAAACTCATAAAATCTGTTGATGAGATTCAGCTTCAGAGGAATATTTCCTGATGCATAATATTTCAAAAAACACATTTCTGGAAACTTTACTATATTAAATCTTATTAATACAGGGGTCTGGAGCAATCATTATTGAGTTGTCATCAGAGTCTACAGAATATAAATCGAAACAAATGCATCCAGTATAAAAAGAATTCTTTATTAAAACCACCTTTCTTTAAGGTTCTATGACCTCAATATGTGACTTTGGTGTGTTTAAACAGGGCTTTCCCTCAATGTCACTGTAACTGGCCACTGCCTGCTTGCAGTTGATCAAAATTGACACCATTAAGGATTCAAGCACTTACACACTTACTGTTCTCTTCTAAAGTACCTCAGGTCAAAGTGATCATGTTAATTTTATTATGAAAGCTGGAGGGAAAATACTCCTATGGATCTGGCCATGAAACTGCGAGTACCGTAATTGTTTTTAATGCACATGGCTCAATTTTTCATCTACTTTTCTTTTCCTTTTTAGTCATTGCCTTTTCTTCCTAAGCGCATTCCAAAAGATGAAATCACTTGTTAACCAAGTGTCTATTCATTAAGCAGTCATTTATTTAATCAAATGAACCTGAGATTTATCCCTATGCGTGGTGAACTTTCTTAGGCTACTTAAAGTGCTGACATCTGATCCTTCCTCATCTTGCAAAATGCACCGGTTTTTAAAATGTGTTTCCAGGAGAATGAAAAGACTGAGCTTCAGAGACCAAGATTGTTCTATGTGATTGGCTACAGATCACATGCTGCAAGGTGGAAACATGCAGGCAGGGGCAGAATCAATTTTTTATATAAGTCACTGTGCGGAGCAATCCATGAGCTAACAAAGTCAATATTAATACGTTGCCACTGTGCATAATAATTCTGAAATAGAAGTTTGACATTTTAAATAGGGTAGTTACACCCAGTTACAATAAACTCTGATTTCACCACTGTTTGTGAAATCCTTAAACTAAATCAGAATTATGTGCCTGTTTCCAAGACTCTAATGGGCAAAGAAGGAATGCCCAGTGCTATTCTATTTCAAAACAAGGAAGGCACCGTCTGCTTTACTCAAATGAGGGGAAGACAAAGTTCACTTACCTCGAGGAAGCTGACATGCACATTGTCGTTCAGTTGAGTAAGCAGTTCTAAATCGGGGTTAGAACACCAGCCAACTGTCTTGAAAGAAGGAAGGTACTTTAGTTAAATTGAGCTAATTTTTAGGAAAAGATGGTACTTCACTTTCTATGTTATATCACTCTTCCTCCATTTTTAAAGAGCATCAACTATTTTATGGGAAGTAAAACTATAAAACTAGACAAAGCCATTTTTATACTTGAAATACTTCCAGATTTGTGGAATGAAAATCTGAAGGTGGTGGATGCCTCAGTCTCCACGTCTCTGAGAAAGAAGAATTTTTCTGTGCCTGAAAGTCCATGATTAAAAGACATCACCAAGCATTCCTTTACTTAGATGCTTGCAGTGGAATTAGGAACCCTTGTAAATCCTTGGGAACTGTTCTTAACATAGCCATATCTAACTTCACTAGAGGTTTTAATGGTTAATTTTAAGGAAAGTTTACTGGTAAAATGCAAGGTGCATCTGTGACTGCCGCCCGAATGAATTTACTTTTGTATACTGTATCAGGCATTCAATTCCAGAGGGTTCAGGTGTCAGCACAAAATTAAAAAGAAAAAAAAAAAAAAAACAGTGTCTTTTGACTTGCAGATAGCTTTCAGTGCACGTTCTCATGCATTTTCAGCCCAATTTTAGAAGTAGTGATTAAGAATGGATTATGGTGGTTTAACTCAAGTTTTCATTTTATTTTTCTCCTTCCTCCAATAGTGTGGTTTCCCTATACCTGATTATTGTGGAGGGTTTAGAGAGAAGTGAAGTGGTTGGAGTTCAATCAATATGAGACAGTGCCATGGAGAGGCTTGAGAAAGTGTTCCTAGGCGGCTATTGAAACCTGCTCAGGCTCTCCACCTGAAGGAACAGGCTTCCCTCTTGCACCTGAGTTTCCACTCTTTTATTTCCCCGTAATGCACTATTGATCCTGGGAGGCTGAAAAACCTCATCCCCATGTGCACTGAGCCCAGAAATGGCTACACTTTCCAAACATGGCATTGCATTTGAAAATTAAGTGATTTCTTAAGGTCAATTACTCTATCACTTTTTATATATATAACCGTGCTTCAGAATATGTCTATTAATTAACACCTTAAATCACCAATGCACTTCATGAAATTGCTTCAAGGAAAATGTCACCTCTTTGAGTTCCTGAAAAGAAAATCTTCAGCAATTCTACAGGGGCCCATTTCCTCTTAAATTTAGATCTACTATTTTTCTTGTAACTAACATCATTTTCCCCAACCACACTAAAGTCAAATTAATCCCCATACAAAACAAAATCTGGATAAATTACAGCCCTGCTAGCCTTTGGAACAGTTTCACTGTTAAGAGTTTGAACACATATTACTCAGGTTTTCTTTATATTTTCATTCTGTAAGTCACAACCTTTTATATTGGTGAGAGTAGGTCACACTTTGCCCTTCTTTACCTAGAATAGTTTCTGAAATTATTTATTGCTAAAATGTTTTAAGGAAACCTGAGATAAAAGCATCACAGAAACCAGTTTCTTTGGAAAATAAATTATTTCAAGCCAAAAGAAATAATAAATTATAAATCTATAAAACAAAATCAAACCATTTCTAGTAATTGGGATCATATATAGTCATATAAGTACTACTTATCTAGAAGTACTATGTTAATATACTATGTATACTATAAGACACAAACAAAATTGACATTTTACAAGAATAAGATCAACTTAAACAGTATACTAAGATAGAATTATTTTTCTGATTGACTAGGATAGCATTATGAATCATTTTGCTTATAATTTAAGAAAGCACTTCTGTGTTTTTTTCTCCTTAGTTTTATTCTCTAAGAAAAAATTCAAACATGCAGAAGAGTTTGAATAATAATATATTGAGTATTTGGGTGCTCACCGCTAAATCTAATAGTTGTTAACATTTGTGCCATATTTGCATGTGTGTGTATATATATATATATATATATATGGTGTGTGTAAATATAACTATGTGAAAATAAACTAAAATTATCAGGCCCCCTCATCTACAAGTAAGCCAGTTTGTCTATTCTTTAATTCTCATAATAAACATAGATTACAAAGTTAACAATAATACCCTAATTTTATTTAATATTCAGTTCATCCTCAAATTTTCCAAATAGTCTCCCGAATATATCAGTTATTTTGAAAAGTAGATACTGATTTAGCAACAAGAAGAATTTTAATGCGTATCACTAAATAATGGATGAAGAGTCTCTGAAATAAGTAGAAATATTTCCTGAAGGGGAGAATAAATAAACAATATATACTCAAATATAAGACTTTAGAAATAAGGCTTCCTGGTGATAACTTTGAAATGTGCATTTATTGATTTTTGATTGCTTTTTTTCTGATCAGTGTGCGCTGTTTTTATTTTAAGACCCCCATATAGGTAGTCTTTTTTTTTTTTTTACCACGTAAGCTGATTTCTATTTAGATCATTCTACCTTCTCTACTTTTAAATATCATTGAGTTTACCCTCAGATGGTACTATAAAGTCTGATTTATAAAACTCATGAGATGAATTGTCTATTTAATGTACTCCCATTTCTACTTCCATTGTTTTTTCTTCCTTCTTAAGGCTCTGAGTTTGTGTTTGTTTGTTTTACATAACTTCCTTTCTGTTTAAAGACTTTTCTTTAGCCATTATTTATAGATATGTTTACTAGCAAAATATTATATTACCTTTTCTTTATCTGAGGCTGTCTATATTTCCGTGTCATGTCATTCCTGAAGGAAATGTGTGTGTGTGTGTGTGTGTGTGTGTGTGTGTGTGTGTTTCAGTATTTGAAAAATGTTTTGTGTTTCTGGCTGGCCTCCATGGTTTCTGACAAGAAATGTGCTGCCATTTGAATGATCTATCAGTTGTTTGCCATTTCTCTCTGTCTGCTTTTAAGATTTTTTTCTTTGTCTTTAGTTTTCAAAAGCTTAGTTATTCTTTCTTTGGCATGAATTTGTTTAGTTTTATTCCTTTGTGGTTCACTCAGCTTCTCCATCCTGCAGATTTCTTTCTTTTACTAAATTTGGTTTGTTTTCAGCCATCGTTACTTCAAATGCTCTATCAGCCCTACTTTCATTTACCTCTTCTTCTGGAATTATAATGATACAAATGGTGCATGTTTTTGTTATTGTCCTACACAGTCCTGAGCCTCTGTTCATTTTATTTTCCCAGAATATGTCCTCTCTGCTGTTCCGTCTAGGTTTATTCTATGCATCTGTCTTTCTTTAAGTCCTCAAGTTCACTCACTGTATTCTCTCATCTCCACTCAGCTTTTAGGCCCATGCAGTCAGTTTTCATTTTCTTTTTATCAGTTATTATATTTTTAAGTGCAATAATTACCATTTGGTTCTTTTATGTAAGTTTCATTTCTTTTGTAAAATTTTCTGTCTTGTGCTTGTTTCCCGATAATTTATAATTGCTCATTTTAGGATGACTTCGTTAAAATCTTTGACAGAAAATTCTAATATCAAATTATCTCTGTATTGGTGATAGCGGATGATATTCTTATTCAAGTTGTGATTTTTTGGTTCTGACATTAATGGGTGATTTTTAAAATTTTATCTTAGATATTTTGTCTGCTATTTCAAAACACTCTGGATTCATGCTATATTTTTAAGGTTAGCAGACAGCTGTCCTGTTCAGATTCAACATGCAGTTCCTAGCCTACTCTGGTGGACCGTAATTCCATTGCTGAACTGGGCCATTTTGGTTTATTTGGTTTATCTTTCTCTGTTGGGGTTCCCACTAGTTCCTGCTGTTGTTTCCTGAGAAGCAGAAGGAGTTTCCCCAAGCCTAGAACTTCTAGAAAGGGGAAGAGATTATGTGGCTGACAAGTATGAAAAGTCTTCCAGTTCCCTGTGCAAGATCCCACTTGTTGGTGCTGACTGCAAGCTAATGTCTCCCAATAATAGAAGAAAGTTTCAAAACTGTGGGACCAGGTGACTTCCAGAGCACTCGTACTGGTGGGATGTATCTAGGCTTTGGAAGTTGATTTTTTTTTTGTATGATATCTGGAGTTTTATCAAATTATGCAAGGTCCTGACAGAACATAAATACTCAATACTAATTTAATGGAAGAATCAATGTTGCTTAGGATGGCCTGATTTTTTAGCAAAAGTCAGCATTGGCTGAATAGTGCCCATAGCGTCTCTCAAGAGAGGCCTCACATAATTTGTTCAGTGTAAGTGCTGTATTCGGTGGTCCCAAGGGACGAGTGAAGACTTCCTCAGCTCTCCAGTATTTAAGCCCTCTTTTTCTCTTTCTGGTTCCATCTTTTAGACAGTCAGTTCCAGAATGTAACCCTGTTTCCTCTAAAACACTCAGTATTTGATTTTGATGAGTAAAATGCTTCAACTAGTTTCTCTAGAAAGCACGGAAATCATACTATAGCAAAGTTTTTGACATGATCATCCATTGGTAAGTTCTTCAAGGGAAAGAACATCATCTCAGATGTATATAATACATCTCAGATGTATATAATAATTGGTTAGATATATTTATGAAGCTTAATGCAATTCAAAATTTGGCATACATTATAGGAACATATGGCTTGATCTCAGAATTTCTTAGAAAGCTTCTATTACATGTATTAAGTTATTCTTTTATCCCAAATTCCAATTTCACAGAATCAGAAATACGTAATTTTTTCTCATTTGGAATTTGAGAAAACATGAATTTTTAAATGTTAGAAAAATATTTGTGTCCCATCTTTTCACTTTGCCAAAATGCTGACTTACTGCTTTTAAGGTATTTGAAATATTTTCACTTGGTTTTCTACTGCATTTTATTTAAACATGTTAATATAAGTGCCATTCATTGCAAAATTGGAAAATTAAATCTATACATAAATAAAAAAATGCTATCACAATGGAAAGATGTATGCAAATTTGGCCACGTACTCAAACTTCAAGAACTATTTAGATAAATATTGATTAATTTTATACGTTTATAAATGCATATCAAATATTTCTAAATGTATTTTCAATATTAAAATTCCGGTATGTTTTTGAGAGATGTTAGTTATTTTCCCAGTAGAAACGTATCTTGATAACAGAGGATTAGCTTTAAGTTTCAAGCTGACCACAGAATTTTGACCTGTCTCCCACAATTGACTTATAGCTAGCCCCAATGCAAGATTCTTAATGGAGAAAAATTAAGTCTGAGATTCCATTACACCAGAGGCAGCCAAGACTGTAAATCGTTTTACATCCACTCAAACACCAGATTTAGTTACCCAATATTTGTTGAATATCTACTCTGCTTAAACCATTATGATAGATCCAAGGAAGACCTTGCAGTTGCTGTACTGCAGCTTGAAAGGAAAGCAAGTAAAACTCGCCAGGTGCTTGAAATACTGTGTTGATCCTGCAGCCTACTTCTATCAACTCCTGCCAGAAAAAAAGTTGGAATTTCTTTTGTTACCCAAAAACCTCCCATACTTCTGTCATCACTCTCCACAAAGATTATTTTTATGTTTTTTCCGCTTCATCCATAAAATCTCCGTTATTAGGTAGGTTGGTTAGAAAATCGAACAACAGTAACAATAATCACATCCATAACCAAAACTAGCACTGCAACAATGGCAACGCGCACACATCACACACATATACACTTCCAAGCTTCCAAGGCTTTTCATTTGCTGCTTGTAATTCTATACTTACAAATCCTAATGGATTTCAAAGGGATCGTTTTTCTTACTTCAAGGACAGAAGAATAGATTAATAAAGATGGGAGATGATATTCTACTTGGATGCAAAATTACCAAGGCTACGCGAGGTGCTCAAACACACACATGTAAGACAGATGCCACAGTTTCCAGGAACACAGAGAAGCCAGGGAAGCTGGTGGCTCTACACCTTGGAAGAAAGGGAGAATAAGCGATCTGGTTTCAGATACCAGATCTTTTAGATTTGCAAAATGGCCTCTGACAAGCAGAACAGAGTTTGAGATCTAAATGATAAATTTACCAAAAAAAAAAAATTAAATTAAATGTGGACTACCCATATTTTCATTAAAGCTTTCAAAATTCTCAAAGTTTTCTTATTGAAAAGAAAAATTATGATACCTTAAATACCCAAGAACACTTTATTCTCACTTACAGATACACACATACCCACAACTACATACACAGGAAACAAACACTGAGGATATAGTTATAAACATGTGGTTCTAAGACATTTAAAAGATGTTAGAAATAATATCTTAAAAATATGTTAGAAATAAACTTTAAAAACTTACCCATGTTTTGCTTTGTAAATTCTCATATCTCTTTTCTGATTATTGATAAGATAGATACAATGTATTTTGTAAAAATGTTTACATAAAATTTATTCTAAATGCCCATATTCCATGTTTATCACATGATACATTCAAGCTATCGTACTCCCTATTATTGAGCCTGTAGAAGACATTAGTTTCACTTTAGTGTTTTGTGATTCACATTGTCTTTCTTGAGGCCAAATCTAACCTCCTATTTCAAAAACATGAAATGCTTCTTTTTCCAGAAAACAATTCAAAATCTATTGTCATCAGTGTGCACGTTAAATAAAAGTAGCAGCATAGGTCTGGACACAAAGTACCTAACACATGTTTTCAAAGCCATGAAAGACTGGCTTATAAAATGGGAGTTATAATAGCTGTCAAAATATTCCCATTCAAATTGGATATTGCTAACTGTGAAGCACTATGGGATTACGTAACAACTAATATGATATAACATGAAGGATTAAAAAATACTTAATATCTGTTCCAAAAATCTAAATTTTTTTACAATTTATTAAAAATTGTGAAATAATTTTTAATAAATTGTGAAATAAAAATAGAGGAATAAATGTAATGAAATCATAGTTTTAGAAAAATTCATAACATGATATGTAGTATACAACAACTGGTTTGATCTTCAGAGTAATATAATAAAAAAAGTAGGGGGTGTTACAGGTCTGGATTAAAAGAGTAAACAAGTTATAAGAACAAAGTGTGATGGGTGAATTCAGGTAAAATATTGATTTAAAAAATGCTATGAAGAAAATTTCTAGTTCCAAAATATGCTGTAAAATATAATTGATAAAAATTGAATATATAATGGGTATTAAATAGTATAAAATTAATACATTTTTAATGTAAGATGATAGTAATGTGGCATTTTTGGCAAATGTCCTTTGGAGATGCATGCTAATTATTAGTAGAGAATTATGTTTAAAACTTATTTTTCAATGTTATAGATATTAGGTGTGTGCAAAATTAACTGCAGTTCTTGCCATTAAATTGGCAAATAATGTTATTAAAATTGCAGTTTTTGCAATTTTTATAATGGCAAAAACTGCAATTAGTTTTGCACCAACCTAATACACACACACACACACACACACACACACACGTATTTACAGGTAAGGGGTACAGAGGTTTATTTCCTATTTTTTTGACTGTTCTATATGTTTTAAATTGTTTATAGTAAATTATTGAGAAATATTTTCCAAATTACCCTGAGAATCTAAAAGGAGTTCTCTTAGATACAAAGTCTTTACCCTTTTCTTCCCTTGACACTGTGGTTTCTATATTTGTTTTCTTTTCGTCTATTCATTCTAACAATGTTTTAAGTATTCACTCTATGTGGCTAGTGTTCTGGTGTATCCAGGAGATACAAAACTGACTAATGTTGATTAAGCTGTGGAAATGATGAAGCACAGCAGCAGCGTGAGGACGGCCATGGAGCAGGGGAGCGGCTGGTACAGTTTCATTCAGGATGCTTGGCAGAGGCTTCACAGAGAAGGAGGCTGTGATGTCCAGTTGTATGTGTCCACTTGGCTAGGCTATAGCTTCAGTTATTCACGCAAATGCTAATTTAGGTGTTGCTGCGAAGATGTTCTGCACATTTGACTAAGGTCTATAATCAGTTTACTTTAATCATGGGAGTTTATCCTTGATAATCTGGGTGGCTCAGATTCAATCAGTTGAAAGATCTCAAGAGCGAAGCTAAGGCTTCTTTGAACGAGAAATTACAACTGTAGAGTGGCATTCAGCTCACACCCAAGAGTTCTGGTTGGCCCTTCCTGATCTATATATGGATTTCAGAGGCCCCACTATCTCATATTCCAATTTTTTTGAAAATAAGTCTCTCTCTCTCTCTCTCTCTCTCTCTATATATATATATATATACACACACACACACACACACACACACATATCCAGTATATATACACATATACTAGATACCAACATACAGACAGTTCAACAGAAGAAATCAGTTATAATGTTTAATGGCAGTATAGAGTGACTATAGTAATGACAATGTATTGCAATGTATTGTAGTTTTCAAAATACCTGGAAGAGAGGACTTGAAATGTACGCAACACATAGAAATGATACATGTTGGATGATGGATACCTGAAATACCCTGACTTTAGAAAGTCTTTTCCAAATTACTTTGATAATCTAAGAGGAGTTCTCCTATATCCAAAGACTTTACCCTTTTATACATTCTATGCATGTAATTACACATTCTATGCATAGAACAGAATTTCACGTGTACCCCAGAAATATGTACAAATATAATGTATCAAAAAAGCAAACAAAAAACAACAAAAAAATCACCCGTTTAAAAATTCAAAAGGAGCAAGTGGTTGTAAGTTGAAGTTTACTTATCACACCTGTCTCTAGTTACCTAGTCACCTCTTCAGCCTCCCATAAGAATTCAACATTAACACAGGAGTTTCTTATAACACCCTAATATTGCCTCCCCGATTAATAGTTTGACTGCCAATGGAAAAGTAAATACATAATAATAAATAAATTAATAATATTACTAAACAAAATAATAAATATATAAATTAATCAATAAATGTGATTATATTAATAAATAAAATAATAAATAAATGTAATGATATTAATACATAAAATATTAATTAATTAATTAATGTATTAATGTGTGTGTATTTTTTAATATATATATAATCAATCTATCTAGCTATACACATTATATCTCTATATATAATCTCCTATGTTTCTGTTTCTCTGGTGGGGCCCTGAGTGATACTGGAGTACTTAAGGAAAGCTTCGAAGAATGGGAGGAAATGAGCCCTGTGTCCATGCGGTTGAGTTCAGCGGGCAGGGAAGGAGCGTGGTCGGTGAGTACAGCAAGTACAGATACCAGCAGCAGGAGCTGTTTGGCATTGTTGGTCAATGTTTGAAACAGAGGGCAGTTTCCACTGTGCCTAGAGTGCACTGTTGGATAAGGAGAGTAGGCAGAAACAAACAAACTGTGCACAGAAAGGGGGGTGAATGTCAAGTCTAATATACCACTAAAACATATTGGGTTTGATCTCATAAAGTTAGAGAACAGAATGCTGATTACCAGGGTCTAAGGAATGCCATAAAATGTAACTTATTTTTGGCTCCTATAAACACGTATGTATATAAAATGAATTTATAGAATATAAATATATATTATTTTATATAACACTGTGTATATTATATAGTAATACATATGTATACATATGATTTTAATGTTAATAATGGAATTGAAACAATGTGTTGACATCAGTGCTCTCCTCTCACTCTTCAAGCTTGAGAATGGGGTGAATAGACTGGTGATGTTTTATGTTGAACACACATGGACATGTGCATACATATATCACTTTGGCACTGAATATTGAGGGTTCTTTCTATTTGAAGAAATGATTCATCCATCAAAACAGAAATTTGTCTGATGATATATTTTGAGCCTGTCCACATATTTTGTAAAGAGTTGTATGGCCTTATGAAACTCACACAATCTTTCTGGGTATGAGTTTCTGAATGATAATTAAACATGTTTGTATAGTCAGAAGCATATTTTTGTAAAAAGTTTACATTTTGGGGTCAAATATAAATTCTGCTACTTGTTAATTATGTGACTCCAAGCAACTGGCTCAACCTCTCTGAGTGTTCATTTCTTCAACTCCCTACTACGGTAATAACTAAGTTATTCTTTCAATTCCACCTGACTCGCCCATCCCAGACCTCCAGGATATTTCAGCATCTATACCTGGAGGAATTAGCATATATACCTGGGGTAATTAGTGTAAATTCATTCTTAGGAAGAGTGATTAATATTTTAGAGCTTAGTATAGAAGTGTGTGTGTGTGTGTGTGTGTGAGAGAGAGAGAGAGAGAGAGAAAGAGAGAGAGAAAATGATTTTACAAATGAAGAAAGTTACACTATAATAAAAATAGGCCATGATATATTTTACATTTGGCAAGGGAAAAATTGTACCACAAATTCACACATAAGAACTTAAGTACTGAACTTTTGGCATGAAAATAATATAACAACACTACCTCAAATGCCATAATATCACAAAATTTGGAGGAGGAAAAAATATATATATATATGAATTGTTTTATTAATTAAAAAATAAAAATAAAAATCTAGTAAAAAAAAGAGTTTTGCATTAGTTCCCATTAAAAGTAACACTCCCAAAATTAACAAACAGATATTATTTCAGTAACTGATGAGAATTTATATACCATAAAATTCACCATCATTTGGCTGTAGATTGTGAAAACATTTATGCCATTGGAGCTGTATCTGAACAGTCCCATCTGATAATAATTTTGCATAAGTTTTAACTAAATTAAATGCGTTAATCTTTGCATACATTTTTCTTATATACCCAATCTCTAATGTGACCTTTTCCTACATATAATTCTGATGTTAGCTGATCTACTTCATCCTTCGAAACTCAAGTGAAATCTGTGCTAATCCCATCCACGGGCTATGATTGATTCATGTCGTTCCAAATTTGCTTTGTAATTCAGAAGGCAATAGAGGATTCTAAGAGGAGGCGGGTGTTTGCTTATTCCCCAGTGGGCTCTTCGCCTAAACTTCTGATTCCATGGACATTCTATGTGTGATTTAAATAACACCATGACACTTTGGAGATAGAGTACGGTCCCCTGTCTTAAAGACAACACATGCTACCTGAACTTTGTATAAGATATAAGAATTTCCTGAAGTTTTGGGCTGGCAGAAAGATTTTATATTTCTAGGTGACTCTATTCTGTCTCCAGATTTCTTAATTCCCCATTTCCCAGTCCTCTCACCAAGACCTTTGTCTGGAAATTCAATCTCCCTAGCTTTATGATTGTAAAAAAATAAACTCTCTGCCTCTCATTGATGTATTCTGCTAAGAATGATGACTGTATTTTTAGTAGAGACGGGATTTCACCATGCTAGCCAGGATGGTCTTGATCTCCTGACCTCATGATCATGAACCTGGGAGGCAGAGGTTTCAGTGAGCCAAGATCGTGCCACTGCACTCCAGCCTGGGCGACAGAGCTAGACTCCGTCTCAAAAAAAAAAAAAAAAAAAAAAGAAGAATGATGACTGTAAGATCAATTTGCCCTTTGTTGCTTAGGAGAATAATGACAATAAGAACAAGAAGAAATGAGAATGAATGAAGGGATGGGGTGGGGAAGGAAAAAGTAGAGGTTTCTATATGTCTCAGACTTTATCTTCTCACTCACTCTCTGGAAAAGCCAGTGGAGCCTGCCTTCCTCACTAGCACAACTTAGGAAATTCCCCTTGGAGTATATATGCATCTTTTGCCTGCTAATATTTGGAGTCCAGCTGTGTAGCAGTGCTCCCTAGGAACTTTACTTGAGTAAAAAAGTAAGAGTTCCATCTAATCAATTCTAAATTCTGATGCCACATTAATTTTATTTCTGCCATTACTTTTAAGTAGAGCAGAATCTACTCTTGAAATAGCATCTGGGGGAGCTAACTTGGTAGAGAGAAAGTTTTAAGAAAATAACATTAATAGTTGTTTGGTTGTTGTTTGTTTCTTTCTTTTGAGACAGTCTTGCTCTGTCACCCAGGCTGGAGTTCAGTGTCAGAATCACAGCTCACTGCAGCCTAGACCTGCTAGGCTCAAGTGATCCTCCTGCCTCAGCCTCCCAAGTAGCTGGAAGTGCATGTGCCATCACATCTGGCTATTTTTTTTAAGGGGTTCTCCTGTGTTGCTCAGGTTTTATTCTTGAAATCCTGGGCTCAAGTGATCCACTCGCCTTGGCCTCCCAAAATGCTGGGATTACAAGCATGAGCCACTGCTCCTGGCCAATTATTTATCTCTAGAGAAGACGGTGAGTGAGAGAGCTTAAATTGTGTCCAAAGGGCAATGTCATTTTGAATCCTAACTTTACATGGTTTTTACCAATGCAGTCATATATGAGACCTATAAATAAGTAAGAAATCCCAGCATAGGAAATACTTTGCATATTTAGAGACATATTTTGTGTGTGTGTGTGTGCGTGTGTGTGTGTAATATGTGTGTTTCTATGTGTGCATTATTTATTTATTTATTATTTGGCCAGAAAATCTTAGTGCTAGTAATTTTCATTAACAGTTTTCTGGAGTTAATTACTAACATGGGAGCTCACAATTATGCCTATTATTCAAAACGTCAAAGAAAAAAGTCATAATACTCTTGCCCTTTGCCTTATATTTTAACCTCACCCATTAGTTCTGCATCAGTCACAATAAAAATGATCAGTCCCTCTTCTACATATAAAAAGTGTGTTTCACATTATTGATTAAACTGTGCCTTGATGGCTCTCTTCTCTAAATAATAGTTGAAGAAAATTATTGATTACATCTAGGAATGCTTTATTGCAGCCTCCTTCTTAACGATCAGTGGCATGAGGTCAATGTACATTTAATCAATTTTTGATTCATTTATGATTGGAAAATTGGTAAATTTTTTCACTCAGCTCGAGAGGTACACTCATCACAAAGACATTTCATTCAATTGAACTTTGGCCATGAATTTGAAGGGACATCTTATGGCATAATTAAGTAAATACACAAATTTTGTTTTATAAGGTGAATATTACCCTATAGGGATATGACGGATTCTTGGTTTACATCCAGACTAAAGAAATCCTGGCAGAGTCTTCCATGGCAAATCCTACCTCTTGTGAAAAGTGCAATTACATCTTTAATATATACCTACTGCAGACCAGCCTAAATTTATTATGGAATATTCTTTTAGTAATAATTACAGAAATATCAGTGTTTTATCTGCACCCACCCTTTAAGTGAATGTGGCTTTCACACCATCTTAATGTTTTTATCTGTGCAATTGTATGATTTACTCACAGGATGGACATCTGGCAGAAAATCTGTGACCTGTGAGTATGATGAACAAGAAATTTTTAAGCGGGTCACTGCTATAAATCAAGAGGTCATTGCTAGACATGATCAACTCTTTGACCTGTCAGAATGACTAGTTCATTCAAAGAGAGAAAAAAAACAGAGCACAATAAGCACACCACACCACCCAGTTATAAATGTAATGATTCTTCTATTGGAAATGTGTTGTAGTTGCTGGGCTTAGAAAATAGGACTATTCTACTCTTTTTGCCTCTGCCGATTTAAAACCTAAATAGCTGTAATCCTGTACCTCATTGTTCTCATATGTAAAGTCATATTAATATACCTTAC